>NC_000004.12:187406229-187709259 GCF_000001405.40 Homo sapiens
TAGGATTGCAACTCCTCCTCTTTTTTTGCTTTCCATTTGCTTGGTAAATATTTCTCCATCCCTTTATTTTGAGCTTATGTTTGTCCTTGCATGTGAGATGGGTCTCCTGAATACAGCACACCAATGGGTCTACACCAATGGGTCTTGACTCTTTATCCAATTTGCCAGCCTGTGTCTTTTAGTTGGGGCATTTAGCCCATTTATATTTAAGGTTAATATTGTTATGTGTGAATTTGATCCTGTCATTATGATGCTAGCTGGTTATTTTGCCCATTAGTTTGTGGAGTTTCTTCATAGTGTCAATGGTCTATACAATTTGGTATGTTTTTGCCATGGCTGGTACTGGTTTTTCCTTTCCATATTTAGTGCTTCTTTCAGGAGCTCTTGTAAGGCAGGCCTGGTGGTGACAAAATATTTCAGCATTTGCTGTCTGTAAAGGATTCCATTTCTCCTTCACGTATGAAGCTTAGTTTGGTTGGATATGAAATTCTGGGTTGAAAATTCTTTTCTTTAATAATGTTGAATATTGGCCCCCACTCTCTTCTGGCTTGTAGGGTTTCTGCAGTGAGCTCTGCTGTAAGTCTGATGGGCTTCCCTTTGTGGGTAACCCGACCTTTCTCTCTGGCTGCCCTTAACATTTTTTCCTTCATTTCAACCTTGGTGAATCTGACAATTATGTGTCTTGGGGTTGCTCTTCTCAAGGAGTATCTTTGTGGTGTTCTCTGTATGTCCTGAATTTGAATGTTGGCCTGCCTTGCTAGGTTGGGGATGTTCTCCTGGATAATACCCTGAAGAGTATTTTCCAACTTGGTTCCATTCTCCCCATCACTTTCAGGTACAAACATAGGTTTGGTCTTTTCACATAGTCCCATATTTCTCGGAGGCTTTGTTCATTTCTTGTCATTCTTTTTTCTCTAATGTTGCCTTCACACATTATTTCATTAAGTTGATCTTCAATCTCTGATATCCTTTCTTCTGCTTGATCAATTCAGCTATTGATACTTGTGTATGCTTCACAAAGCTCTTGTGCTGTGTTTCTCAGCTCCATCAGGTCATTTATGTTCTTCTCTAAACTGGTTTTTCTAGTTAGCAATTTGTCTAAACTTTTTCCATGTTCTTAGCTTCCTTGCCTTGGGTTAGAACACGCTCCTTTAGCTCAGAGGAGTTTGTTATCATGCATCTTCTGAAGCCTACATCTGTCAATTTGTCAAAGTCATTCTCCATTCAGTTTTGTGGCCTTGCTGGCGAGGAGCTATGATCTTTTGGAGGAGAAGAGGTGTTCTGGTTTTTGGAATTTTCAGCCTTTTTGCTCTGGTTTTTCCTTATCTTCACGGATTTATCTGCCTTTGGTCTTTGATGTTGGTGACATACAGTTGGGGTTTCTGTGTGGACGCCCTTTTCGTTGATGTTGATGCTATTCCTTTCTGTTTGTTAGTTTTCCTTCTAACAGTCAGGCCATCTGCTGCAGGTCAGCTGGAATGTGCTGGAGGTCCACTCCAGACCCTGTTTGCCTGGGTGTCACCACTGGCGGCTGCAGAATAGCAAAGATCGCTGCCTGTTCCTTCCTCTGGAAGCTTCGTCCCAGAGGGGCACCTGCCAGATGCCAGCTGGAGCTCTACTATATAAGGTGTCTGTCGATCCCTGCTGGGGGGTGTCTCCCAGTTAGGAGGCACGGGGGTCAGGGACCCACTTGAGGAGGCAGTGAGTCCCTTAGCAGAGCTCAAGAGCTGTGCTGGGAGATCCACTGCTCTCTTCAGAGGCAGCAGGCAGGAACATTTAAGTTTGGTGAAGCTGCGCCCACAGCCGTCCCTTCCCCCAGGTGCTGTATCTCAGGGAGATGGGAGTTTTATCTATAAGCCCCTGAATCGTGCTGCTGCTTTTCTTTCAGAGATGCCCCGCCCAGAGAGAAGGAATCTAGAGAGGCAGTCTGGCTACAGCAGCTTTGCTGAGCTGCGGTGGGCTCTGCCCAGTCTGAACTTCCTGGTGGCTTTGATTTCACTGTGAAGGGAAAACCAACTACTCAAGCCTCAGTAATGGTGGACACCCCGCCCCCCACCAAGCTCGAGCGTCCCAGATCGACTTCAGACTGCTGTGTTGGCAGCGAGAATTTCAAGCCAGTGGATTTTGGCTTGCTGGCCTCCATGGGGGTGGGATCCGCTGAGCTAGACCACTTGGCTCCCTGGCTTCAGCTACCTTTTTAGGGGAGCGAACGGTTCTGTCTCACTGGTGTTCCAGGTGCCACTGGGGTATGAAGAAAAACTCCTGCAGCCAGCTGGGTGTCTGCCCAAACGGCTGCCCAGTTTTGTGCTTGAAACCCAGGGCCCTGGTGGTGTAGGCACCCCAGGGAATATCCTGGTCTGCCGGTTGCAAAGACCGTGGGAAAAGCGTAGTATCTGGGCCGAATGCACCGTCCCTCAGGGCACAGTCCCTCATGGCTTCCCTTGGCTGGCGGAGGGACTTCTCTGACCCCTTGCGCTTCCTGGATGAGGCAACACCCCACCCTGCTTTGGCTTGCCCTCCATGTGCTGCACGCACTGTCTAACCAGTCTCAGTGAGATGAGCCAGGTACCTCAGTTGGAAATGCAGAAATCACCCACCTTCTGCATTGATCTCGCTGGGAACTGCAGACTGAAGCGGTTCCTATTTGGCCACCTTGCCAGCCCATCTCGAGTAAGTTTTCTTATCTTTGCATGTATATCCGATAAGCTAGATTTAGTGGTCAATAGCGATTTTTGGAATGAATGAATAAATAATAAGGATTGCTCTTTTTTTTACTGCACTATAAATGTGTAGAAGTCATGTAATTTAAAATTTATTTGTGTTAAAATGTTGGGTAAAATATTTTTACTCTACTTTAAATATCTAAGTTATTAAATATAACTGGCTGCATTTATTTTATTAAAACTTACAAAATAATTTTTATAACTATACAAATTATAGGATCATCTACATATTGTGCCTATTAAAATTTTACTTAAATATGATTTTAGTTTTTTATAGACAGAAGTATAAAGAATGCTTCAAAATCTTAATCATTTAGAACTAAAATTATGTCTGGTGTCTTGAAATCCAGATTTACGTATGTGTTAAAGATACTGGTTATTTCCTCAAGTCAAATCATGGAATTGAGAGGTAGAGTTGAATACAGTTTTAATAAATATGCATTGGTTCCTATGTGGCTATTCTTGCTGTAGTAGTACACTAACACTCTACAAAAATCTGTTTTACAAAAAGAAACCTTTGGAAGTAACACTTATATAAATTAATGAAAAAAATGAATGAATATATGTAATGTAATAAACATTAAATGATTAATCAGTGGAGATCCTGGATTATAAGACAATAAAAATATTAAACAGTTTTCTCAGGGAAAACATTTTAGGACAACTATATATATATATATATATATATATATATATATATATATATATATATATTTATTTATTTCCCCCCTATTATTTCAGGGGCTATATCGTAAAGAAGAAATAAAACTTGAAAATAAATGTACATTGACTAAGAATTTAACTGTTGAAACTCAAACACCTATATCTTTCATATATATGTACATATGTGAAATATATAGCTCTGATAGATATATGCACACACACATACACACATACATATATAGTGGCTAAAGATATCTTTATTTCAGATATATATTTTTTCATATATCTTTCATAAATATTATTGACATACATATTTCATATATGTATGTACCTATATTCACATACACATAGCCCTGATTTTATCTTAGCACATACATTTATTATTATCTTACTTTGGAAATATTGGAAATAAAGTATTAGGTGTTTTTTAGCACATGTAGAGCTCAGCTAAAAGCAAAAGCAATGGAAACATTTTCAAGGACAAATTTACTAAGTATCGTAGCAATGCCACTTATTTCCATGTAACAAAAAGTATTATTTATACATTTACTATTTGGGTTAATTAAATTTTTTGCCCTGATGAAGACCTGAAGCAATTTCAGGATAGAATTTTTAGAATGAAGAGGAACCACGAAAAGTTGATATGCATAAACAGAGAAGCTTGCTAATTCTAGACACTTTCATATTTAGATATTGGTTGTATCTGTGTCTATGTACAAGATACCCAATCTTTCTTTTTTTTATTCTTTTTTTGAGACAGAGTCTCCCTCTGTTGCCCAGTCTGGAGTGCAGTGGCTCAATCTCTGCTCACTGCAACCTCTGCCCCCCAGGTTCAAGTGAATCTCCTGCCTCAGCCTCCTGGGTAGCTGGGATTACAAGCATGTGCCACCATGCCTGGCTATTTTTTGTATTTTTAGCAGAGACAGGGTTTCAGCATGTTGGTCAGGCTGGTCTCCAACTCCTGACCTCGTGATCCTCCCACCTCAGCCTCCCAAAGTGATGGGATTAGAGGCGTGAGCCACCATGCCTGGCCGATACCCAACCTTTCAAAGCCTGGATTTCCATACACAAAATATACCTAAAGATGCCTACTGTATTTGGTGGGGAAGTCAATGTGAAAATTAGTGTAAATGCTACACAGTAGATAGAGGTTGATGGCCTCTTGGTCTTTTCATAATCATTATCACAGGAAACACAATGCTTACATTGCTTTACCTAATTCTACTTGTTCCATACAAGAAAATTAGAGCTGGTCACTGGATTAAATTGTATTTGTTACCTTCCTATTCTAAGTATCCTTAAAATAATAGGAAGGTAACAAACATAATTTAATAGATATATAGATAACATCTATAAGACATATCTTTAATAGACATGTAGATAACAACTCAAAGAGATCTGGCAGCTTCTCTTCTAAGTAATTAACCTGCACACATATGGTTTACCTAGACAATATAACATTTTTTGAGTATGGGGAGATTTGAAGCACAAGACTTGATGGGTATGAGCTTATAAGTATTATTATTCTATTGAATATTGTTTTTTGGTTTGAAGTAAAATGTTAATTGAATTGGTAATGGTTTTGGTAATAAAAAGATGCTTCTGCAAGAACATAATGAAATTTGATTGATTCACTAAGCTTGGTCTTAAGTACTCGCATCAATGCTTTTAGCTTTTAAAATAAATTGTATCAATTATTGCTTAAATTTAACATTGATGAAAAACATTTCTAGCCCCTGGTTACCATTAATGTCTATATAGTTAACAAAGACATGGGGAGTTAGCTGCACCATTATGTGAAGGCTCTTTAAATTAGGTTTACTGTAATAAACACACACAAGTTATTTCTACAGCTCTGAAAATCGGAAAAGGAAATAGAAGATGTTTAGGGTCACTGTCAGTTCTGTCTAAGCCTAGATTCCTTTTCTGTAAAATGAGGATGATAATAATGATATGCCCCTTTGTGTTTTTTAGAATAACAGAATAAATGATCAATAAATTTTAGCAATGATTATTATTATGCACACACAGGCACTGTGCTATCCTCTATAAAACTGTAGGATGGATGAGATGTAATAATTATCCTTGTATAAGTTTCCTATTGCTGCTGAAACAGATTACCACAAATGTAGGCTAGGCTTAGAACACTAATTTATTATCTTACAGGTTTGTATCTCAAAAGTCTGTTGCTGGTCTCACGAGGCTAACGTCAAGGTCTATATGCTGGAGCTCCTTTCAGGAGCCTCGCCAAGAGAATCTGTTTCCTTGCTCATTGAGGTTGTTGGCAGAATTAATTTATCTGCAGTGGCAGGATTTAGATTCCTGTGTTCTTGCTGGCTGTAAACTCTGGGTCATTATTAACTTCCTGAGGCTGCCACATTGCTGGCTTTCTGACTTCTTCCTCTATCTTCAAAATCAGCAATGATGGATGGAGTCTCTCCCATGTCAAATCTCCCTGACCCACCAGTCAAAGTTCTTAGCTGTTAAGAATTCATGTGATTACAGTGGACCCACCTGTGATAATCCAGGATCCTCTCCCCATCGGAAAGGTGGTACCATCTGCAAAGGGCCATCTGCAAAGTCCCTTTTACTGTGTGACATAACACATTCACGGATCCCAGGAACTGGGGCATAACCTCTTTGGGAGAAGCATTATCCCGCCTACCACAAACCCCAAGCTTTTATATATCTGGGAAAGTAAATAAAACAAGTATATAAATAACAGCCACATAAGGCCGAATGTGCATCTTGCTTTAAGAAACTATAAATTCATTGTTCAATATCTAATTAGAAGGGAGTAATATAACTCTTCCTTTTATCATATATCATTATAAAGCTTTTATACTAGGATCTTCCCCTGTATAAGGGATTGTTTTCTCTTATCTTGGTCTCCTCGTTCCTCATCGATTGTTGTTCCTGCAGCAATTACCGAGCAGCGAAAATGCAGTGGAATGGCCACTTTACAGGAGGGAAGCCGTTTCCAATACTCACGAAGTACAACTCCTAACCTGGTGGGCTTGGGCATCCTGGGTATTTGTTCAGATAATCAACTTTAAGGCTTTTAAAAACATGTTATTTTGTGAAATATTTGTATAGAAATGCTCCTGTTCCTTCTTTATTTACCCTTAAGAGATTATGATCAGAGGTTAGTTATGTGACATTGGTTCTCTCCTCTGTGGCTGAATTCTTGAGAACATTGCCAATATTAGCAGACCGTATTGTATTTCTCATATCTTATTTTTTTCCTTTTCATATCTGTCATTATCATCTGATGCCCTTCATCATAACCTAATTCTATTCTTCAACTCAATCACTGCAGAATGGTGTTTTTTTCCTTGACCTTTATCTAGCTGTACAGAGTTTTTCATTCTTTAAGTATAAAAATATTTCCTCCCACTACTTGAGTATTCTACTTCTAGACCTTCCCAATTTAAGCACCTATATGTATCTTCATCTCTTCCTTTCTGATGGAGTTTCACAGAAAAAAAAATAGTAAAAAATTCTGACCTAGATCAGACTGGTTAATAGCTAGCTGGTTTCATATGAGCAAAACGACAGCTTGTAAAGTGCTAAGCTTGTGTCCTAAAAAAGACATGAAGCGCTTCCTTTAGCATAACATAAGATAAAGCCAAGGTAAAATAGAACATTGTAGAATAGGATTTAATGAATTAATAAAAAAGAAAGAGTAAGTCATACAGACAGAGGACATAAGGAATGGTGTGTGAGTACATGGGCTTGGGAATCAGACGACCTGAGCTTGGACACCAGCTCTACCACCTGCTACTTGTTGAGCCTGGACAGGTAACTTACTGCAAAGCACAGATTTCCTTATAGGATAAAAGGCTATAAAAATATCCATCTTGGATAGTAGTCATGAAGAGATGATATACATAAAAACTTGGCATATGCTAATTGCTCAATAACTGAGAGTTTAATATTTCCTCAGACATCATCTAAAAGGACTGGACCTACATCTGCAGTTAACTGCACAATGGAAGAAACGGCCTCTCCTGGGCAGCCTCATGGATGGGGTGAAGAGACAAAGCTTGGGAGTGTAGCATGTTGAGCACATCTGCTCAGAGGTAACATTTAAGCAGTAAGTCTTGTGTTTTAAATCATGTTATCAGCCTACATGCATTATCTCTTTTAGTCATCATCATAACTCTGTAATATAAATACTGTAAAATATTTTATAGAGGAGAAAAAACTCCTATGTAGTAAGAAGAGAGATAACTTGTCCTAGTACACACTGCTAGTTGGAAATAAACCAAACAAATGAACCCAAGTTTTGCCCCCAGAACCTATATGTTCATATTTCAAACTAAACAACCATCTTTCCTGGAAAGCAATCTCTTCTCCAGACATCTCTATTTCTCTCAATAGAATGAACTTCTTAGTGATTTATTTTTTAAAGTTAAATGTCATAAAATAGGCATATGTTGTAGATATAACCAAATTGAAGTAGCATGTTTATGTATTAGAGCACAACTTCAAAATGGAGAGATTTAAACAGCTGTTTCATCAGCTCTTGTCAGGGCTCAGCTGCGTGCCTCTTCTGCTGCTCACATGTGTAGTTTCTCATGCAGTTACCATCAGATTGGGCTGAAGCTGCCGTGGCTCCAGGTCTAACTCCCTCATGTTCCTCCCCAGGGGCTTCACTCTATGTTGCTGTTTTAAATAATCTTACTTTTTAAGAACAGTTTTCGACATACAGAAAACTTGGGCAATACTACAGAGGGTTCACACATACCCCACACCCAGTTTTCTCTGTTACTAACATCTTATATCAGTGATGTACAAGTGTTACAATTAATATGCCCATATTGATGCATTGTTATTAACTAAAGTCCAGATTTTTTTCAGTTTTTTTTTATTTTTTTTATTTTTTATTTTTTTTAGTTTTTACAAAATGTCCTTTTCTGTTCCAAGATCTCATCTGGATACCATGTCATATTTAGTTGTCATGTCTCCTTGGGCTCCTCTTGGCTGTGACAACTGTGGCCTTGCTCTTTATGTGTTGTCTTATCCTCCAGGACCACACACACACATGCGGGCACGCACACACACACACACACACACACACACACACACACACACACGGTAGTTTGGACTTCTTACTTACTGGCCAAAGGCTCTGAGATGAGGGAAGGAGAAGCTGTCACATTCTAAGGCCTGGGCTCCAAAATCCCAGAACAGCAATTCCTCTGCTTCATCTTGGTCCAACCAGTCACAGGCCCAGCCTAGATTCAAAGGGGAAGACATAAGTCCCATCTCTTGATGGGCAGAGAGGCCTGTGTGTGCAGGAAGCATGAGCAGAATAGTGAGATTGTCAAGGGTCATTTTAGGGTCAAGCCACACACAGATGCCCGGAAAATACCACCATTTGCTTAGTTGATTTTAAGCAGAGAATGACGAAATCATTTTAAAAAATTGAGAACAAAATGGCATATTGATATTGAATCCAAATTCCTGTTTAAGCTATGTACCTCCAAATCAGTGGTTGCCATAGGGTATCACATTGTAACACAAATACCTATTTCTCATGCAATTGAATCACTCATAAAAATGTTGAATGTGCCATGTAATAAATGTAGTAATTTGTTTTCTTTAGTAAATATAACAAATGTGTATATTTAAAATAAAATTAGCCTTCCATTGCCATAGAATTCGGAACTGTGGCTTTTTTTTTTTAAGTTTAGGTTGTCTCCAAGCATAAAAATGGAAATACTGATCCTGTGACAACACAGCCTGAATTTTCTGCTTTGCAGATGCCAGATTTATTTTTAAATGGTGTGAATCAAATCTGTGCTGAGAGGCCAACTTCAAAATATAAAAGAAAAATTGGCAATGGGAGGATTGTGCTGGTTTGGCTGAAATGAAGTGCTCTACGGCATTTCATTCTAGTGGAGCGTCTGACTGTGAAAATCCTTCCAATTGTAATTTTCTTTGGCTTGTCAAAAGAGGATTATGAACTAAAGTCAGTGTTGCAGGAAATGTCACCTGTCCTTTGAAAGAAAATAATAAATCAAAATGGCTTTTGTTCATCATGTTTAAAATGAAAAAAAAAAAAAAGTTGATCCACTTGGAGTCTTCTCTCATTTCTTGACAAGGCAGTTAAATAAATAAAACGGAATTTTTTGTAATTGTTACTTCTTGCTCATCTCAAAAGGGGAAAAGGGAAATCTTCATTCAATACATATTCATACAGAGAAAATAGAAGAGCAGAGACAGAGACAGAAAGAGAAATGAGATGAAGAGTGAAACAAGACCCTGGTAGAGTTCCTCAAGTCAGATGTTAAGAAAGGTATCTTTAAATTATAATTTGTTTCTTTGATAGATACTATATTACAAATTCAAAAATGTGAGGTAAATAAAAACAAAAGGAGTAGATAACTATTCCTGAAAAATTCTAAGTGCTTGTATATTTTGCTTTAAGCAAATAAAGACAAAATTACCAAACATATAACAGAGCTTGAAATTATCTGAATTCTTTTGCCTTGACAATTTTTTTCAGTTATTTTAGCAATAAACATTGCCTGTGATGAGTACATACCACTTCAGAGAAAGAAAGTGATATTTCTGGCTTATCGTATGGACATCATGGCCATGCTGACACCATTTCTTTAAAAAAGTAATTGTTAATGCTACTTTGTATGTATTAATCTGAAAATATAGAAGAGCATTTTAATAGTTGATGCCACCACCATAAACTCCGTTTCTTGTTGCTGTTGTTATAATCATGTACTAATGATAACATCTGGAATGTTAATGTGGTGACAAATTTAGAAACAGCCATAGATTGCAAAGCTGGAAGATAATGGCTTACGACATTTGCTCTCTAATGTTGCAATGATATGATTTCAGATGTGTAATAAGCCAGTATGTCAAAGAAGCCAATAAGCCCATCATAAAAGCTATATAGAATTTTGATAGAGCATTATATCATCGCTGTGCATTTTCTAGTATGGTTTGGTTTGGTATAGTACAGGCAAATTTTAAAGTGTGGTTTTAAAATTAAGAAATATTGCAGCCAGGCGTTGTGGCTCACGCCTGTAATCCCAGCACTTTGGGAGGCCGAGGCGGACAGATTACGAGGTCAGGAGATCAGGACCATCCTGGCTAACACAGTGAAACCCCGTCTCTACTAAAAATACAAAAAATTAACTGGGCGTGGTGGTGGGCGCCTGTAGTCCCAGCTACTCAGGAGGCTGAGGCAGGAGAATAGCGTGAACCCGGGAGGCGGAGCTTGCAGTGACCAGAGATCTCGCCACTGCCCTCTAGTGTGGGCAACAGAGTGAGACCCTGTCTCAAAAAAAAAAAAAAAAAGGAAAAAAAGAAATATTGCATATTATTTGATTTTACTTATTGATTTTAACTGTATAAAACTATAAGTCAAATATAACTGGAAATTTTCATGTGAGCAATGTAGAAAAAGAAAACGAACATTCTCTTTATCAAGCCAGGTTTAATATGATGACTCTCAAACAAATACCAACACTAGGGTATATGACACAGCCTCAGAGTCTTTTTCTGTCCTTTTTCTGGCACTGAAGATTAGAGTACCTTCTTTACGATTGTACTGTGAGCATATTGAGGTAAACCACAAAACAGGTATCAGGTTAGGAGAAAATTAGCATTCTATTTAAATTCTGATTTTGAATCAAAGAAAATTAATAGATGGAAAGATAAATAGATGAATATATAGATAGAACCCTTAGCAAACATTTGCATGGTTTCACAGTGCTAGTATGTCTTTATTTCTTCCTTATTTCAGATTTCCTGGTATAAAGAGCAATTGTTTTTTTAAAACAATTTAATGGCCATGTTAATTTTAATTTTTACTTTTTAAATTTTTTATTATTGAGTTTTAGGGACTATTTAAATTGTGTATTAGCTATTAACTATGGGTCAGCTTCTCACTTGTCATCCTATCTGAATTTTCACTGACATCAAAAGGACTCTTTCCTTTGTAGAAGCATTAGTAGATCATCTTCTCCAAACCGGATACATGTTTCAGAGTTTTTCAACACTTGTGCATATAATCTACTCACAGCACCCAGTAAAAGTCCAATAAGTCAGTGTTGACTGACTGCTTCCTATCTAGTTCAAAAGTGGGGAGAAAATTAAACATGTTTTCGGTACATTTCCCAGCTTCAATATTTTAACTTCTCAAAGGAGCTAAATGTGCTTGGAAATGGTGTACGACATTTTAATTATGCTACCAGAAGAATCCGAGAAGAGTGAACATATTGAGAAACAGGGCAGAATGGAAGAAGAAAGTGGCACTGCTTTAAAGCCAAATTATCTGATGTTTACATCTTTCAACACTTTGGCCCAAGTTCAAGACATTAAGCCTAGTTTTTCAAATGCAATTATGTATGGAAAGCAACAAGTATAGTCATGCCTGATGATAGCAGGGGTCAGGCTGAGGGACACACCATTCTTTGGTCAAAACATGAAAGTTAATTTCAAAATCCACCAGGCCAAAAAGAAATATTAAACAAAGTTTTTGAAATAGAACATTTTGATGTCAGTATGTTTCTTTTATCTTAAAAAACCCAATCATTTTGAAATTCTCTGAGTATTATTCAGGTAAAGAAAAAACATGCTTTCTCACAATTAGGAAACACCAGGCCTTGATGGATATTTAGACACAGCTTGCATGACATTTTTAGCTATCACACTAGCAGGTGACATGACAGAATATGGAAGAACCGTAGCTCCTTGTGACGTGATTTCTGTGGTCCTCCCTGTTTGAAGCAATCTAAACTTAAAAAGTATATGACTTTGCCAAAATGAGGTGAAAACCTTTTTAAAGTGAAAGATTGCATTAAATCAGTAATTTGACATCACACTTGAGAAGAATGAACATGAATAATTTTTTATTCTGATGAAATTCACTTGTTTAGGCAGATGTAATGAACACTTGTTTGTTAACAAGTTATTAATCTTTATGAAGAGCTACTAACATTTCTGCTATGATTGAACAAAATATTATAGACATTTGGGGGTCACTTTCTTCCAGTTCTCTCCATTCTCTTGCCCTTTTTCTTCCCGGTTTCCTCCAATTCACTTCCCACCCATCCTCAAGAGCCTATAAATTGGCATCATAACTCTAGACTAAAATAGCGTTCTGAGAACTGAAAGCTCATCCTTCACCCATTTTCTCATACTGTTTGCCAAATACGGTTTTTGGCATCTGAAATTAACATTCCAACATTAACAGAAATTGCTGAATATTTAATAACATGTTTAGAACTGTGCTTGCAATCCCTTGAAGCCATGAATGAGTACCAGCCCCAGATGAAATTGTCCAGCCTCATGTGAATCGACGGCTTCCATCAGAGCTGTGCCGCCCATTCTCATGGCTAATCTTCCCATGAATACTTAGACTGCCCTGCTAGTTAAAGTATGGCGCATTGGCATCACCTGGGAGTGTGTTAGAAATGCAGAACTACTGAATCAGAATCTGTATTTTCATAAGACCACAGGTGACACACGTGCAAATGAGAGAGTGAGAAGCATTGGCCTGGATCTATCCACCCTCCTGAAAAATAGACCAATGCTGTCCCCAACCCACTGCTCTCTTTCTGATGCTTGTCCGAATGGCCTCCTTCACATCTTCTGTCCTTTTCCCCTGCTCAGTCCCTTCTCTTTTCTAGGCAGCACAAAGAGGCCAGTTGCACACCCCATGGGCGTGGAGAGACACCTGCCTCTATCCCATGCCCCTTTGTGAGTACCACACTCACAAGACTAATAATGTTTAAGGATTACTTCAATAATCTAAAAAGAAAAATTGATTTTCTTTCCCCATTTTGAAACTCATCATTTTCTACATAGCTAAAATAGTTGAAATTCACTATTAAACATTTGTAATATGCAGATTTTTTTACAAATATTACCACATTGTCTTCATGCCATTGTGTCCGGAATTGGTGGGTTCTTGGTCTCACTGACTTCAAGAATGAAGCCTCGGACCCTCGCGGTGAGTGTTACAGCTCTTAAGGTGGCGCGTCTGGAGTCTGTCCCTTCTGATGTTCAGATGTGTTCGGAGTTTCTTCCTTCTGGTGGGTTCGTGGTCTCGCTGGCTCAGGAGTGAAGCTGCTGACCTTCGCGGTGAGTGTTACAGCTCATAAAAGCAGCGTGGACCCAAAGAGTGAGCAGTAGCAATATTTATTGCAAAGAGGGAAAGAACAAAGCTTCCACAGTGTGGAAGGGGACCCGAGCGGGTTACCAATGCTGGCTCGTGCAGCCTGCTTTTATTCTCTTATCTGGCCCCACCCACATCCTGCTGATTGGTAGAGCTGAGTGGCCTGTTTTGTCAGGGCCTGATTGGTGCGTTTACAATTCCTGAGCTAGATACAAAGGTTCTCCAGGTCCCCATCAGATTAGCTAGATACAGAGTTTCGACACACAGGTTTCTCCAAGGCCCCACCAGAGCAGCTAGATACAGAGTGTCGATTGGTGCATTCACAAACCTTGAGCTAAACACAGGGTGCTGATTGGTGTGTTTACAAACCTTGAGCTAGATACAGAGTGCCGATTGGTGTATTTACAATCCTTGAGCTAGACATAAAGGTTCTCCACGTCCTCACCAGAGCAGCTAGATACAGAGTGTCGATTGGTGCATTCACAAACCTTGTGCTAAACACAGGGTGCTGATTGGTGTATTTACAAACCTTGAGCTAGATACAGAGTGCCGATTGGTGTATTTACAATCCTTGAGCTAGACATTAAAAGGTTCTCCACGTCCTCACCAGAGCAGCTAGATACAGAGTGTCAATTGGTGCACTCACAAACCTTGAGCTAAACACAGGGTGCTGATTGGTGTGTTTATAAACCTTGAGCTAGATACAGAGTGCCGATTGGTGTATTTACAATCCCTGAGCTAGATATAAAGATTCTTCATTTCCCCACCAGACTCAAGAGCCCAGCTGGCTTCACCTAGTGGATCCCACACTGGGGCTGCAGGTGGAGCTGCCTGCCAGTCCTGCACCCTGTGCTCGCATTCCTCAGCCCTTGGGTGGTCAATGGGACTGGGCGCCATGGAGCAGGGGGTGGTGCTCGTCGGGGAGGCTCGGGCTGCACAGGAGCCCATGGAGTGGGTGGGAGGCTCAGGCATGGCAGGCTGCAGGTCCCGAGCCCTGCCCCGTGGGAAGGCAGCTAAGGCCCGGCAAGAAATCGAGCTGAGGCCGGGCGCGGTGGCTCACGCCTGTAATCCCAGCACTTTGGGAGGCCGAGGCGGGTGGATCATGAGGTCAGGAGATCGAGACCATCCTGGCTAACAAGGTGAAACCCCGTCTCTACTAAAAATACAAAAAATTAGCCGGGGGCGGTGGCGGGCGCCTGTAGTCCCAGCTACTCGGGAGGCTGAGGCAGGAGAATGGCGTGAACCCGGGAAGCGGAGCTTGCAGTGAGCCGAGATTCCGCCACTGCAGTCCGCAGTCCGGCCTGGGCGACAGAACGAGACTCCGTCTCAAAAAAAAAAAAAAAAAAAAAGAAATCGAGCTGAGCGCCGGTGGGCCGGCACTGCTGGGGGACTCAGTACACCCTCCGCAGCCACTGGCCCGGGTGCTAAGTCCCCCATTGCCCGGGGCCAGTAGGGCTGGCTGGCTGGCTGCTCCGAGTGCGGGGCCCGCCAAGCCCACGCCCACCCAGAACTCCAGCTGGCCCGCAAGCGCTGTGTGCAGCCCCAATTCCTGCTTGCGCCTCTCCCTCCACACCTCCCTGCAAGCTGAGGGAGCCGGCTCTGGCCTTGGCCAGCCCAGAAAGGGGCTCCCACAGTGCAGCGGCGGGCCGAAAGGCTCCTCAAGTGCCGCCAAAGGGGGAACCCAGGCAGAGGAGGCGCCGAGAGCAAGCGAGGGCTCTGAGGACTGCCAGCACGCTGTCACCTCTCACCATTGTCTTTATACCATTCCTATGAGAGAGATCAGCAGCTTTATCCTGACTTACAGGTTTGGAGTGGACTATAAATAAATTGGGAAGGTATCGTAAATTAGCTTTTTGAAACTGGAATTAGTGTCCTGTCTTAAAGTCTGCAGGAATTACAAGACTCGAGGAAGAGAATCATTGGTGGTTTGGGAAGCTCTGACAAACAATTAAGTAGAGAATGATTTAGTACACAGCTCAGTTCCTGAACATTCTCATTGCTGCCTCTGGTTACAAAAAAATCTTGCCAAGACAAAAATGTTACTTCTGTATAAATCCCTCTCATTCGAACTTAAACATAATAACTAATAATATCCAGAATGATGACTTGAATTTTATAATCAGTGTTAAGTGGATTTTAAATACAGAAAATTTCATGAACTTTCATGGCTTTAACTAAACATGTTTGAATATGGTAAGGATTTTTCTATGTGTATATTACTATGCAGTGTGGCTCTGACTCTGATTGCATTCAATATTCCATCTGATTAAACCATGTTTACTCATTTCTCCCCTCACTAGATGCCCTTCTTGAAACCTTCCCTCAATACTCCTATGAGGAGGCTTTAAATGCTCTGAATCTATTACAAAGATAAATACCAGGGAAGTCAATTTTAACAAACCTTGAAATAACCTAAATGTCTATTAGTAAGAAAGTAATTAAATTAAAAATGTTGTATACTCATGTGATGTAATATTTTGCAGCTGGAAAAAAGTAAAATAGAATACAGTTGTTTATTTGGAAAAATGTCCATATATGTTGCTAATTTCTAAGACAAAAAGGAAAGTTTCAGAATGAAGTGTATAATGGTTGCACTTATGTTAAAACTCTATACACCCATAGCTTCAGAAACATGAAGGTAAATAGATTAATATCTATAGCTGTAGATAGGTTAAAATAAAGAAAGGTGGATGGATAGATGGGTAGAAAGACAGAAAGGAAGTAGACATGAAGATATTCATGAGAATTTTTGAAAAAGAATCAAACGATTCTGATAACAAATGTTAATTTCTGGGGAGTTCAAATGAAATGTGAGAAAAGAGACTTTCACTTTCTTCTAAATACTTTTACAGAGTGTTTGAATTTTTTGTAAATGCGTATTACACTTAAAATTTTTAATTATTAATTTTTGTAGGTATGTGACTGAGTATCCCATTTTTCTAAGAGATAGCTTATTATTTTTCTCTCTCTTCTTTTTCCTCTCCTCCTTTTCCTCACTTCTTACTTAGCTCTTTAGAAATGCAATTATAGCCTCTTATCTCCCATTTACCAGGCACTCCTTACAGGGCAAGTTCATCTCCAGAGCAGAACCCTCACCCATCAGGAGGTTGCCTTGGGAGATAACAGTTGATTGACAACCCAGCATATGCCTGCTAGAGTTTTTGGCTGCATTTACAGCCTGTTTCTGCCCATGAAGAAGCCAACTCGAATGCCCGGTAGATAAGGCACCAAAGTAAGTACGCAGCCCTCTTACCTGCTCCCTTCCATCTCCCATAGGTCCCCCCTTTAAAAGGGCCCACTCTGTGCTCCAAAAGGGAAGCAGTACCCTTATGGTAGGAACCTGTGCTTCTTCCCCAAAGGTAGCTTTGGAAAAAAAAAAAAAAAGTCATTTTCTTTATACCAGACCTCACTCTTTTTAACTGGACTCTGCAAGTGGCAAGGGACTAAACCTGCATTTTGGTTCCAACTACAGAGTAGGTATATACACTTATGGGGTAGGTGAGATATTCTGATACAGGCATACAGTGTGTAATCATCACAAAACAGGGTATCCATCACCTCAACTATTTAACTTTCGTGTTACAGACAATCCAATTATACTCTTTTAGTTATTTTTAAATGTACAATTAAATTATTATTGACTATAGTCACCCTGTTGTGATATCAAACACTAGATCTAATTTATTCTATCTTTGTACCCAGTAATACACTTAAATTTTTACCATTACATCTTTTCAGAGTACCTAGCATTTGCTTTGTATCCCAAATATTCTGCCTGTCTCATTGCTAGACATTTGCATTGACTCAGTCGCTTATTCCCCAACTAGACATCTTAGCTATTTCTACTCACTGCCTGTTGTCTGAAATAGCTTCCTACCTCGATTTTGCCTTTCTTTGCATTTTCAAACTCTAAAGTTTACTTCTCCTAGGAAATAAACTGGTTATATAAATGTGGGTAATCATTCATTCCCATCTACTGAGCATAACTTCAGACATTTTCCCTCTTAGTCCAAAGAGCAATTAACTTTATTTTTAAATTAAATATAGGTTGGTGCAAAAATAATTGCATTTTTTGCCATTGAAAGTAAATGGCAAAAACCGCAATCACTTTTGCACCAATCTAATATTTAAATTACATGCTTCCAACATGAGGCACACAACCTTCAATAAAGATATTTTCTCTAACAACCATGAATACATGTTAAAGATTCAACAATGGGAAGAAATGTCTTGGAAGAATCATGTTATAGGAAAGAATAGAACTAATTAGGAATGTAAATATAATTTAGAATACGGTCTCTCAAGAGAATTGATCCTGGACTTAGCCAATTATTAGCATAGTGTCCCGGCTGCTTCAGGACTATTATTCAACTTCCAAACTCTTACCCTTTGAATTAAATTGGTATTTTACTAGTTTGCAGAGGACTGGCAGATTCCTTGAAACTTGCGCCCCATCCCACTAGAAATTTCGTCTTCAGGAACCACTTCATTGCAGGCATGCCGCAGCCGCCCCCGATCCCTTCCCACCGCCCCACTAGGCTTATGACTTTAATAGAGTTGTCTGCTTCTGGGTTATCTGCCTCACACTGTGATGGCCTCACTTCCATTCCATTTGCTTAGCTTCTAGCACTGTCGCGCATAGAGGTGGGCACTTAATAAATGCTGCCAACCATGTCAAGGTAATGAGAGCAGTTAAATGAGCAGCTGAACTCCATTTATTCAGAAGTGCTTGTTGCATGTTTACTGTGTACATTGTGTTATATGTTAATGGGAGGCTGTAAAATGATTCCATTTATTCATCATTGCAATGAGGCCATTGAACTGGATGATCTCTACAGTAATTGCACATCTAGTACTCTGTGATTCTAAACGTAAATTTCCACATGAGAGAACAAAGTTTCTTTCCTTGATTTAAACTTATGTATGCAGAAATACAATATTTGTATGTAAAAATACTAGAAAATATGAGCAAATATTTAAGTAGTATGAAAAGTGCTAAAGGAATCTAAAGAATTTGAGAGAGATGGGTGGAGAATGCTTTTTGGACAAGGTAGGTCTTTAGCAGAGTCTTTAAGAATGTGATGAATGGGACTTAATAGAGTAAATTTGAATTAATTCCAAGTAGTGAGTGATTGGAGGAGAAATCCAATGTTCATTCTTGTCCCTTCCACACCCAGAAATGAAACCATGACCCCTTTACTTAGAGGTAGGATGATTTGCATTTACAATCAGTGATAGGCAATGCAACAATTGACAAAATATAAAGGTAGAGTTACCATTTAGTGAACCCTAAGAAATGCAGTAGTGCATCTGGCACAAGCGGGAAGGCTGGAATTTCAGAATGGAAAGAACTGGGGCCGGGAGCAGTGGCTCACATCTGTAATCCCAGCACTTTGGGAGGCCGAGGCGGGCAGATCACGAGGTCAGGAGATCAAGACCATCCTAGCTAACATGGTGAAACCCCATCTCTAATAATAATACAAAAAAATTAGCCAAGCGTTGTGGCGCACACCTGTAGTTGCAGCTACTCAGGAGGCGGAGACAGGAGAGTCGCTTGAACCCAGGAGGCAGTGCTTGCAGTGAGCTGAGATCGCACCACTGCACTCCAGCCTGAGTGCAGAGCGAGATAGAGCGAGACTCCATCTCCCAGAAAAAAAAAAAACAACCTGGAGAGGAAAAGGCAGTGGTGTGAAGACGAAAAGAGAGGAGCTCTGTGTGAAAGCTATAGACGTCCAGGGAAGACCTGAACACCTCCACTTTACAGCTCTATGCTTTTGCACAACGCTGGTAGAAAAGAGATCTAGAAAGAGGCATGTTAATTTCTCCACTCTCCAACTCAACTCTGCACAACTGAGATTTACAAAAGATAACTCGAGTTAAAGGCTGCTTAAAATCTAGGTCTCTTATGTGTCTGCTTGGTAAGAAGCTGGACATGGATGGAGGAAATGGTAGCCAGGGACTTCACTGGTTCAGGATAGCAAATCAAGATTATTTCCTAGTCAAAAAGACAAGAGTGAAGAAAGCAATCCAACTTCCCCCCAAGAGCATCCTAGCAGTCCTACATGAGACTAACTCCAGGAACACAAATCCAGTGAAGCAGTCACGATCATTTAAAAAATTTTAAAAATCCGTAACATCTTTCAAGAAAACACTAAATTTGTTGACCCATTTTCAAGACTCTTTCTTTAATGATTGCTCATAAAATTTTAGAAGCTGACACAAACTAATAGAAATATGCACAACTCAGTATACCCTATTCCTTACTACCACTAACTGAAAACCTGAATGAGCTACACTCTCTTTTTTATACTGGATTAAATAGACATTGTTATTTTCTCTGACTCTCCAGAGGCAAAACTGAACATAAGCTACAAAAATTTACATTTTCAACAGAATGCAGTTTTCTTTTGTATAAAACCTTCTAGATATTTATTCTCTAGCTTCATTTGTTCACCTGCTTGCTTGGAAAAAAATGATTTATAAGAAGTCTCTCTGGCCAGGTTGCCCAATGTAGTTAGCAAACTAGCAAGATGAAACAGCTGAGACTATCTGTTAGCTTCCTAATTTTCCAAAGATCACCTTACAAACCAATTAAAGTTTATGATGAATTATGAGCAGGACTATCATGTGTCTAGCATTAGAGGTCATAATTTAAGCCCCCAAAAATCTATGATATTAGACAAATTATGAATTCTGAGATTTGTTAGCATCATACTCTGAAAGGAACTGCAGATTCTCTAGTTCAAATCCTTTTATTAATATTACAGATGTGGAAACAGTTGGATTGCTCTGAGTGAAAATCCCCCCCTTAATTGTGACCTTAAAATTATACTTGATGTATCCATCCTGCCAAATGAGTAAGAGCTATTATGACAAAAAAATATAACAGAAAAGCAGAATATTTCTTCTAAATAGCCACAATGGGTAAAACATTTCCATGTCTACTAATCTAGCTGACATGTGACACTGTTCTGGGCCAAGTGAAGGCTTTGCTGATGTATTTTTTGTCTCTGTACTTCTCATAGAAACTCATACAGAGATCATGATTGAAAAAGTTTCTTTCAGCTGTGTAATTTAATCAACCTGACCTCCTAAGCCTCTCAAGACTTTAAGAACAGGCTGGCCGGGTGCGGTGGCTCACACTTGTGGTCCTAGCACTTTGGGAGGCCGAGGTAGTAGATTATGAGGTCAGGAGTTCAAGACCAGCCTGGCCAACACGGTGAAACCCTGTCTCTACTAAAAATACAAAAAAAAATTTAGCTAGGCGTGGTGGTAGGCACCTGTAATCTCAGCTACTCAGGAGGCTGAGGCAGGTAATTGCTTGAACCTGTGAGGCAGAGGTTGCAGTGAGCCGAGATCGTGCCACTGCACTCCAGCCTGTGCAACAGAGACTCCATCGCAAAAAAAAAAACAAAGAACAGGTTGATGTAATTCCTTCCTAGACAAGATTTCAGTTGAAGAACTACTTGATACGGTTCATTTGGAGCTGTTCTTTGTCCCTTAATTGTAACAGACTTAGATGGAGTTGGCTTGGCAGGTTATAAAACTACTACAGGGACAGAGTACTGTGGTGGTTTTTGTTGAATAAAACCTGAGAATCTACTTCCTAAGATTCTACTGTAGAGATGTATATCTGTGTACGTGTGTGTGTATATATGTATGTGTAAAATTATAAATAATTTGTGTGTGTGTGTATGTATACACATATATATATATGTATACATACACACACACATTCAGAGACACTTGTCTTTATTCTATCACTACATGAAAAAACATTTTTAAAGCTTTCCTGCCGGGCATGGCGGCTCACGCCTGTAATCCCAGCACTTTTGGGGGCCAAAGCAGGTGGATCACGAGGTCAAGAGATCGAGACCAACCTGGCCAATATGGTGAAACCCTGTCTCTAATAAAAATACAAAAATTAGCCTGGCATGGTGGCGGGCACCTGTAGTCCCAGCTACTCAGGAGGCTGAGGCAGGAGAATCACTTGAACTTGGGAGGCGAATGTTGCAGTGAGCCAAGATTGCGCCACTGCACTCCAGCCTGATGACAGAGTAAGACTCCATCTCCAAAAAAAAAAAAAAAAAAAAAAAAGGCTTCCCATGATTAAATAACAACTTTGAATTGTCAAAGCAAAATACTATTTTGTCTTATAAATTTATTCTTCTATCTTAAATTTTAGGTCTAAATGACTGATCCTCAAACCACCTACTTTCACAAATGCTTTTAAATATGTTCACGTTTCCACTCACATATATCATGATTATGTAATATATTTTAATTGAAGTCCTCATTCCTTCTTTTAATCATTCATCCAACAAAAGGTAGAGGACCACTCTGTGCTGGGCACAGGCTTGGGCTCTGAGGGTTCATCAGAGGCACAGAGCACACATTTCACTCCGCGATAAGTATCCTAACACACCGTAAATGAGTAAATAGAAATGAGTAAACGATATATACTATCAGAAGGTGATAAGTACTATGGAGAAACATATAGTATAGTAAGTGGGAAGGGGGACAGAAAATCTGGGGAGGTTGCAGTATTAAATAGGGTGGCCAGCTGAAGATATCAGTGAAAGGATAACATTAGAACCCAAAAAAATGAATGTAGTGAGGGAGTAGTGGGAAAAGTGGATTTCAAGTAAGGCACCAGCAAATGCAGAAGTCCTGAGGCAGGAGCATGTGAGGCTGGAAGCCACTAGACAACCTAAGGAGAGATGTCATGCGGCCTAAAAATGGACCAAGGACATGAGCAGCTACTTTTCAAAAGAAGACATACAAATAGCCAACAGGCATATGTAAAACTGTTCAACATCACTAATCATCAGAGAAATGCAAATTGAAACCACAATGAGATAGCATCTCATGCCAGCTAGAATGGCTATTACCAAAAAGACATAAAATAACAGATTTTGGAGTGGATGCAGAGAAAAGGGAACTCATACACTGTCGACAGGAATGTAAATTAGTGCAACCTCTTTGGAAAACAGTATGGTTTAACTTAAACTTGAGTAGAATTACTCTTGACAACTGTGTTGTCAACAGGCTGTTCTGGGATAAGGCTGAGAGTAGGTGAGACTCGTTAGGACTCTAAAAGGCATGACAGTATGCATTATTTTTGTAAAGGCTGTGTGTTAGTCCATTTTGTATTGCTATCAAGGAGAACCTCAGGCTGGATAATTTATAAAGAAAAGAGGTTTAACTGATTCACGGTTCTGCAGGCTGTACCAGTATGGCGCCAGCATCCGCTTCTGGTGAGGGGCTCAGGAGGCTTAGAATCATGGTAGAAGGCAAATGGGGAGCAGGTGTGTCACATGGTGAGAGGGAGCAAGAGTGAGAGGAGGGAGGTCCCAGACTCTTTCGAACAACCAGATCTCAGGTGAACTCATTATCGTGGGGGCACCAAGCCGTTCATGAGGGATCTGCCCCCACGACCCACACTCCTTCCACCAGGCCCTACCTCAAACTTTGGGGATCCCATTTCAATATTTGGAGGGGACACATATCAAAGCCATATCAAACTGGAAGGCAGGGGAGACAATCAGAGATTTTCTCTGATTTGGCTCTTGCCATTTAAGAAACCTCAGACTGTTAAAAAACAAGTGTGACGTTAAACTATTCAGTTATGAAGCACTGATGATTTAAACTTAGAAATCAGTGCTGGCTCTAGAAAGAAGTTCAAGATTCTTCAGGGCAGGAGCGATGACAAAGCAGACAATGTTGAGCAGGCTAAAAATCCCTTAAATGGACCAAAAGCTTCAGATTATTTTAAAAAATAAACAAACAATGAAACAATAGTGAGAAATAGCATACTGATGAACAGCTAAGACTTTAGAGTGAGAGAGACCTAAATTTTGATTCATGATACTTGCCTGTTACCTGTGAGACCCCGTGATAAGTTACCTTACAGCTCTGAGGCTCAGCTTCCACACCTGCTCATGCTGATAGTAACAGCACCAAACTCAAAGTGTTATTAAAAGGATGAAATACAACAATTATTAAAAACACTTAACACAGTATCTGTTGTGAGTGCCCAATAATGATAATTATTAGTTCTCAGCTACAATAATTGAAATGTCTCAATTATTTAAAGGCAAAAGAAACTTTATTTTTGGAAACTGCACAGGATCAAAATACCTCATATATATTACATGAACTTGAAATTAGTTACTGTCTTAGAGGTTCACTAAGAACACACTGCTGACAAAATTGCAAAGAATAAGCTTACTTAATCAACCTCTAGTTAATTGACCCAACAATTATCTGATAATCTCCACTTCCTCTGTTCAACAGGACTGCCCTGTCATGCTGAGACCCTGTAGCTGGTCAACTCTACTCCATGCCACTGTGCAATTTTACCCTCATAAGTTGGGGCCTATGCATATTAAGTGCTACGTGTATTTTTTCCTAAGATTGTTTATTCCAATTTCACTTATTACTATAATTATATATGCTAATTAGCTGTTTAATAAAGTGATGAAATATGAGTACAAAAAAGGAGAGTTGCTTCCACAAAAACTAATAAAAATTATTTTGAAGTCTTTTCAATATAAACTGTATCACTGTTGATTACATGTGGGTAAGACAACGACAACAAACCCCAACTGGCATGGGGAGGAATGTTCCGTAGGATTCTACATCTATATTGCTGGGGCGGTGTTAAGTTGTCATTCAGCCTGAAGAAATAATAGTTCTAAAATTGTAGATGTATTATGAGTGTGGCTTATGAAAAAAAAGTGGATCCTCAATCTGGGAACCCACATTCAAAAATGGATCTGGTCTCCTATAAAAAATTAACAATTAAATAGCTGGGTGAATAATAAAATATAAAGGTATGTAAGCATCACTTTTTTATGACTTTCCAATTTCTCGTCTCTAATAATCAGTCAGCAAGTAGACTTGATTGAATCAGGTAAGAGGACATAACTTTTTATCTACTTGTATTGTGGCCCTTCCAGGCCTCCACGTGAGTGTCAGTGGCCATGGAGAAGCAAGATTGACAAGCTGTTCAGCTTCAGAAGCATCTACTCCTAGGCCTTCACTGTTGAAGGCATTCCCTAGTAACCACTTTCATAGTCGTCCCTTTCTTTTGCTCAAGGCCTGTGGCTCACGATGAAAGGGCAGGTAAAAATGGGATGAGTGAGGCATTTCTCTAAGAGAGGAAATGTCTCTTCAGCTCTAAGGGAGGTATGGGGGTACAGATCTCTCCCTCTTTCCAAGATTGTCAGTCTTATAACAAAAGATATGAAAACTTAGTAGTTTCTTGGTAGAAACCTAAGCGAAGGGGAAAAAAATGCAATCACAATCC
The DNA here is from genome assembly GCF_000001405.40 of Homo sapiens. Lineage (NCBI taxonomy): Eukaryota > Metazoa > Chordata > Mammalia > Primates > Hominidae > Homo > Homo sapiens. The sequence goes on from NC_000004.12 coordinate 187,431,077, forward strand.
ATTACATAAAGAGTAGATAATTTTGTAAAGCTCTAATACAAGCTTGCAAATTACCATGTGCCAAGACTCCCGGGGTAAGTAGAAAACGATATGTTTTAGTCATGTTAATAATATCAGAAAAGCCATGTAAGGAGAAGAGACCTGTTAAATGTAGTCACGTTTACAAGGATGCTTTATAGTCATCAATGAAGACTTGTGCTAATTAATGCTTACATGATTAACTCAGTCTAGTTTTATTTAATTTAGTCCGACTACACACACACCCAAAACTGAACTGAAGCAGGGAAGACATTTTGCAAAAAGACTCGCCAAATCATTTTACAATGGATTGTGGAAGAAACTTTCTTTGAAAGACTTTGTGTAAGTTTTTTGAGGCTATGTAATTACGGTATTGTTTGACCAGAGTATCATACTTCCTAGCATAAGCTTGGATGTAAAATATATTGGAGTTTTGATTGAATATGTGGAAATAAGTGAAAATAAAACATAAAACAGGGCCACTCTGCCAATAACATGGATATTTTAATGTACTGGATTATAGTTTTGGTCATGTGGACAAAAACATTCCTGTTACTTAATCTGTGTTCTATAATAGTATTATATTTTTGTCAGGATTACTCTAATTCTTGTCAACTCAAGTATATTAGATTCTATTATGGGTCAGCAGAGCATTTTTCCATATTTTTCCAAACAAACTATTATTTATTTATCTTATTTTATATTTTATTTATTTATTAGTGTTTTTTTGAGATGGAGTTCTCTTGTCACCAGGCTGGAGTGCAGTTGCGCGACCTCTGCTCACTGCAACTTCCACCTCCCAGGTTCAAGTGATTCTCCTGCCTCAGCCTCCCGAGTAGCTGGGATTATAGGTGCCTGCCACCACGCCCAGCTAATTTTTGCATTTTTAGTAGAGATGGGGTTTCACCATGTTGGCCAGGATGGTCTCGGTCTCTTAACCTTGTGATCCGCCTGCCTCAGCCTCTCAGAGTGCTGGGATTATAGCTATGAGCCACTGCACCCAGCCTAAACTATTATTTATTAATTCAATAAGCACACTAATAGGTGAACAAGGATGCCACCAAGTCTACCAAGCAAAGATGGAGATTTGTCCCTTCAGTGATTTAGACAGGAATGACGGCAATTCCTTACTAGTTGACCTCCCTTTTTCTTTTTCCCTGCCAAATAATCTGCTGTCAGATTTTCCTTCTAAAAACAGGGCTCTGGGGTGGTCATCCTCTGCTTAAAACTCTCAACGGCTGCCCATTGCTCCAAGCTACAGTCCAGTGCTCAGCCTGGCCCCACAGCCCGCATCAGGGAGCACTTACCTACTGCGAAGCTGCTCCCCACTTCCCACCTCTTCTGTTATCCCTACACTCCAGCAGGAGCATTTACCTACTGCGAAGCTGCTCCCCACCTCCCACCTCTTCTTCTGTATCCCTACACTCCAGCAGGAGCACTTGGCTACTGGGAAGTTGCTCCCCACCTCCCACCTCTTCTTCTGTATCCCTACACTCCAGCAAAGCTGTTGTGGCTCACCTAAGTATTTTATGTTCCCCCAACTTGATCGAGATCTCTCTTTTCTCCTCCATTTCCGCGCATCCAAATTCTAGACCCTATCCAAACCCCACATCTTCCAAGTTCTTTCCTAATTCCCCAACCAGAAGTAATGTTTGGATTCCAGCAGCATTTTACTTGTATCTTCAGAGGATACACGATCACTTTCTACCTGGGATTAGAAGTTTTATGTGCATACCTTGCTCTTTTTACTGGGATGTGGTATTCCTGAGAGCAGGACTGATACTGCTTTATCTCTTTAACTCTTTTAATAGTTGTCATAGTTTATATGTTTAGAAAGAAAATCAATATTCATGGATAAGGTAGCAAGGATTCATTTAGAATACAAAAGACAGAAGCTTAGATCAGACAAAATCTAATGCTAACTATATAACTGAGTCAAATATTTCAATGTGAAAGGATGCTAAAAGATGATTTGGTCTATTCATTTTAAAAATTAGAAAATTAAGAAGCAGAATATTAACAGACTTTTTTTTGCAATTCTATATTGTGTACCCCCAGATAGGATGAAATTTTAAATAATTTTCAAAATGTGATCACTTTTATTTCACTGTCTTAACTCATTCCCACAAACATATCCTAAATCATCAGCTGAAATGACCTCACCAGAACCAGCCCTCTTGTTCTTCTCCTTCATGCGCCTAACCAGCACAATGATCTGATTGTTTTTCTAATTTTATTTTGACCCGTATACATGGCAACAATATGGTGACGTGGAAAAGAACATGTACTTTGGCATCAGGTATCTCCGGGTTTTATTCCCTGCTCTGTTACTTTCATAATTTGTAGCCCTCAGGCTCTCTGAGCTTCAGTTTGCTGATTTGTAAATTTAGGATATTGAAAAGATTACAATAGCTAATATTATTGAGACCTTGCTAAATATATACTGTTCTGAATGCTTTACATTTATTGTCTGAAATCTCAAAACAACTCTATGAAGTAGGCACTATTATTAACCACACACTTATAGATGAAGTAGATACTATAATTATCCCCATATGATAGACGGAGAAGTGACGGCTTAGAGAAGTTAGCTGGCGTCTAGAGTCACACAGTTACTGAAGAGTGGAGCTAGAACCGAAACCCCGTTCTTCCGACTTGCGAGCCCATGAACAAATGATTATTGTGAGGATGATTTGCAAAGGCCAGTCCTACTGTTTGCTATAAAGAGTGTTTCTCAGGACTCAGGTTGAATGCTGTTATTTTAAGTATGTATGAGTTAATTTTACTCCAATTACAGAAACTCTCTAGTTGTGGGGTTTAAGGAACAAATGTTACATTCTCTATCATGAGCACTCCCCATCTGTTGACATTAGGAATCTTAGCTAATTTTTCTTTTACTGTTGCAATTTCTTAAAGTATGGCAACTCTTTTGAGTTAAATTGATAGTGCCTGTCCATTTTGCCAACTGAAGAATCTCACTAGTGACTGAATGTCCTGGGGTGCTATCTTCAAGTTTGATACCCAGTCCTTCCCCCACACCCCTTTCTAACTGCCCTCAAGCAGAGGAAGAAATATCCTACCAGGTGCAACAACCACCAGGTAGTTCAATAGATTTTGCAAAGCACATTTTTCTGAACTATTCAGTAGAAGCTTCTAAACATATCTTTATATGTTCTGAAACATATAAAACAAAGCACATTTTTCAGAATTATTCAGTAGAAGCTTCGAAACATAACTTTCTCTATAAAGTTTGCTTGTTCAAGCTTTTATGTTAATATCATAGTTTAAATGAATCATATTCCTTAACATTATTTTTAAAAACAAGGCTTTGATGGAGAAATAAGTCACGTGTGAAGCACAGGACGTCTTTAAAAATTAGCAAGGAGGGAACAGAATTACCAAATGCACTCATTTACTGGCATTTTATTTCTACAGACATCAGCTCAATTTCTTCTAAAATAAAAGCTAATGAGGACAATGGCATGTCCAAATGCCTTTACTGGATTATATATGCCACAAGTATACTATGTGAGTGAGCCCTGTAGCAAATTGGATATAATAGTGTTGATTCTGTATTGTTGGTACATTGGGAAGGGGTTTTTATAGATTTGAATTTTCCAGGAAGATTACTAGGGCTATAAGAAGATACATCCAACCATGCTATTTGTCCTTTTGTCTATAAATTTGTCTTTCATCTATAAAAAAGGTGATTGTTTGTGTGAGGAGTCCAGCAGACCTTACAACTATAAAACATTGTGAATCTGTGATCCAGAGAGGTAGATGGATAGGACAAACCAATGAATCACCTAAATAGCATCCAGGCATCTCTGTGTGTGCTAAACTGTGCCATAAATGAAAGTAATCATCTTCTCTTCTCTTCCCCCACCTCTCTGTAAAGTAACCTCCTGACAGAAGCTTCACCTCTTCTTGTTGTGCTCATGTATTCCAGATATCAGCTGAGGTTTCCCAAGCTCCCTAAAATCTACAGAAGTTCGGCTCAAACCCCTATCCCAGATGCTGGAGATGACCAAGTTCTCCAGAAACACGTAGCAAATTCCAGGGTGGGAAGGAGAATCTGAGCAAGGAGACAACGATTACATTCTCATGGTCACTTGTCTCTTGAGCTAGTGCTTTATTGGAATTAGTTTATTCTGTTAAGAGTTTCCCAAATGTCCTGTCTTTATGTTACACTCACAACAAAACAGACATAAAGCACTGGCTTAGCCTCCAGTTCCACAGGAGCCTCATCAACCCATGCCTTCAACTGACGCCTAAGCTGAGACTAAAGAAGATGGTAACCAAGTGAAGAGATGGAGGTTTGGAGTGTCCAAGCAGAGAAACTACATGTGGAAATGCATCGAAGCAAGAAAGAGCATGACATCTTCTTAGTACTGAAAGAAAATACGACTGGACTTCAAATATTTTCTCATTCGTGGGGTTAAGAGGTGGGTGTTTCTTTACTCCTCCTTTTCAATACATCCCAACAAAACATCTGTGCACTTCTTTAGACAAGACCAAAATGCAAATATTTTCGTTGCTGTTCTTTGTACTGTCACCAAATCAAAATAGTACCTTAGTTTTGTATAATTCTTTACAGTTTTCAAAGCAATTTCCACTATCTCATTTGAAATTCTCAGAGGCCCCTCACCACCAAAGATAATCAGTGAACTATCTTTTTCATGGATCCATTTGTGGGTTTCAACAAAAATTAACTATAGAACTTACTGAAACATCAAACATTTTAAGAAATGGGAAATATTATTTTTTTAACCAAAAAGCAAAAAGAGTGGTTTTTCAGACACACTTATTGCATATAGCAAAGCAGCTCATTTGGTGGGTGGGGGTGGGGTATGGCATTTTTTTTGTCTTACAGCCACGAGAAGCAGCATTTTAGAATAATTATTTACAAATTTGTAAAACTTTAAAAAGAATAGACTATATAACATGTTGAAATAGAATCATTGTTACACTTTGATAAAACATTAAACAAAACCCAGGTCTCCCTTTTCACCTTTCTAACCTCCCCTTTGGTCTGATGACAGTCATGGGGGTGAGGGATTCACCGGGATTCAGGTAGGGGCTCTGGGCCTGCCTAAGCCTTGCCAAGAAGCAGTTACCAGCTTGGCAGTGCATACCTGAAGAAGGACAATTGAACATAAGGCTCTGTTGACGTGCCTGTAAATTGTTCTGTTAGAGTTGGTCTATTTAAAGCAATTATGAATGCATGGGTCAGTGCTATTGGAAAAGAGCACTTTTGTACCCTTTCACAGGCCTCAGAAGCAGTGTATTCTCCCCATCTGACCCTCCGGATGGTTCCAGGCCAAGCGTCTCTCAGGGAAGGCTGGTTTCTCTCAACGCCCCCTTTCTGTCTGTGTTTCTTGGTTACCAGACTTGCTTACTTTGTACTATCCTCAGAGCCCATGACTTCCTCTGCTTTTTTCCCTATGGAACCTTCCTTTTCTCAAAAGTGCTCACAACCTTCTCTGTGTCTTAGTGATCACAAGACTGAGCACATTTCCTGTTCGCTGAATAAGCTCTATTCAATACAAATAAATTAAAGAGGAATAAGCAAATTGCTTTAACGTTGTGATTGCTCATTAAGACTCTGAAAAATACTCAAGAGCATAGACTTGTTCCCTTAGAAATACGATCAACAGGTCATTGAAATCTTTGAACATTAAGTAACTGCTATGTGTAGAAGTGTTATATTGACATTGTTACTGTGGATCTCATTTTCTCGCTGTTTTGATAATTTTTACTCCACATTCCATTAAAATTATTATTTTAAAAAATTAACACAAAGGCTTTCCCTTCCTCTGTGATGGGCACCAGACCAAAGTTGATGTGCAATAGAAAGGAAATATTAATCAGAGTGCAAAGCAGTGGAAAGATCCCCACTGCTTTGCAGATTAGAAATGGATGTCAGGAAGTTTCCTGCAGGAGGCCATGTTATTTCTTTACTCTCTTTGTAAAGAAACAATTTACAAAAAATGTTGAGTCTTGCCCTAGGAGGAAGGCGGTCCTGGAGACAATGGCTTTGCCCTGAAGAAGACCATGCTGTTGAACACCATATAAATGATGTGGCAGTGAGAGCCGAAGGCTGTGGGATCTGAGAGCTGGCTCAGCCTCACTGCCCACCAGTCATGGGATCTTGGTGAAATCACCAATTCCTCTGAGCCCCAGTTTCCTCATCTGTAACGTGGATTTCATAAAAATCACTTCTTGTATTGTAAGCGTTGAAAGCATGAATATACATATAATGTAAATAATTTCTCATTGGATAAATCACATGAAAAGTACTCAATAAATAAAACATTATTGTTTGTTAATTCTTGATTTAGAGCCATCTGAGTCTTTTCTGTACCCTTGTAGATACCTTGGTCAGCTCCATGGAGCAGAGCTGAGTTGACAGTTTTGGTGGTAGTGAACTGCTAAGGAATAGAATGTTTGATGAACTAATATCCCCTATTCCATGAGTCAACATATCCATTCCTGCAATGTTACTGAGGGAAGGCCCTGGGTTGTCATCACTGTGACAATGCTGGTGCAATAATTCAATGAATTCTTTCTGCTTGTTGCACAGACAAAACAAATTCACTGAGATGGTGACACTGCAGTAAAAAAAAAAAAAAAAAAAAAAAAAAAAAAAAAAAAAAGGTTTAATTAACACAAGACTGGCCATGCAAGAGAACTAGAGTTATCACTCAAATCAGTCCCTCCAAGAACTCAGAGGCTAGGGTTTCTGTGGATTCTTTGGTGTGTAGGAGGCTAGGGAATGGGTGCTGCTGATTGGTTGGGGATGAAATCACAGGGTGTGGAAAATGGTCCTTGTGCAGTGAGTACGCCTCTGGGTGGGACCACAGAACCAGTCGTCATGAGTCACAGCTCCAGCTTGGGTCTGTCAGTTGCCAGAATGCAAAAATCTGAAAAATATCTCAAAAAACCAGTCTTAAGTTCTACAATAGAGATGTTATCTGTCGGAGCAATTGGGGAAGACACAAATCTTCGGACCTCTGGCCACATGATTCCTGGGCAGTAAGGGATTACAGAAACTATAATTCTGCTACATTTTAGAATTCAGGCCCCTCTCATGATCTTAAACTTATGGCCTTTCATTAGTTTCTGGTCCTTGAGCAAGGATGGGGTTGGTTTTAGGGAGGACCTGTCGTCATCCTTGCTTTTAAGTTACTAATAACTGAATTCCTCCCATGGTTAGCTTGGCCTACACCTAGGAATGAGCAAAGACAACCAGCCTATTAGGCTAGAAGCAAGATGGAGTCAACCATATTAGATTTTTCTCACCGTCATAATCTTTGCAAAGCCAGGGTTTCACTAGCACCCGGTATAATGCTAGAAACAGCATAGGGCCCAATTGAGATCTACTAACTTGAAATGTTCTGACATACTTGGTAGTAAATTTTTTTAGTAGTAGAAAATCTAAAGTTTAACTGTTGCACACAAACGTTTTTTTTAATCACATAGGAATAAAATTAATTCTGAATGGAAATGAAAAATAACTAACCAAGAGCAACAGATCATCTGCATTGTTATCCAGACATATTCAGTTGTTTGCCAAGAAACTGTAAGTTAACCTTTGAGAATAAGAACAGTGTCTTTGTTCTGTTTATTATAGATGGAACAGAAATTCTGTGAGGATTCCCCAATGCCATCCATGGAACTGTGTGTGCTAACATGAATTTTTAAAATGTTGAAATTATATTTAGAAATGATAAGAAAACCAAATACCCCATGTTCTCACTTACAAGTGGGAACTAAACATTGGGTATTCATGGACACTGGGGACTAATAAAGGGAAGAAGGAGGGGACAAGGGTTGAAACACTAATGATTTGGTACTATCCTCACTCTCTGGGTGATGAGATCATTCATATCCCAAACCTCAACATCATGCAATATAGCATGTAACAAACCTGCACGGGTACCTCTGAATCTAAAATAAAAGTTGGGATTTTTTTTAAAAGAAATGATACAAATGGAACAGCATTTAGAGAGTTCATATGCGAGGTGCAGAACAATGACACTTGTTTTCTTCATTTTCCTTTTGTATTATTTACGATGAACTGGAATCCTGTTCATTTATACTGTATCATGAAGGTTTTACCAGAAAAATTTTAGATTTATAAAAGAGAAATCAAGACTAACATTTAATAGTTTCATACACTTAATATGCAAGTCTGATTAAGCTAATAAAGGTAAGTTTTAATGTGTATTTTTGTTTAGAAATGCTTATTTATATTCATCTTTAATAGTATGGGTTGAATTAGCATTTTAGTCGATTGGATAAATGTGACCTTCAACTTGCTGATCTAGCTTTTGCTTTTCCTGTATTAATTTATGAATAATTTACATTTGGCCCATGGGCATTTTACAATACACAATGACATGGATATCTTGATAAACTGCTAATTAACAATTTTATCAGCAAACTTTCCCCAAAACAGAGCAGATATCGTGCTTTAGTAACTTTGTGCTTTTAACTATGTCTAACATAGTGCTTTGCAGGGGGTAGCAAAGGATAAACATTAAGAAATTATTAATTTCCATGAGCTACTCCATGAATATTTCAAATGTCATTTCAAGTACTTTTCATGGAAAACTAAAACCTTGTTCTTTTCATCGTAAAGGATTGTATTCATTGTTTATTAGTCTATGCATTTGGACTGTGTGACTTAGCTGCTGATAACTTTAAGCAAACTGAAAATTTTTCAACTAAAGACAATTTTCTTGTAATGGCAAAATAAATAAAACACATGTAAGAAATGCAACTCAAGCACAAACCTTTATAGAAAATACTCGTAATAAAGTCAACAGAAGTTTTTCTTTAAATTGAGACATAATTTTCTGTTGTCCAATTAGAAAATATTTTAAAAATTAAGAAAATCCATTCGTAGGAAGAGCAAAGAAAATGGGCATGGTCATATTCTTCTCGAGCAGTGGGCAGTAGCATAATCCTTTAGATAGTAATTGGGCATTAATGTAGTAATCATTCCAAAATTGTGCATATTTTTTGACCTAATAATTACATAAGTAGAAAAATTTAAGGAAGTAACTCTAAATTCAGAAAATGCTTTAAAGAAAAGTGTTCATGAAAATATTATTTATATAGAAAAGAATCAAAGCCTAATTCTCCATCAGAAAGGAAATAATTACTTGTGATACAGCCGCATGATTGAATAATGTGGACGCATTAAAATGCCTACAATAATCTGGAAAAATATTTAAAATTAAATTACATAAAAAATACAGTATAAAACTCTATTCAACAATGTTAATAATACTTTCTTTGAAAATTGAATTATGGATTTTTTTCTCTTTTCTAATTTTATGTATTTAATATCTTTTAACTACTATATATTTGTCTTATAGTTTAAGAAAAATAAATTACTGAGTTCATTGCAGGAATCCTTTTGGAGATTATGCTCTGAATTACTTTGTAGCCCAAGAGGTTATATCATGTGAACTCAAGATAGCAAAGTATGGTTTTAAGAGCTCTCAGATGTAAGGGGGCCCATTAAAGATTCTTTGTCTAACCCAGTCAAAGGCAGAGGGGAGGTAATCTGTGGAACTCCTGGTCATGTGCAGAGATCTGTGTGTCTGAAGAAATCAGTATGACTACAGCTTAAACAAAAACAGATGGAATATCCGCAGATGAACTGAATATATAGACAAGGAACAGATCAAACTTGCCCATGTTCCTCCTCAGGGAAATGGAAAGATTTCCAAAAAGTTTGTAAAGAAAAATGACAAGATCCGATTTACATTCTACAGAGATCATTGTGATTGTTTAAAGGACAGTGGATTGAATCTAGGAGACCAGTTGAGGAGCTATGGCTATAGCAGATGGACGCAGTAATGGGGCCTGAATTATGATGGGGAGTGGCAGTGGAGATGGAGGGAGGTAGAGATATTTGAAACATATTGTGAAGATAAAATTAGCAAGACTTTGTGATGGATTGACGGTGGGAAATAAATGAAAGTGAGACATCAAGAAATTTACTTTGATTTATAGTTAAGAATTTTGTGTTTTTTTTTAAATCACAAGTGAGTGCTGAATTTGATTAAATACTGTTTTAGCATCTATAATATGATTATATGATGTTCTTATTTCTGTTAGTGTGACATGTCGTATTTATTGATATTTAAATGTTAAACCACTTTCGTATTTTCAATATAAATTTCACTAGGTTGTAATGTAATTATCTTTTTATATATCACTATTAAATTATTCATTTATGTTTTGCTTAAGAATTTTTTATCTATGTTTAAGAGAGATACTGGGCTATAATTTTCTTTACTTATCATGTTTTTCTTAAGGTTGGGTATCAACTGGTGTTTGCCTCATAACAGTAGTTTGGAAGAATTTTTTTCTTTTTCTATTCTTTGGGAGAGTTTCTATAAGGCTGAGGTTATTTCTTTCCTAAATATTCGGAAAAATTCACAGTTGATCCATTTATATCTGGAGTTTTCTTGGTGAGAATGTTTTTTAGTAAAAGACTCAATTTTTCAATAGATAATCACATCTTGTATGTATTTGTTTCAATTGTGACATCTCAGGATGTCTGTTAGCTTCAGTTGTAATGAGACTTTTACAGAATCCTCTTCTTGTGACCTCATACCCTTGTTACACCTTGGGTATTCACTGCAGTCTCTTGGTCCACGGCTTTCAGCTGCTTATCAAGTGCTTTCTGTTTCAGCATCTCCCGATCAGTGTTATGACGCATGGCTGGGTTATATATTATAATTTTCAGGGCCATTATAAAAACTAACCATACCATTCTTTTGCTTAATACTTGCAAAAATTTTGCCATCTTCTATCTTGCTTTGACATATTTTTCTGCCTTTTAAGGTCTAGCTGTCTGCACAGGTTTTGCCATACCTTGTAAGAATAGAGCTAAAAAGTCTTTGTAAGCCACTGAGTGTTGTTCTTATAAAGAGATAACAAGCGTTGCTTCACCAGCCTTTTTTTGTTATCATAAGTAATAATTTCACTGTGCTTGTTTACCAGGTTCAGATTTTGGAGTTCTGAGAGATTACTGGTTGAATAGACTTGGGCTAACTCATAATATGCATTGCTAAGGAGCTTAATGAATATACCAGTAATTTGAGATCTATATTTGGTAGCTATTGTACTCTGACAAGTAATAGCAAAAAAACTATCATCAACTTTTTACATGATTCTGAAGTCACCCTCACAGAGTTATCAAGAATTATCGACAGAAATGTAGTTATAATTAAGCATTTATCAGGCTGCCCTTTGACCCATTTCCTTGAAACCGAAACTCCCGTTGCACTGGGTACGGACCACTTGCATCCCCACTGTTCCTACAGGTAGGATTTCTGACCTTAGAATCATAGGGCTTTTGCTTAAGACAGGATCTCTGATATTGGAATCATAAAGCTTTTGCTTAAGAGTTGCTTAAGCAGATCCTGACTTCCAGCAGGACAATAGAGGTTAACCAGCTTCAAGGCCCCACCGAAGACCTGAATGAGCATGAGAAGATGGTTTCTTCATCTCCCAGCCCCATGACTTTGCCCTGGGCAATTCAGCCAGTCAGTGATCTCCACACTGCAGCCCATGCCAAAACCCTTAAAATTCCCAGCACCAAACTACTCAGGGAGACAAATTTTGAGGTTTCCTCCCATCTCCTCATTTGGCAGCCCTACAATTAAACTTCTTTCTCTGCTGCAACTGGGTATATCTATGTATTGACTTGCCACACTCATGGGGCAAAACTTATGATTTCAATCCAACATGATATGACGACCTGACATGGCAAGAGTGGGTTCAGCTTGTTCAGAAGGTAAAGTGCTCTTCAGCCGGTGCAGGTCATCCCTCCATGAGAGGAGTAACATAAACATTGCTTTGCATTGTCGTTTTCTATTTTACAATGTGCCTAGGATTTTGTCTTTAATTCAGGTATGGTAATGCCAATAGATCAGGAGTCAACTACCATTGAAAAGATAGTTGGGGCCGGGCATGGTGGCTCATGCCTGTAATCCCAGCACTTTGAGAGGCTGAGGCAGGCAGATCACTTGAGGTCAGGAGTTCAAGACCAGCCTGGCCAACATGGTGAAACGCGTCTCTACTAAAAAATACAAAAATTAGTCGGGTGTGGTGGCATGTGCCTGTCATTCCAGCTACTCAGGAGGCTGAGGCAGGAGAATCGCTTGAGTCCAGGAGGCAGACGTTGCAGTGAACCAAGATCGCGCAAAGAGTTTGTCACTCATGATTCCCAAGAGAGGGGCATGACACACTGAGGGCCACAAGAGAAGATACAGGGGCAGTCAGGAGGGAAAAGGGGAGGGGAAAGTATGGACCAGAGCCAATACTGTCCTTGTTGAGGCAGTAAATGATCAAGGTAGGGTAGAAAAGCTGAGTGGGAGTAGGATTGGGTAGTTTGAATAATTTCAGCAGACTCTGGGACATGAGGGTCATCCCTAGTTTTCTGGTACCCTGCCCTGGGGCGATTTAGGGCAGGAGGAGAATGCCCTGTACTGCAGGAGACTGATGAAGGAAAGTGGATGTGGGTATGTATTTAGAACTGGTTGGCTTGCATATTAAAGTTGTGCTCATAGGAAACTTGTTAGCCATCTCTAGGAAATTAGCTAATTAGCAGTCCCCCACCCCCAGGTTCATAAGTCTCCAAATATGTCAAAGCATCATAAAATACAGAAAGTAGAAAATATTATTAATACAGCTCCATTCTCTTTAGAGATATCCATCATAGCCATGTCAAGAGCTGGAAGGGCAGGCTTAAAGCATGTTGCCTGCAAACAAAGCTGGCAGAAATCAGCATGTATTCAGGTCAGCTGGTTTGTATTCATCCGCAGCTTGTTATAGCTCCTTTAAGGATGCCAATTCCTCTCAGGGGCTGTTTTCTTTCCACAAATGCATTAGTTAACTGATGGCAAAGCCCATCACAAGTACTGATGAAAAGTGAAACCTGTGAGAATAGTGTTTCCACGTCAGGAACAGTAGGCATAGAAGACCTCACAAACAAAACAGCAAGAAGCCTCAAAAGGTGTTCCTGTACATCAGGAGCCCCAAGCACAATACCCAGATGATATAAGTTCTTTGCAAGGAATTCTCTACTCCAGTCAATCAGTTCACAAAGCTGAGTCATTTGCCCTTGAGTTGAGAGCTGTGGTTCACTGGTCACATATTGCTTTGGGGCAGTCATCATTCCCAGATACAACCCAAGCGGTAGAGGCAGCTCAGGCAGGACTAGGTGGCCACTCTGGGAGGAAGGACTGCAGCAATTTAGCAAAGGGATTCAAACATTTTTGAAGAGTGGATAAGCTGATTTGCAAGGGAACCGAGGCAATAATCAAGATTGTGTGGCACTGGCAAAAAGATAAACCTGTAGATCAGTTGAATAGAATTACAGTTCATTGACTTTGACAACAGTGCCCAAAATCAATCAATGGGGAAAAAATAGTGTTCACCAAATGGTTCTGGAAAAACTGAATAGACACATGCAAAAGAATAAATTTGGACCCCCTTGCTCATACTGTTTGTAAAGATTAACTCAAAATATACCATAGCCCTAAATATGAGAGCACCCCAAAAGCACAGGCAACAACAGCAACATATATAAATTGGACTACATTAAAATTTAAAAATTTAAAAAATTTAAAAATTTCTTGATACCATCAAGAAAATGAAAAGACAATCCAGAGAATGGGAAAAAAAGTATTCGAAAACTCATATATCTGACAATGAACTTGTATTTACCCACACTATGTAAAGAACTCTTACAGCTCTATAATAAAAAGACAAATAATCCAATTAAAAAATGAGTGTAGAACCTGAACAGACATTTCGACAAAGTAGATACACAAATGGCCAATAAACACATAAAAAGATGTTCAGCATCATTAGTCATTAGAAAAACGCAACTCAGAAACACAATGAAATACCAATCCACCCTCACTAGAGAGATTATAATCAAAGAAACAGACAACAACGTGTGTTAACAAGGACGTGGAGAAACTCGACTTCCCATTCCTTGCTGAGAATATAAAATAGTCCACCTGCTTTGGAAACATTTTGGCAGTTCCTCAAAATGTTAAACCCAGAGTTACCATATGACCTAGCATTTCAATCCCAGGTATATACCCAAGAGAAATGAATACATATGTCCATACAGAAGTTTGTACATGAATGTTCATAGCAGTGTTATCCAAAATAGCAAAAAGTGGAAACAGCACAAATGTCCTTAAACTGATGAGTGGATAAATAAATATGGTCTGCTCATATGATGGATTATTATTCGAATCAAATAAATGAAAATAAAAGGAATAAAAATACTGATACATGTTACAACAGGGATGGACCTTGAAAACATTACACTAAGTGAAAGAAGCCAGTCACAAAAGCCACATATTTATGTAAAGTATTCAGAATAGGCAAGTTTATAAAGACAGAAAGCATATTAACCCTAATATCTAGGGCTGAAGACTGTAGGGAAGAAGGATTATGAGGTGAATGTTAATGATGATAGGATTTATTTTTGAGTTAATGAAAGTTTTCCAAACTTGGATTGTGGTCATGCCATACAACTCTATGAATATACTAAAAACCATTGGATTGTAAACTTCAAGTGTCGATTTTATGGTATGTCAATTATGCGCTTATAAAACTGCTAAAAACGGTACTCAGAAAATGCAATAAAAATTACCTTGAAGTTTGAAAATACAATGATTTAAATTTATTTAAATTATATCAGATTATAATACTTAAATTTTATGTAGTAATACTTATGTTTATTTTAAAGTTATCACCACTTATTTAAATATACAATCATGAGCCTGGCAGTTGGTTACCAACCCAATTTCTGTGCTTTGACCAACATCATTGAATTTGGAAGGCAATGTAATAAAAGGTCATGAGGGCCTTCCACATTTTTCTACCAGAAATCATGGTGAACCTAGTTAAAGATGGTCTCTTATACAGTTGACAGGAAATCCTGATCTACCTGGAAAAATCTCTCACTGATATTACAAGAGCATGTCCCTTCAAAAGTAGTAATTCATTGCTAGAGAAGGGTAACCTACCGTTTTCATAGCACACTTTTTTGAGAAGTCCTTGATAAGACTCATTTCTATATGTGAGTCAAAATTTTTCCCTATAAGTTCACACTCTCAATTATTTAGTGCCCACAGTATAGGGATAATGATACAGAGCTCAATAGTAAAAATGTATATGGTGTCTCTCCTCCTGTGGCTATAGGCCTGACAGTGAAGAATGGAAAATTCAGATAATTAAGAATCTTCACAATGTGTGATAACATTTAAAGCCCCAAAGAATATGAAACTAGATAGAGAATAAATCTGTTGATAATTTCTAGTTTTAAGTAGCTATGGGTGGCACAAACTCTGTATAATTGCATATAATCCTCAAGAAAAGCCTGTACAGATACAAATGAAAAGACATAAACTCAGAGAGGCAAAGCATGTAGTCTACGGCTACACAATTAATAAGCATATATAGACTGTAAATAAAAATTCAAAAAATATCACCCGCTTATGTCAAACACAGTAACAAATGTTGACAAGAATGGGTAGAAATTGGAATTCTCATTCCTTGTTGAGAATATAAAATGGTGCCTCCACTTTGGAAACATGTTGGCAGTTCCTCAAAATGTTAGACATAGAATCGGCATGTGACCCAGCATTTCAATCCCAGATACACACCCTAAAGACATGAGAACATAAGCCCATACAAAAATTATAAATAAATATATACATAGGGGTGCATATATGTACACATATTTAACCAGTAGTAGAGTTTCAAAATAAGAGCATTAATTAATGTTTCATGCCAGTTTACAAAGTTTATTCAGCAAGGCTCAGAGATGGTCAGTGGCTTGCTACGAGTTAACTAGCTAGTTCAATTAGAACCAAGACTAGACTCCAGTGTCAGACTTTTGGTGAAAAAGTACTTAGAAATGTATCAAGGGATTCCTGTGATATAATTCCTTACCTTTGATGAATACTGAGATTTCTGTTCTAGGTCAAGGAGCTGACATCTTTTGTTAACTTTTTTTTTTTCTCTTCTTGGTCCTGTTTCACTTTAGGAGTTTGAATTGTAAATTCCATTATAAATATTCACTGTAATTTTTCCATCTTTTACAATTTTCCCCCTTTCTATCCAGAAGCTGATTATTAAGAGCTAAATGTGCCTATTCAAATGAACTAGGAAGCTAAATAATTGTACAGTGGAATCCGAGCCCCAGTTCTTTTGGGAAGGTGATAATAGTCTAACCTGACCAACCAACTTTTAAAAAAATCCACTGAGCCAATACTATTCAACTGTACTTCATTTAAGTAATGTAGATTTGGAACCAGTCAAAACTGCCTACTTTACAAAAACACTTCTTCTTAACTTACTACTTCCAAATTACAAAAAGAGCACCTTTCAGAATATGTCTTCAGTAATGAGTTCTGCCAATTTAAAAGTAAGAAAGTCTAGCAGAATGTGTGAATGCCAAAAGAAGAATAATAGATGAAATTCAAGAAATCTTTAGGACTTACGGTCTTTAGATTCAGTATTTTTCATATTCTTGGTACATTAGCTCATGTCTTTCTCTTTCTTGTTTCTAAACTCCCAAGCAACATAATGATGTATTGTTAACCAATTTGGTGATATTTTTACAATCGTTAGAGTACTACAGGCTATATTATGTAAAATATTTCTTTGTGCCCTGTTACTTCGGCCTGCTTTAGTTTTACTTCTTTTCCTTTATTTTTAATGACTTTAGTGTTTAACTCTCTCAAAAGAAACATGGTGCTAGTGAATACTGTCAATTTCAGGCCGTTACCTTCCTGGGCACAATAACTGGCCAGAAATGGGCCCAAACTAGACCCATTTAAAGTCCCTTTTTACTTTTGAGACTTTTCTAAATGGAGCTGGCAGAACAGTTTGTTTGGACTATGATTCTACTGAAGCATGACTCTAGCTGTGTCTCTCCTTCAAATGTCATAGTTACGACAGTGAGGACCCTCTGGCTCCTCCTCTCCATTTCTGGATGGTTTTCCCATTCTCCTCCATAAAACCATCTGGTTTGGAATCACATATTGTCAGACCACCTGCTACCACTTTGAGTTGTAGGCATCTACTGGCCATTGGCTCACTCTTCTCCTTTCCAGATTTTAGTTCTTGGCTTAATGACTTGCTTTCTAACACTATACATTCATTGTTCTTGGTGATTTCAATATCCACATAGATAATCTTCCTAAAACAGACCACTTGGTTCTCTGACTTCCTCTCAAGTACACTTGTTCTCCCCAATTTAGCATCTCCCTTCCATCCTTATAGCCTAGACTGTCATTACTTATAAGAACAAACCCTTCATGATGGAAATTTCAAGCATTGCATCCTACCATTTATTGTTCTAAAATGCTCACTCTAAAACACAATCCTCCCACCTCCTCAAAACAAAGAACTCACCTTTTCACGATCTAATCCCCTCTTCTAACTGTTCTCATTACCCAGCTGAAATTACGTGATCGATATTTTATAATCAGTCTCTCAACCACACTTTCAACTCCTTTCTTCTTTTTCATGCTACTGCGCTAGCAAAACCCAAACAGATCTTATCTATCTTTCTGCTCGCCCCACCCTAGCATAGGTACAGGTAAACAATCTGGACCCATTGGACCCCCCAAGACCAAATGGGTCCACATTAAAACACACCTTCCTTTGGCCGGGCGCGGTGGCTCATGCCTGTAATCCCAGCATTTTTGGAGGCCGGATCATCTGAGGTCGGGAGTTTGACACCAGCCTGAACAACATGGTGAAACCCTTTCTCTACTAGCAATACAAAAATTAGCTGGGCATGGTGGCACATGCCTGTAATCCCAGCTACTCGAGAGGCTGAGGCAGGAGAATCAATTGAACCCAGTAGGTGGAAGCTGCAGTGAGCCGAGATCTTACCACTGCACTCCGGCCTGGGCGACAGAGGGAGACACTGTCTCAAAAACAAAACAAAACAAAACAAAACAAGCAAAAATACATTTTCCTGAGGAGTCATTTAAAGTGCATGACCATTAACCTCAAGTTGGCCCTGAATGCAGCCAGGCAATCAGCTGAGCTTCCCTTGCCCTTTTATTCTTCTCCCCTCAAACCTACAATACATCCTCATTCTGTTCACTGTTATCTGATGACTTTGCATTCTATTTCTCTGAAAAATATGGAAACAAGGTGCATTAATCAGGGTTCTCCAGAGAATCAGAATCAAATATATGTGTATGTGGAAGGATGGATAGATAGATAGATAGATAGATAATAGAAACAGACAGAATTAAGGCAAGAGTTGATACTGCAGTCTCAAATCCAAAATGTGCAGGTTGGAACTCAGGCAAGGTTTCTGTGTTGCCGTCTTAGAGCACTATTGCTTCTCCTTTGGGAAACCTCATTTTTGCTCTTAGGGCCTTCAACTAATTGGATGAGGCTCACCCACATTACAAAGAGGAATCTGCCTTACTCAGTCTATTGATTTAAATGTTAATCACATCTAAAAAAATCACAGCAACCCCTAGTGTTTTACCAAACAGCCAGGCAGTGTAGCCTAGCCAAGCTGATGTGCAAAATTAACCATCATACAATGAGAAGAAGGATTTCTCAAGTTCCCACCATCACTTCTACTCCCACGGACGACAGTGCCCAAATCCTCTCTCTTTCCTTATGTTGCTGTGCGTCAGGCTTCTCAGCCTCAGCACTATCTGTGTTGGGAGGATCCTTCTCATTGTGGGGAAGCTGTACTCTGCCTTGCAGGAAGTTTAGTAGCCTGTCTGGCCTCTATCCACTAGATTTCAGTAGCACCCCCACTTGTGACAACTAAAATATGTCTCCAGACATTGCCAAATGTTCTAACAAACTTCCCCCAGTTTTAAATAAACTCTCTGTGCTCCTAGAGTCAGGCCCTCAAGTTGAGCATGAGATTCCACCTTCTCTCAGGTTGTTGCTCCAGCAATTCTCTTCTCACTTCATGCTATCCCCAATTTCATCAGTTTTCCCCTCTTTGTTGGATCATTCCCACTATATACAAATATGCTTTGTTCTTTCCCCAAAATATCTCATAGCCCACTTTACTTTTTATCTATCCCGTAATTTCTTTTGTTCTGTTTGTAGTAAAATTCCTTGCAAATGTTTGTACTTATTACCAATTATGTTGTTCTTTCTCAAATTCACTTCAGAGTTTTCCCTTGCTACTCCAACAAAGCAGCTCTCATCAATGTCACCAATGACCCTCACGTTGCTAAATCCAATAGTTCTTCTCTCACTTGTCTTATGTGCAATATTTGACAGTCGATCACTTTCTCCCCCTTGACATAATGATAAAATGAGATCTTCCTCACTGTCTTGACCACATAAATTTTGAGTTCCAAGATAATCAGACCTTGAACCTCTTGTCTATCACACTCACTCATTTGATAATCTTATCTAGTCCCTTAGCATTTAATGTCACTTACATGCTGATGAAACCTCAATTTATATCTTCAGCCCAAGCTGCTCCCATGAACTCCAGACTCATACGCCCTTGCCCTTAGTTGTGGGACTTTGCAGTTCCTTCGTCTGGTGACAGCCCCTTGATTTGGGGTTTGATCACATGACTTTCGTTAGCTGATGAGATGTGATGGGAAGTCGCAGGGTGCCAGTTCTAAGCCTAGGCCTTAAGAAAAATTGACGCTCCTGTCTTCCAAATTCCCATAGTGGTTTTACATTCCATGAAGACATTCTCCAGTTATCCTGCTTGTCCAAAGATGGTAAAAGAGACATTGGAGTAACTAGGACCTAACCAGCAGCTTAGAGTTATGAACTGTGAGCTCAGCCGCACTCAGCCGAAACCAAGCAGCTCAGTCAAGAGCGAATCATGGCTTTTCTCTGCAGTCACTCAGTTTTGGAATCAGTTTTTGGGATGCCGGAATGCTGTGTTACGTGGCATTATTATGGCAATTGTAAATGCACCACAACTCCTAATTTTCCTCCTGCACCTGTTTTGCCCTCAATGATCCTCAATTCTGTGGATAATAATTCCAGCCTTCTAATTTCTCAGGCCAAAACATATTAGAGTTATTCCTGACATCACTCTTCTTCTCATAGCTCACATCCAAACCATTATACGATCTTACCTTTTGTACCTTTAAAATATTTCTACCATACTCCCATTTCTCGGATTCTCCGTGGAGACGAAAGTGACCCCACCTTGGATGCTAGTCTGCCACAGTCCTGTGAATGCCTCCTGATTCCTACTTTACTTACTCTCCCTTGTGTAAGAACATGCCAACCTTGATGATGTTATTGCACAAATTACAGGCTGTGACACACCTGGCATTCTTGCCTGTTCTGCAGGGCTGCACTTAGTTGTCCATACAGAGGACATACACCCTCTCTCTATGGTATACAAGCCCTGGGTCTGGGGTTTAACAGTGTGGAAATCTACCTGACCTGCTACTGCCCAAGACCATGCTGCTGTTCATAAGTTTTCCAATAAATTGCCCTCTACCAACAAACCGAGTTTATCTGCCTCGTTCTTTGGCTTCTCTGTTCCTTCTGTGTTTGGTGGTCTTTTTGCATATATGGCCCTTTTATGGGACATTCATTAACCCGATGCAAGCTATCACCATCTACAAACTGGAGTGTCACAATGGGTTGCCAAATGGATTCCCTGATTCTATTTGCCCCGTTCCCCATAGAGTTGTTTTTCAACACAGAAACAAATTGATCTTGCTGAGTAAAAATTATATCTATCTCCTGCCCAAACCCTCCAGGATCTTTCTGCCTCGCTCAGAGTAAAAGCTAAGGCCCTAACCCAGGCACGCAAGGCCTCATTGGATCTGTGGCTCCCAACATCCCTTATCTCTCCAATCTCATCTTCTGTCCTTATCTCACTCCCCTGCAGCCGCACCCGCCCTGCAGAAGACATGTGCAGAGCACATGCCTGGCCTGAGTTCTTCATGCTGACACTGCTCTCTACTCCAAATAGCTCTATAACCCGCACTCCCGCTGCTCTCATGTCCTCACCAGATGCTGCCTTCATGATGAAGCTCTCCGTGTGAGTCGGCTAGGGCTGCTGCCATCACAAAGTACCATGAAGCAGGTGGCTTAAGCTACAGAAATATCTGGTCTCATTGTTCTGGAGGCTAGAAGTCCGAAGTCAAGGTGTCATCGAGGTTGGCTCCCTGTGAGGCCTGTTCCAGGCCCCTCTCCTTGTCATGTGGATGGCTGTCTTCATGCTCTCTTGGGGTTTGTCCTGTATCTTCACATTGTCTTCCCTTTTGTGTCCAAATTTCCCCTATTTATAAGGACATCAGTCACACTGGATTAAGGCCCATCCTAAGGTCCTCATTTTAATTTCATTACCTCTGTCAAGATCTTTTCTCCATCCGAGGTGCTGTGAGTTGCGATTTCAACGTATAAATTTTGAGGAGAAACAATTCAAGCCCAAACACCTTCTCTAATCATCTATGTTAAACTACATCCTCATCTGCACCTTATGTCTAATCATCTATGTTAAACTACATCCTGTAAAATGAGCATGATTCCAAAAGGTCCTTTTCTCCTTTATACTCTTCTCTCACTATGAATGGAAACTGTCAGGTGTCTCCCAGAATTATGTAGATATCCTTGGTTTTAATTTATTTACTTGACAGAGAGAACTTGTAGTTCAGACAATCCAAAAGAATACCAAGAAAGTAACATATAATAGCCTTAGAAATACCAAAAGGGAGTATTTATTGCTATAAATACTAAAGGCTAACACTCTGCAAATCCCAGCACCTTCAATTCTGCCCCGTTTGTAGACAATAGACATAGAAGGGAAGCAGCTTATTAACTTAAAAGGGAGGAGGAGCTGTTAACATCACTACAAATAATATAATATTGTTAGGCAGAGTATAATAACAATAAATCTCTAGATAACTTTGTGGCCAATATTTGAATGATCTTTGTATTTAGAGATGACAGTTACTATACTGATACACAACTATCAGTGTGTGCTTACCTTTTATGCAAAGAATGAATAATATTTTGTAATATGAGCTTGAAACTATCATCTTTTGATTTGTGGCTATAACATTCACTGAAGATCTTAGAGCAGGCGATTTAACTTCTTTTTTCACCTTTGGCCTAAAATATTATAATTCCATTTAAGAACTTTTGGTTTTTAAAGAAAGGCATGAAGCTTATAGCTCATATCTTCCTAACACTCCAAATAATTAATGAATAAACAGGTATAATGCACAAAGGTGTAGAACAAGCTTTGCAGTATGCAACCTTTTGCCAAGAAACTAGAAAAATGATATTTATATCTGTATATATAAACACTAAAGCATACAAAGAAACTCACAAATGTGGTTATTTTCCATATATATATTTTATATGCTGTTTTGATTTTCAAACCATGTCAATACATTACCTATATAAAAAATACAAAACTTATTATTTTACCTTATCAGATATAAACAAAACATATAGACAAGAAAAAGAGGGCTTGCTTTCACCTCACTTCTCCTGAAGCAAATTAACATAAGAAATGAGAATCAAAGCTTGTTCCTGTGTATTTTCCAACTATTGTCTTCATTTTTATGAGAATAAGAGTATAAAAAGAGTGATGCTATTTTAGCCAGAGTACTATGTATTGTAAACTGAATGTTTTTAGAAGAGCCCTTTTTGTATTCACTCAGAATGAGGACTTATTTTTGTCCCCAGCTGCTTTTGGAAGCATGTGCCTATAATCGGAGGGCTGCAGATACCCAGGCGTCTGCCAGGAGTCCCCGGAACAAAGCCGCAGAAGCTGGTGCCCTCTGCTTGTTTGTGTTCATGCTTGGTTCTGGATGTTGCTTTTCTTGAAAGAATTGACATTAAGTGCAGTGAAATAAATCCATTTTGTGTGACATTAAATATTTTTATCGGCTGTGTAATCATATATATAAAATCTCCATTCCTGATGAATCCTGAAATATGCTTATAAGGATGACCACATTTATTGTAGAGCAGGAAGACAGCAATGCCAGTTCTATAAAAGCCAAGTTGAAAGAAGCAAGTTTATGCATAGTGATCTGGAGTGTCCTTAGTTTATTTTTCATGTACCTCACTTTCATCTTGGTGACCAATTTATCTATATTTGACTAATATATGTATACAAAAATAAGATCTGCATAATGCATAACACAAACATCAAAACTATAAAGGACATTATAAGTGAGGTTTCAACTTAATGCTTCATGATTTGTTGACCCTAAATATTGCTACAGATATTAGCAAAGAGATCGTAGAATAAGAATTTTATTTGGAATAAACTACTCTCTATGTAATCGGCTCCAAAACTTTTAGGAAAAAATGAGTTCCAAGAGAAGATGAATTGTGAAAATTTGTTGAATGGAACCAGTAGACACAAAAAATTGCTAAAAAAAAAAAAAAAAAAGTTTAAGAATTAGGTTTTCTCCATAGATGAATGACATTTCAGTATAAAACAGTCCTCACGGAATTGCTAATTAAGTAAGAGTTATACAAGCAAAGACTGAATTACAATACTCCACTTCAGTTTATCCACCACCTTAGTGCCTAACTTGAAATTTTTTCATCTATTAATTCAGTGTTAACCTGATTAAAATTTTAAAATAATCTGATAAAATTTAATGAAATGGTCATCTCTCTAATTTTCCAGAAATTCCTCATGTCTATGCCTGTAGTTCTATAAAATTGTAGTCTGAAATCTGGAGAAGAGAAAGAGAGGGAATAAGAGTAAGTTTTTTTTATTGTGTTATTTATAACAACAAATGGTCTTTTGAGTACCAAATATATAGTCCTTTTATGCACAGGGAGACAAAATTCTAGCTGTTTCAGTAAATGCTCACTTGTAGATAATTCAAACAATGGAATATTCCAATAACCATTTTCTTTATGTATTAGCAGATAATTTCACAGTGACCTTGAATCACTGCAGCATTCCAAAGTGTTCTGAATTATCAGAGTTACAGTTATGGTCAATTTAGTTTTAGTGCTAAGAATATGTTATTAATATGAACTATTTGAAATTGTTACATTAGACTAATAATCTCTATACGTTGCTTATTAATGTTAGAAGTTCATAGATATCCTTGCTGATCATATGTTTGAAATTTGCTATACTTGACATTTGAAAATAAATAATAATGATAATGCTCTAGAGATGTTCTTTTGAAGCACAAGTTTTGACTCTTTCAGAATGCCTTTAAAAACCTTTTTATATTGAAATAAATGATCCTGTCATGGAGGCTCCTCCCCTGGATTCTCATGCAGCCTTTTTACTGCATGTTATATTGCAATGTTTGTCGACATGTTCATGCCTCCACTAAGACATGAAGCATCTAGAGGGAAGGGACTGCCTGTGCGTGTATAATGCATGAACACCTGTTGCATTTAATTGCATAATATGGCCATTTCCCATTTCAGTTTTATGGGTGCCCAGACTTTTATTCAACAAACATTTATTGAACTCCTGTAATATGATTTTCAGAGTGTCAGGATAAGAACAAGAAAGTTAAAAGATCAAAGATCCAGAGATGTTTGTTGATCTCCATTCAGTGTCATCTGGTGAATGAAGTAACTAGGCCATAATTACAATGCAAGATCAATGCTACAGGGGCCGACTGGAATACAGAGAATGAAGAACCCTAGTGTGAAGAAGAGGTGATACATAAATATCACCCTAGACATTGAACTAGGGTTCTCATATAGTGGACAGAGTGGCAAACGCAAAGATGTGGATTCAGAAGAGGTCAATGGTGTGGACTGGGAAAAGATCAGTGGGCCTGGATGACAGAGTGTATGAGGGGCTGATGGGAGCTGAAGCAGGAAAAGGACACAGTGGGCTTTGTGCACCTCTATTCTTACACTGCAGGATGCAGATGGGAAAGCAGGAGAGTCAGTGAACGGTGTGGAGTATTGACTGGAAGCAAAGAGGAAATGCAGAAAAACAAACTTTACAGCTGCTTATTGAAAACAGCTACCATTTATATAGCACTAGACAATTTGCTAGGCTACCTGCATATACTATTTAATGTAATCCTTGCAATAGTCCTGTGGGGAGGGACCATTTCCACTAGTTTCCATTTACAGGTGAGAAAAATAAAGCTGCATGGTGCTCAGTGACTTGCCCAGCTATGAAGGGAGAAAATAGTACAGTCTGTTTTCAAATCCGGAGGCATATGACTCCAAAGTAAATTCATATGATCACTGTTCTATGCCTTATGGCCAACGTCTGTTTCCGGGAACGTGATCAGAGGGGATTACAAAACAAAGCAAGGTATATGTGCCCTGGCCACTCTCCTCAGGCGTCTTGCCATTGGGGCCGGTGGCAAGTCAGAACGTCTGCCATGGAGCAGCGAGCCTCAGAGTGTGACGATTGCAGTGAGTGTGTGACATTGAGGTGATTAACTGTCACACTTGTTACACTAAGGCAATTTTTAAATAAAGGCACATAGTAGAGAGTTTTCCATAATCTGCACAGTTTAGAATTTTAGCGGAACCCAAAAACCACTAGGAACAAAAGAAAACGTGACTACAGTAACAAGGCAGCCTATGCAAATAGACCCGAGGTCACCCCGAATATGCACTTTTGTGGTCAACTGCCTGACATCCTTGCTGTTTTATGTTCACTATTGTTTGAAGATCCATATTATTAGTTTGCTCTCCTTTGGCCTGTGAAATTGATCTTACGAATTTTCTTTTCAATCTGTTTCAGTAGGCATCCTAATTTACATTGAAAATATATGGCCAGTGAAGAAACAGCCTGGAGAGATCTACACTCACATGGATCTTGGTGAGTACGAACATGTGTACATTGTGTTTACTAATCTTTCGGCGGAGGGCAAAAGGGAGCCCAGAAGAGATGGAGGCCTCTCAACCATGACATATTTGGTTATGTTTTCCATCATCTGATCTGCTATTGCAGTCAAAAAGCAAAGCATTAAGTAGATGTTAAAGGCAGAGATGTATTTATTTATGCATTTTCTGGCAGCCAAAAAGTAGAGATGGATTAAATGTGTGGTCTTAGAGCTGGATAGCTACTTGTATCTATCATCACATGGGTTTGATTTTGTGGATGGGAGTCTCAATCCACATTTAATTAAACTCCCTTGCTCTTTCAAATGAAAGCTCAGGAACACATAAAAAAGTGTTTGCTTTTAGTGCAGTGCTTCTGTGGCTTCCAGAATTGGATGGATTTCATCGCATCCTGACTGATCTATCTCAACAGGAAAAATTTAATTGATTCCATTTTTGCCTGTGCCTTCTCTTATTTTATTTTAGAGGGATTTAGAATTTGAGTTGTCTGAACGCTTTTGAAGGCTCAGAGCTCCAATTTAGTGTGAATTTATATTGTAAATTTGCAAAATTCTAGCAATAATATGAATGTGAGTAAACAAAATGTTGATCCAAAACATTTGATTTCATAAAAGACATTTGCATAGTATCTAAAAATTAGTGTCAATATTAGCGTCTTTCATGAAGCTCTGAAACTTCCAATAGTTAAAAGAGATAAAGAATATAGAGAAGATTTTAATAAGTAACATTTCCCTCATATCCCCACTACCCAATGTAAACCCAAATATATTATGACCTGAGTGAGATGAGATTAGAAATGTGATTGAACACAAATAAGTGGAACATGATATATTTTATAATCAAAATATCATAAATTCTCTAATTTCCATTTATACAGCATTGTCCTTCTGAGGATCTCAAATAATTTTATATCAATTCATAAGACAAATCAACATATTAAAAGTAGAAATTACATTGTTGTTATAATATGCTCTGCCTTGAAACAAGCAAATTTGTATATGTCAATTAACTTTTATCATAAAGAATAAGTGTAGATTATTACTCCTATCAATTTTCTCTAATACTTTGGTGAAAATTAATACTTTTTATAAATATATCCAAATATCTGCCTTTTATTGCTGTCTTTCATATCTCCAGTCTATTAGAACAAAATATAGTCTATTTCCTGATGATTAAGAATTGTAATTATAAACGCATATTTAAAAATAAAAAATTGAAATAAGCAGCATTCACTAAAATTTAGAAAATAAGAAAAATTAATATAATCATGCCTGAATTATTACTGGTATATGAAGAAATCACACTAACCAAATTTTATGATCCACATGCGAAGAAAATTGGAATATTAGGCAAACATTTTAGGTCAGAGCACACAAACTGTTTTGCGTATTATTTTTGTTGCTATTAATGTGAAAAATACATAGTTTCCAAGATGCAAACCTTTGCAGCCATATGAATCATTCCTCTGATGTCAACTCAGCCCAGAGTCCATGTTAGAGTCCCATCATACATCTAATTACCCAACCAGTCAGGGATTTTGGTTTTTTTTTGTTTTTTTGAAACAGGGTCTTGCTCTGTCGTCCAGACCGAGTGCAGTGGCACAATAATGGCTCACTGCAGTCTCGACCTTCGGGCTCAAGCGGTCCATCCTCCCACCTCACTTCCTGAGTCGCTACGATTAAAAGTGCATGCCACCACACCCAGCTAAGTTTTGTATTTTTTCGTAGTGATGGGGGTCTCACTAAGTTGCCCAGACTGATCTCAAATGCCTGGGCTCAAGCAGTCCTCTCTCAGTGCAGCCTCTGAAAGTGCGGGGATTACAGATGTGAGCCAACACGATCCCCCAGGATTTTTTTTTAACAATTTTTTTCAAATTAGCCTAGAAATATTGGAAACTAATATAATGAATCCACAAGATACATTTATTTATTTATTTAATTTATTTCGTGGTTCAGCCATCCTATCAATTAAGGGAAATATTGATAGGGTGGCTAAACCATGAAATAAATAAATGTATTGTGTGGATTCATTATATACTTGCCAAAATTTTTCGGTGTAATTAATTATGCAAATATTTTGTCTAGTCTTAACAAACATTAAAACTTGCTCACCATACGTGAAACAGTTTGCCAGATTTGGACAGCAGCAAGTCCTATGAGGGCAAAGTGGCCAGGGCAAAACTCGGGGGATCATCTGGAAGCACTGCCTTCAGGACAGAGCCTCATCAAGCTAAGCTCATAACTATGACGTGCAGAAGACATTGCCCTAGTCATGGTTTGTGCTTGGGCATCGCATGAGACCTGGCTTGCCCCAGGGCTGTTGGGTTCCATCAGGGAATATTTGGCCTGTGCAAACAGGATTTTGAAGGAGATTTGAATGGAAAGCGTATTTACAGAGGTATGGGCAGAGCTGTGGGAACCCAGGGGGATACTGAAGCCTCCTGGTAGCAGCAGAAAGCCATCACCACTCCTAGACTCAAAGGATCACAGCTGTGGGAGACGGATGCTGAAGAGAATCTGTGGCTTTTGGCAGAGCCCCACTACTGGTCCATTATTCAGTAGGAAAGGAGTCTGGGAATAAATAGTCCAATCTCATTATTCTTGTGTCCTCTGACAATCTGCCTAAATTTCCCATTGGTTACGCCTAATAGAGAAGTCTGAGAAAGGGAGACCATTAATGCAAGTCATTAAAGGTCAGCCTCCCAGGGCACAAAACAAGTTGGAAAAGGGTGAAGACAGAATTTGGTTGAACAAACAGATCTCAACCAGCACACCAGGCCTGCTGGAGGAT
This sequence comes from Homo sapiens, assembly GCF_000001405.40. Taxonomy (NCBI): domain Eukaryota; kingdom Metazoa; phylum Chordata; class Mammalia; order Primates; family Hominidae; genus Homo; species Homo sapiens. The sequence continues at coordinate 187,459,736 of NC_000004.12, forward strand.
GGTCACCAGGGCTGTGCTAAGCCATGCTGGACCCAAGACTAAAGGAAATATCTGTAATGATGATGCTGTCTTGCTTAAAATTTTGATATTGTTGTTTATCATAGTTTTTTGCCATTGATCTTATTTTTAAGATGTGGCATTACAATATTATTTATCCTGATTACTCAGTTTTTTTGGTAACCCCTTAAATTTTGCGCTCAAGATGAATATCTCACTCCCCAAACTCGAATCTCAGCCCAGGTAATTGGAGTCAATATACTGCATTTTGCTTTCTGATGATTACCCATAATTTTACTGTGTGTTTCATTATGTGTGTTTCTTTCATTAATACATTGTGAATAACTCTTTTAAAACCCAAGTTCTGAAAAACTGTGTGCACACCTGATGTATTTTATAATATGAAGTCTGGAGAGCATCCCTGTTTTCTGAAACAAGCAAGGTTATGTATCCTGATAAACTTTCTTTCCCGGAAACTGCTGTGTTTGGATCCTTTGTTTGTGACCTGACCCCTAGAGATCAGCTCATCCTTGAATGACAGCTGGTAAATAAATGACCAGCAACATTTTATTCTGTGGCTTCTCTGCCCCTTGACCCTGCTAGAGTCGAAGATTTATGAGGGCAAGGATAGCGGTTTTTGTTGTTGATGTTGTTGACCTCACCACTCTAGCAATACATACTGATTAATACAACAAATGAATTAATCAACAACCATATCATATGGGAACCATGGATATCAGATAACACATCTCCGGCTAAAGGAAAACAGGATAACCACCTCATTAGGTGCTCCTGCTAACCTTTTGTCTTCTTGTTTGTGATGACTTAGAATCAGAACATTCAACTATGGAAAAACTGGGGGATTTATTACAAGTGGCTGGAGAGCCTTATGAAGCTACATACAAATGCTAGAGCATTCAATTTCTTTTGCTTGGGACATATCTCCTCCCAGCTAATCTCCATTCATCCATGGGTACTATGTACTACAGAATCAAAAGGAGAGCGTGGAGGAAATGATGTCATGAGCGTCTGTGAAGCTCCTTACATAAGTCACTACAGTAAAGTTGGAATTCTTGACGCTGTCACTAGAATACAACAATTTAACACTTGACTACATAAAATTCTTAAATATCTAAAGCACTGGGATTTTGAATTAAAATACATTTATTATTTAGAATGTCACATGCTTTTTATTAGCTGTTGGTAGGTATGTTCACAGTGAATGAGACATGAATCGACGTGAGCTCAAATGTGAAAACTAGACATTTCAATTTTGGACTTTGTTATTTGAAGGTATACTAAGGAAAGATCTCTGACACAGCAGCTGTGGACAACAGTTTACAATGATCTAACTAGCTCACATTAGAATTTCCCAAATGTGTTTCTGTGGGATGTTAATAGGTGATGTATGAGGGGGTGTGTGTGTGTGTGTGTGTGTGTGTGTGTGTGTGTGCATGCGTTGATGGTAGTGAAGGTGATTACGTGGTTGAATACTTTTGCTAAGTGCTGGGCTAAACAGATTCTTTCAACCTACTGGGAGCCTAATATGATTATTTGAATCTTTAATCTTTAAGAAGGATGTGCGACATTTGCCACAAAGTATGTGACTACAGTACCCATTTTCCCATAGCATTTCACAGGATTTTGAATTCCCAGAAAACATTTTGGAAAGTGCTGGTGTCTTCAATAGTAATACTTTTAGTTCTGTATTAGTTTCCAATTGCTGCTGCAAAAAAATTACCACAACTTAGATACTTGCAACCACACAAATTAATTTCGCTGTAGCTCTGGAGGTCCCAATTCTGAGGTGAGTTTTACACAACTAAGATTGCAGTGTCCGCAAGGCCGCGTTCCTTCTCGAGGCTCTGCGGAGCAGAGACGCCCTGGTCTTGCCGTTTCCAGCTCCTCAGGGCTGCCCGTGCACTCTTTGGCCCTGGCGCTCCAACTTGCAATTCTGTCATAAGATCTCCTTTTTCCTGTAAAATCGTCAAAGATGCTCCAAGAATCACGTTTGAACAGGTCTCATTCATTTTAAAGTAATCTCATGTAATTTCAAAAGCATGTTGAGTATCCACTCCGGGGATGACTTTCACTCATGCGATGTGAGGTGTTCATCCCAATGAAATGCAATCTAGCCCTTAAATAATGAATTATTTAATTGTAGATGTAAAATTAGTTCCCAGGTATTTAAACTTCAAAGAAGAATATAAATGGCCTAAAAACAACTCACAAAAGTGCTTCAGGGGCTGGGCGCGGCGGCTCACGCCTGTAATCCCAGCACTTTGGGAGGCTGAGGCGGGCGGATCACGAGGTCAGGAGTTCGAGACCAGGCGGGCTAACATGGTGAAACCCCGTCTCTACTAAAAATACAAAAATTAGCTGGGTGTGGTGGCGGCTACACAGGAGGCTGAAGCAGGAGAATGGCGTGAACTCAGGAGGCAGAGGTTGCAGTGAGCTGAGATCATGCCATTGCACTCCAGCCTGGGCGACAGGGTGAGACTTCGTCTCAAAAAAAAAAAAAAAAAAAAGTGCTTGAGGGTGCACGCCAGGGGTCAAACAATGGGTAGTGTTCTGACCTGTTAAAATTTGGAGAAGCAGCCAGGGCTGAGACAACAGTGCAAAATGAATGCCCGAAAATATCTCAGTTAAACGCAGGAAATTGGTGTTTCACACGTGTTCCTAGGAGCCAAATGTGAGAGTAAGGTATAATACATGTGACAGAATGGGAATGAAGAAGTCTGGAAAAGCAGACTGAGGCCAGATGGTATTTTCTCTTATGCTTTGAATGAGGTAATTTGTCTTAACATGGTTGGTAGTTAATTTGGTTGTTTATAATTTTTTCAACAAATAATTATGAGCACCTACCAGTGTCTAACCTCACCCTGGGTGTAGAGGTGATGGAGAGCCATCAAAGGCTTTTCACCGGGGCAGTGGTAAAATCATGCAGAGCTTTAGAAAGTCAATTCTGGCAGCAAATTCGAATAAATGGGGGGCTCTGTATTAGTTTGCTAGGACTGCTGTAGCAAAGTGCTACCAACGAAGGGGCTTAAACACAGGAGTTTATTGTCATAGTCCTGGAGGCCAGAAGTCCAACGTCAAGGTGCGAGCAGAGTCATGCTCCCCCTGAAGGTGCCAGGGAATGATCTGTGCTGGGCCTCTCTCCTGGCTGCCTGCAGTTCCAGTGGCAGCGTAACTGCAGTCCTCACATGCTGTTCTCTGTGTGTGTGTGTCTCTGTGGCTGTGTCCAAATTTTCCCTTTTTAGAAGGTCATGTTTTATTAAGTCATATTGGATGACTGTGCCCACCCTAACGATTTCCTCTTAACTGACCATCTGCAAAGACCCTGCTGTGGTCTGAATGTTTATGTTCCCCCCAATACCTATGTGAAACCTAACCCCCAAGGTGATGGTATTAAGAGGTGGGACCTTTGGGAGGTGATGGGTCAGGAGGACTTCCCCCCTCATGAATTGAATCAGTGGCCCATAAAAGAGGCCTGACAGCACTTTTTCACTCCTTGTGCCATGTGGGCACACATAGAAGGCACCATCTATGAGGAATGGGTCCCTACCAGAAAGGGAATCTTGATTTTGGACTTCCCAGTCTCCAGAACTGTGAGCAATCAATTTCTGTTCATAAAATTACCCAGTTTTGTTTATTTTGCTATTTTGCATGAATGGACTAAGACAGACCCTATTTGCAGATAAGGTCAAATTCATAGGTTCTAGCAGTTAGTGCTTCAACATCTCTTTGGGGAGATATAATTCAACCCGTAACCCACTGGAAGTGGAGGATGGAGGAAGTGGGAAATCTAGTTAATTTTCAGTGGTTTTGGAAGACGTGCCTGGGCAGAAGTGAGGAACTTGCAGTGTCCTTAGGAAATAACGGGAGCCCAAATGAGGGCAATGGCAGCAGGATGGGAGGAGGTCCTGCGTGCCATATCGAGCATCCACACCACAGCACTATTTATCATGAATCTGCTTCTGAAAACTTCAGCATAAGCAGTACAACTTCTCGTTTATTGCTTTTTGCTAAGATGAAACAGAACTAAAAATGTGCTGAAAACTGTAAACTCTCCCATACATTTCTCATCATGATTCTCTTTCTACTACTGACCAGATAATGAAAATAATCAGCACTATCTACACAGCACAAATATTTTCATTTATATTAAATTGGATATGCTTTTTCTTTTTTAAAAATGACCAGCATTGCATTTTAAAGTGACTTTTTTTTTCTTTTTTCTACTGACTGTACATTTCTGACTTTATGTATTGGCAACTGGAAGATTTCAACATTATTCTATATTTGAATCAAATGCATATACTTTTCTTTCCAAATGTAAGCAAATTGCGATCATCTGGGAGTGAATGTTTTTAAGAATCATGCAATACTTAGTCTTCAAGAAACTTGTCACGCAGAAAATCCTTGGTGTATGAATTTTTGCAGCCCATCTTATTTAATGAATGTTCTAAGAAGACTTCAAAAAGACAAATTAAAATCAGTTGTCCCTGACAACTGAGGAATATCAAGAGCTTTTTAATAAATTTATTTAAGACTGAATATGGGTCAAAATATTTTTATACCCATTCTTAGAACTGACAGATTGTCACATTTGTTAGTGTGGGTGAAAATAATATTATATTTCAAAAATCAATGAAAAATAAAAGTTAAATTGAAATGTCACATATGGTATTATAAGCAATTGTGCCACTCCTGCATATTAAAATTAAACATAAGCATAGGCAACCAGCCCTTGGTTTCTGAAAGTCTTCACAACTTAGCCTGAGAAATACAAAACCATTTTCCCTCTTGTTCCCTTCACCAACTTTTGACTCAGATCCCTTTTTCTTTGCTTCTGAAACTGCCCCAGGTCACCCCCTAGGCAGCCAGCCAGTCTAAAAGAATCAAAGTAGCTATTTTACAGGGCTTTGCTCATTATGATTTCAGCAAACCCTTTCCATGCTCCTGTTTCCCTCTGACACACTTCTCAGAAGAGAGATATTGGCTTACACTTGTGCATTTGTGTCCTCAGAAATTACTGTTCATACATAATTGCCTTGTATTTAGAGTGCCCTGACAAGATTCTTCTTGCTCTTACAATTAGAAGTAGTAGAATGTATTTTGCCATTCCAATGCCAAGAACAAAACTCAAGTCTCTCAAGATTCAAGATTCATGGAGAGCTGGCAAGCCAGGAACTCTTACTGCAAAGGAAAGAGATTTAAGGAGGCTTAGAAGAGAAGTTGTAAGGAATTGGAATGCTAATATTTCTTGCCAAATCAAACTTTCTGGAGGTATAATTACTGTAATTAGAAATAGGTGACATTTTCCTTGAGATATTTATATACAGAGCTCAAATCCAAAGGAAAAGCACTCGTTTTGTACCATCTCTCTTCTCAATATCTCTCTCTGTCTTTCTGTCTTGTCCAATTAGGAAATTCAGTGGTAGCTAAAACACAACTTTGCCTACTTTAGAATTCTGTCTGTGTCTAAGCCCCAGAATACAACTTTTAATAACTCCAAGCCTCCTTGAAAAGGTGACAACAAGACAGCTTTGACATTTTGTGCACATTCATCCTTACTGCTGGGAAAACCACAAAACCTGGAGTCTGCCAATGGAGCATCAATAATCTTTGTGTCATAGGTGAAGACCAGTAAAATTAGCACTTAAGACAATTCTTCCTGGCTTTCCTAAACAAATTCGTGAAAAGAAGTGGATTCGTCTTTCTCTACTCTTAGCTCGTCTATTTGAGTATATACTTTCTTCTTTGAAGACATCGTTCGTTTTCATGGATTTCTTATCAACCTCTTTGTGGCTGACTTCCAGCCCTTTCATTAGCATGGTCTGCACGTGTAAATCATCTGACTCGTTTAGCTTTCCAGCTTTGTCTCTCGCCTCCCTTCCTTCCCTCCCGCTTCACCCCTGCCCCTCTTTGTCTAGGCACAGTGGAGTTCCTCTGATCCCCAAACCGATGTTCCTTCACATTGCTGTGCTTACTATTCTAATGTCCTTTTATTTCTCTATTTTCAAAAAATGCATTCTACTTGGTAGTTTTCTCTCTATGGAAGCTTCATCTGAAGACTTCTATCTTAAAACAAATTTTTCTCTTTTTTTTAACTCCAGAAAACTTTGTTCTAGTATTTACCATATTTCATTGAAATGATACAATAATTCACACAGAGTAGATAATAAATATCTCTTTAATTAATTAATCATGTATATTTTATTCTCAGCACTCTCTTTACCAAATTGCCAGGGCATTAGAAACTCCCTCCTCTGTAACCCATAGAAGCTCTACATATTGCCTTTATCACATTACCTGGCAGCTAATCATTGGCGTTGTTTCTCCTCAGATACCCCAGACATCACAAACTCCTTGAGGTTACAGCTTGTGTTGCACTCATCTTTATATTCTGAATCTAACATTGTGACTGGCACAGAGCAGACACCTGGTGAGTATTGAATGAGTGACTAAACTCAAAGGGCAGCACATACAGTCTCCAAGGTATGTGTTATGACTGCATTAGGCTGTTTTTGTATTGCTATAAAGAAATACCTGTCACTAGGTAATGTATAAAGAAAAGAGGGTTAATTGGTTCATGGTTCTGCAGACAGTACAAGGAGTGTGATGCTACCATCTGCTTCTGTGGAGGCCTCAGGAGGCTTACAGTCATGGTGGAAGGTGAAGGAGGAGCAGTCATTTCACATGGCAACAGCAGAAGCAAGAGGAAGATATGGACGGAGCCACTTTTAAACAACCGGATCTCTCGAGAACCCGTTCATGATCTGGAGGACAGCACCAAGCCATGAGGGATCCACCCCTCTGGCCCACACACCTCCCCCAGGCCACACCCCAGCATTGAGGATGACATTTCCACATGAGATTTGGAGGGGTCAGGCATCCAAACCCCATGTCAATGACCTTTCTCTCCCAGTGATGTCAGAGGACACTTATCATTTGTGCCACGCTAACCTGTGGGTACAGCCTGATTCTTATTTTCCCTTTGTTTATTTACTCATTTTTTTTGTTTGTGAATTTTGTCTCTCCACTGGGCCATTAATTAATTCATTATATTAGTTAGAATTCTCCAGAGAAACAGAACCAACAAGAGATAGATAGATGATAGATAGATATATAGATAGATAGATAGATAGATAGATAGATAGATAGACAGATAGATTGATTGATAGATAGATAGGAGGGGTTCAATATTATGAGAAATGGTTTGCCTGATTCTAGAGGCTGAGATATTGTGCTGCCTGAAAACCGGAGAACCAGGGAAGGTGTGGTACAAATCAGTCCAGGGCTGACAGCCCAAGAAGCTCAGTCTGTGACAGTGGGTGTCCCAGCTCCAGAGAAAGAGTGTGTTCGCCCTTGCTCTGCCGTTTTGTTCTCTTAGAGCCCTCCGTGTACTGGGGGGTGCTTGCCCACATTGGTGAGGGTGATCTCCTTTACTGAGTCCACTGATTCACATGCTACCCCTTCTGGAAACAGCCTCACACACACACCCAGAAAGAATGTTTTACCAGCTATATGGGCATCTCTTAACCCAGTCAAGGTGATGCATAAAATTAATGCTCACACTCACCTAGATCTTACAGCTCACATTTTCCTAGCAGAGAAGAATGGATTGCTATAGCAATGAGGGTTCTTAGAGACTCAGGATGTTCGCCCTGCAGAAATTACCTCTAAATTAATCCCAGCTGGAAGTCAGAGAGCCTCTATAAAACATAGCCTGTGTTCAGCCACATTGATTTTTATTATGGGAAATATATGAAAATTCAGCAAAGGTGACGGAGTGCCTTCTGAAGAGAACCCAGTGGAGATTCTTACCACCATTAAAAACAAGCTCATCATCAGTTCATCTTATTGGTGTGAGATTTGCTTCACAATCTTCAAATAATGTTACAGAAGATTTCATCTGAAACTACACATTTTGGGGATTTTTATTTAGGCTTTCATTTAAAACACCGAACACTGAATAAAAGAATCTAAGCCTATTATCTATATATCTATGGCAAAGTTTCTTCACTTTATTGTCAAAAGTTTACATAAAGTTGAAACCAGAAAAAAACATTTTTTTCTTAACTATCTAATATTGGTGAGAAATTGAGAGATACTTTTTTTTTTTTTTTTGGATGGAGTTTTTGCTGTTGTTGCCCAGGCTGGAGTGCAATGGCACAATCTCGGCTCACTGCAACCTCCACCTCCTGGGTTCAAGCCATTCTCCTGCCTCAGCCTCCTGAGTAGCTGGGATTACAGGCATGCACCACCATGCCCGGCTAATTTTGTATTTTTAGTAGAGATGGGGTTTCCCCATGTTGGTCAGGCTGGTCTCGAACTCCTGACCTCAGGTGATTCGCTCGCCTCGGCGTCCCAAAGTGCTGAGATTACAGGCATGAGCCACCGCGCCTGGCCGAGAGATATCTTTTTACCTTGAGGTATATTTAGAGTTGACCTCAACATACCACTGTACTCAGTTGAACAGATATAATTAGATTTATAATTATCTTTTAAAAAGTTGTTCTAATACTAACAGTTTAAATAATGTGAGTATCCAATTACTTGGTTTTATTATCCTACATATTTAACACTTACATCCAGGAACATGCAGGTTTTCTTTTATGCTTAGCTTTGTTTTCTGGGGTAACAATGAAGAAAATAATCTCTAGAGAATAAAAGATAAGAAACCATGAATTATCTGAAAGACTTAAGGTTTATATCATTTGGAGCCTGAACTTAAATGATGTGTTTGCAGGAGAAAAACAATTCTAGAAGACCATTCTACTTAAATGGAGCTTGTACTAAAGTGTTGAAAAGCTGCAAAATGTTGCTTATTTTTAAGTTTAAGGCAGCTATACCTGGAATAATTACCATGACAACTTAAGGCCAAGTTCAAGAGCCCGAGTGAAAAATAGAATCAGTTCTATAATTGATTCTCTTTGAAACTACTAAATTCACAGTTGCAGAATTGTACCACTTTAACTATATTCTTTGTCTGAATTATATGCAGATTGTACAGGTTATGTGTTTTTACTGTAGCTTTGGTATTTCATTTCTGGAGAAGAAACAAGGTTGTCAGTCAAATATCTTAAACTATGAAATAGTGCATGGACTCACAGAGCTCCGCTTCACATGCATAGTGTGAGATGAACAGAAAGTGGCCACTGGCATGACAAGAACATCTGCTACTTAAAACTATGTGGCCATAAGCAAGATAATTAACCTCTTTAAATTTTCTTTTTTATCTTTATAAATAAGAATGTCAATGAATTCCTTATACAGATATAATGATAAAATGAGATAATATATTTAAAGGGTATAGAAAGGTGCCTAGCATATTTAAACCATCTAAAAATAGTTTTGCTTTTATGTATTGAAAAGTTCGGTTGCACCAAAGTCACTGCAAAAGTGACTAGTCAAAGGCAAGTAACACAAAACTTAAGAACAATTGGATTACATGAGTAAGAGATTTGTAGTTCTCCCCCTACAAATATGGAGTTGGCTCAGGACAGAGCTCTTCAAGAATGTTTTCAAGGACCTAGGCTCCTCATCTCTCCAGTCCTAACCCTTGGTCGTGACTTTCATCCTCATGATTCCAAGACAGCTGCTGCACATCCAATGCCATGTCTGCATTCCAACCACAAAGAAGGAAAAAGGATAAAAAGCCAAATATCTTCTTCACATAGGAGGTTTTTTCTTTTTAATTTGGAAAAATAACCACTTTCTAGCTAACTTTTAATTATATTCTATTAGTGAGAAGAAATATACCAAATTGCCATTTAACACAAAGAGGGGTAGGAGGTTTTAGGTCTTAACTGGAAACATAGCTATTCCTTTCTCTGTATCTGTTATCTGTCTCTGTCTCTACCTCTCTCTTTCTGTGTGTGTGCATGTGTGTGTGTTGTGTAAAGAGAGACACACACAGAGAGAGAGAGAGAAAGAAAGAGAGAGAGAACAAAAGAAGAAAGGAGAAGGTATATTGGATAGCTAACCAGCAATGTTAGCCACGGTTATATTTAGACAATTCGTTTTGCAGCTTATAAGAGGGCATGCTTGAATATAAACTCATATGACAAGCATAGTTAAAATACTTTCATTCAATTTTGCATTCCATGAAGCTTCACTATATACTCTAGTCCAGTTTAGCAAGGAGTGTTAGACTGGGGCTAGAATCTGGACAGCCTGTGTCTGTCTCTAGTTTACTGCTTAGCTTTGTGCAAATTACCTAATTATTCTGCATATAATTTTCCTCTCCCATTAAATGTGGAGGTCAGATGAGAGGCTACCAATTTCAGATCTTAAATTTGGTGGTTTCATGATTGTTATATTTCTCCCTATTCTTTTAAAAAACAGTTTCATATTTTCAAAAACTTAATAATTTTCTGGAACTATTGAACTTTGGTTAAGACAGTCTTGCAGAGGTTATGTATTGTTCTCAGCACTGTGCCAGGCTGCATGTGAGACACAAAACCAGTTAAAGACATGCCCGCCGCTCTCCGTGTATGACACTAAGCACCTTCAGTGTGGCCATGACTCACTGTTGGTGCCAAGGTTCCAAGAAGAGATAAGTCAGAATGACATGAGGAATTTAAAGATGGCTTCACAGATGAATGGAACTGGAACTCAATGCCATCTCACTAACATTTGAAAATTAAATACAAGGTAGAATGAAAAGATATGGTTAGGTGGATAAAATATGAAGGAACATCTCAAACAAAGGGAGATGCACCAACAGAAACACAGATGAGAACGCAGGTGCTATGATGTGGATGTTTGTCTCTCCAACCCCTGCATTGAAATCTCACCCCAGTGTTGGAGGTGGGGCCTGATGAGAGGAGTCCGGGTCATGAGGGCAGATCCCGCATGAATAGATTAATGGCCCCCATTGGGGGTGAGTTCTCACCTCAGAGTTCCCACAAGAACTGGTTGTTCAAAAGAGGCTGGCACCTGTGTCCACCCACCTGCCATGTCCTCTCGCCATGTGATCTCTACGTACCAGCTCCCCCTCACCTTCTCCTGGCACCATGGTGGACGTTCCCTGAGGCCTCACCAGAAGCCAGGCATTGTCAGCACTGTGCTTCTTGTCCAGCCTGCAGAACCATAGGCCAAATAAACCCTTCTTTATAAATTACCCACCTCAGGGATTCCCTTAGAATACCAAATTAGACTCAGACAGTAAGCTTGACAAGTTGGGGCCGAGGAAGGAGCCTCTCCCAGTTAGGTGAGAAAGCATATGCTAGTGACTGATAAAAATAAGGTTGCCCGAAGACTTCGTAAACCTGTTTCCTGCAATTCTTACTCTAACACAAATACACAGCTAGGACCAGGAGGCTGCTTCACCATAAGTGTCTCTACCACTTGCACACACAGTGCACACAAGTTGAATCAGAGCAACTTGCTGTACTGGACCCAGGTTCCTGTGAGCAGAAAGTACAATACACTCCTCAGTATCCATGCCATGTATCCGACTCAGTGTCACTCAGTGTTGCTAATACTGTATCCGGACTTAGCCAACTCCTGGATCCAGAGCTGGCCAAAATAAGCAAAACAAACAAACAAAAACCTACCTGAATGCCTTTGTTGCACCTTCAGTTGTGAACTAATCAGTCATAAATCCCAACCCAACTCTTTCTATCTCTTGCCTATAACTGTTCCTGTCACTTATGCATTGGTATCACAAATGGGAGAGACCTGGTGTTAATTCATTGAGTAATGAGAAGCCACTATGGATACTTGAAGCAGAAAGGAACTGTTTTACGAAGTTCTGTTCCTCGGCAGCATTTGAAATAAAAAATAATGTAGTCATCTCACTAGGCAGATGAGATAAAGGATTGCTGTGTCTATTATCTTGGAGAAAGACCATAAAGACCTAGATTGAGGTGGTAGACTTTCAAGTGAGGGTGAAAATAAATGGGATTTGAGCTACAGATTGGAAACACAGAATGGATTGGAACAGAGAGTGTGCAACTGTCTTTATTTCAGATTTCTATTTGCCCAGTGTTTGTCCATTTTTCACCTGGGGAACAGGACCCAGAGGTGCCAGAAGTGACATTCAAGCTGAGGGAGGGCACCAAGTCTATATGACTGGGAGGAAGTCAAAGGTAACTCTTTGTCGTGGCAGCTCATCTGACATAAATGCAAGTATCAAGTGGGGCTTTTGGCTAGTGCTGAGATTTAGCTTTTTCAACTGCCTAAAATTTAGATCATGGCAAAAACATTTTAGTAGGGATATATTTTAGGTAGTTATGCTTAAAAATAAGAAAATGGGGACATGGGAGAGGTTGGTCAAAGGATACATCATTACGGTTAGGAAGAATGAACTCAAAAGACCTAGTGTATAGCAAGGTTATGATAATTAATGACAATTTATTGTATTCTTGAAAAATGCAAAGAGAGTAGGGTTAAATGCTCTCGCCACAAAATAACTATGTGAGATAACGCAGTTGTTAATTAGCTAGATTTAACCGTTCAAAATATATGGTAAACAATAAATAGCTACAATGTTATCTGTCAAATTAAAAAAATTTAAAAGTAAAATAAATAAGGAAACAGGCAAACAAAACTTTTAAAAGTCTGCATTTTAATATTCTAGCAGTGTTTTAATCTATTTTATCTTATCTATAGATTTTGTTTCTCTCTATATAAAGACTATAAAGATATCCGAAAAATAATCTCTCTGATATCTTTATAGTCTCCTCAATTTACAAACTATTCGATTTTAAAAATAATTGACCATATATATCCATATTATGTTGGTATGTGTGTCAACCATAATCGTACTTTTTTTTTTTTTTTTTTTTTTTTTTTTTTTTTTTTTTCAGACGGAGTCTCGCTCTGTCACCCAGGCTGGAGTGCAGTGGCACGATCTCGGCTCACTGCAAGCTCTGCCTCCCAAGTTCACTCCATTCTCCTGCCTCAGCCTCCCGAGTAGCTGGGACTACAGGCGCCCGCCACCAGGCCCGGCTAATTTTATGTATTTTTAGGAGAGACGGGGTTTCAACGTGTTAGCCAGGATGGTCTCAATCCCCTGACTTCATGATCCACCTGCCTCAGCCTCCCAAAGTGCTGGGATTACAGGCGTGAGCCACCACGCCCGGCCAAATCTTACTTTTTGTAACTAATTTAATAGAGGAGGAGGAAAGAAAAGTATATGAAAGTACCTTCAAATAATGGAGTGATAATTTTAGTTCAAGTTCAATAGTTAACATACACTTAAGATATTTTTAAAGAAACATCACATTGTAATCACCAGAGCCTTTTAAGCACTGGCTAATTGAGAAATATACTAAGTCTCCAAAAATACATTTTTTGTGTGACTTTGACATGATGCTGTGGTTTCTCTTTGTCTAGAATCACTTTACCTGTGAATCCTGTAGGCTCACATGCCACTAGCCAAATCAAACTTAACAGCTCCTGGGAAATCTTTAAAGATTATTTCATCAATTTGCTTGCTACATATGTGGCCTTAGTTAATGTTGTAAGTGCTTTTTTTCCCATTTCAGATGATTTTTTTCCTTCATTGTATTTGAAAAAATTAACTTTCCTATTTAAAAGGCAAAGTCAACATACAGTTCATTCTGAGAGTATTTCTTAACATGTTTGGGTCAAATCTTCTTTGTAGATACTGGTAGAACTCACAGAGACTCCGGTAAGATGACACATTTCCCAGTACAATTTCAGGGGGGTTCATAACCCCAAAGCCACTCTATGAAATGGAACAGGAGACACTTCCAGACTGTATGATTAATTAGTAATTTGTCAGATGTAAAGATTTTTATTGAAGGAGGGCTTGCAATTGGAATAAACATAAATTATTTCCCAGAACTGGGAGCACGTGTCCTGAGGAGGATGACTTGTTTGCTCTGTGGAGGTGAAAGCGATAGCCTGAGCCACAGCCTCGCTGAGCCATTGTTGCTGACGGGTAAATGCTGGAACCCTTATATACCAGAGGGAACCACTACCCTGCAGTCTCAGTTGTGCTTCTCTGTCTTCCTGGATGACCACAACCCCAGGCAATTTAGGCCCACATTATCCATTCCTCTTTCTACCTTCTCCCATCCTTCATGTAACAAATATTTATTGTGTCTACCACAGATCAAACATTTGAGAAAAATCAAAACAGAAAACTCCTCGATCTACAGAACTTACATTCCAGTGGGGGATGATAGAAAACAGAAAATAATCATATTAGAAAGTGATTAACACTGTGAAAAAAAGTGAGAGTTAGCAAAAACACTCCCTCCATCCACAGTGTGGTGGGCTCTCTATCCACTTTGACCCACATTTGGTGGTGGAAGTGGCTCTGTGCTGGTTTTTGGTCCCAGGACTGCAGGCCTGGCTGTTCCCTGTCCCTGAGCCATGCTGTTGGAAGTCTGGGTGTTTGAATGGAGAGTCCATGGGAAGGTCCTGAGACAGAAGCAGGGGAAGAGGGACCCAGGCCTGCAAGGCCCCAGCCATCCCTGCCAAGGTGCTGGGCCCTCCAGATACCCCAGCCACGAGCTGGAGACCCCTACAGTCATTACATGGAGCAGAAGATCACCCAGGCATGCCCTGCCCTAGAGTCTGACCGACAGATCACAAACAAAATAAAGTGGTTATTGGTTGAAGCCATTAAATGTGGTGTGGTTTGCTAGTCAGCAGCAGATAACTGGAAGCTTGGTGGTTGTCTCCACAAAAACAAAACAAAAACCCAAACTACATTATTTCAGGCACGACCGCAGTGGCCCTGTCAGTTCTTCACTGCACCCTGGCTGTCGGCTGTCTCCGTCTCTCATTTCCTACGGCCCTGTTCTTCCGGACCTTTCCCACTCAATTCAAACCCAAACCACATCCTTCGCTTTTCTTACAATCATCACAAGACCTCGTCTTGCATTAAAAACAAGTATCAAAAATATCCTAAATGAATGGTGAATACAAGTTTGAGAGCCTCAAATCTTTCACTATAATCTCCTCCTCTTTTTTCTCTTTCTTCTCTTAGAAGAAAAGCTGACACTAATTTTCAAGGCTAATCCTCCCACTTCACTTGTAATATCAATCCCTTTGTTCTCTTCTACTTACCCCTGGTAATTATTTTCAACCCGTTCCTCCATCCTCCTACCTTACCTATGCCAACAAGAGACCTGTTCTCAGTTCTCATCCAACTTCACAGTGGCAACATTCTTTTTGAAATACTTTCTTCCCTGGCTTTCTAAAACACTGACTTTTAAACCATCCTTCACAATGCTGCAATAATGGTCTTCCTAAAACAAGCATTATACTATGAAGTTTTCTCCCTCAGAAACTGTCAATGGCTCCCTGTAGCTTTCTAAGTAAAGACCACGGTCCTTTCACCGTAGTCTTAGCTCTCCATAAATAATCTCACACAGCTCTTTCTATTTTGCAGGCCTTTATTCAGTTGCATGTTTCAGACAACTCTGCTTTCCTTCAAGTTACATCTTCATTCTGAAAACCTTTTCCTCTCCTCCTGAATCCAACCCATTCTTCAAGGCTCTGCTGAGGTCCACTTCTCCAACTCAGGCTTCAACCAACACATTATACACTCACCCTTCTTCCAATGGCATTGAACACCTGCCCCTGCATTCCTGTTTAGCATTCCTTTTCTGTGCTTTGTTAAATATTCTCTATCATCTTCTCTTTTTTTTTTTTTCATTTAGTAATCTGCTTAACATTTTTAAGGCATATGGGATAAGAGACACTGGGACCCATGCTAAGAAAACAGAGGCAATAGACTCTGTCCATCCTCAAGAGGCACACACTCTAACATAAAGACAGTCACTTGCAATAGGTTTCTTTTAAACCCTCATAGAAGTAACAGTTCAGTGGGAGTTTTGAAGAATAAGTGCTCAAGACTATGTAGGAAACTCAGAGACGGCTTCTAGAAGGAGGCTATAGTTGAGTCTTTAAAAAACACATAGAAGGCCGGGCCCGGTGGCTCATGCCTGTAATCCCAGCACTTTGGGAGGCCGAGGTGGGCGGATCACGAGGTCAGGAGATCAAGACCATCCCGGCCAACATAATGAAACCCCGTCTCTACTAAATATACAAAAATTAGCCAGGCGTGGTGGCAGGCGCCTGTAATCCCAGCTACTCAGTAGGCTGAGGCAGGAGAATTGCTTGAACCCAGGAGGTGGAAGTTGCAGTGAGCCAAGATCGCACCATTGCACTACAGCCTGGGTGACAGAGCGAGACTCCATCAAAAAAAAAACAAAAAAAAACCACATAGGTAGTCAAGATAAATGAGGAGGGCATTCTAGATGAAAGGGGTAACAGAGATGAAAAACACTGTGAAATGCTGCAGAAAGTTTGGGCAGCCTGCTGGTGTGGGAGTGCTGGATGCCAGGCAGGAGAAAGGGGAGGTGAAGTGGGGAGGCAGCAGGACCAGATGGACTATAGATGATCTCACTTGCCAGGACAAAGAGCTTGACTTGTCACAGGGGAAATTGAGGGTGCAGGGAGGACTTTCAGAGGTATAGATGGGCTATGACATGATTGGATAAGAGATCATTCTGGCAACTCTGGTTTCTACGTCTGCCTTCCCCCCATCTCCCTGCCACCACCACACACACAAATTAGGGCTTTTAAGTGAGAAGGAACTGTTAATTTTACATTTGTTCCTCTCCTAGAAGTTCATGCAACCTCCCACATACAATAGGTACTTAATAATGTTTTTATTTTATGAATAAAGAGGTTGAAAGTTACTATGTTTAAGTGGTCTCTTCACTAAATGTGTTATTATCATTATTAATCTTGCAGCAAAGGGAGGAGAATAGTATTTGGAGAAAGGTGCCTATGACTACATGTTCTCCCACTGACCTTGCATGGGAGAAACTGGGTGCTCTGGCACAATTCTGCTCATTGATCCAGGCTGTGGGGTCCTGAGGCAAGACTGTGGCCCATTACACAGCCTTTGAGATGGCAATGCCCTTTAGGAGGCAGGATTTCTGCACACCTTTTCCTATGCCTTCTGCTTTTACACAAGGAGAAACTGATGAGTTTGCAGTGGTAACCACCCTGTTCCTAAGTGTGATGCCTCCAAACTGGTCTGAGACGTGAGGGTGAAGTCCTGTAAAGTCCTTTGTTGCTGTTTTTTATTCTCTTATCTATATGTAAGTTCAACATCTCTTGTTATAAACGCTTCAAGTGCATTAACCCTGACTAGGACTCTTGTTGGAGAGTAACCTATATCTCTTCTTTGTCATAACTAAGATCAGAACCTGAGATGCCTTTTGGGAGGAATCCTAAGACTTCCTAAATCAGATACTTTTAAGTCTGCTGAAAGAGATGAAAGAGGCACAGGAACTGCCCTGAGAGCCGACTCATCCTTCACAGAACCGTTGATAGGAAAGAGACCTCCAAGGTCAAAGCTGCAGAAAGTGTGTTAGGAATTGCACCTTCGAGTGGTCTTTGCTGAGTGTTGAATTTTTCCTACTTTCTTCTCACCCATTTTATCTCTGTGTGTAAGTGCTGCTGAAAGGCAAAACATGATGCTTGAACAGGGAAGGGGAGTTTCCCAAATAGGAGGCATATGGCCTAAATTCAGGTGCAGACCGTGTACATTTCAGCCAAGTGTATGACAGTGGGATCAATAACCATGGCATGCACTAGAGGTGCAAGACCCAGAGGATCTCAAATTGTTCCCCAAAGCTCAGCTCTCCAAAGTCGTGGCTTACAATAGGCGACTTTGTGTGGGTGAAACTGTAAGAGCATCTCTGCACAAGGCCTTTGTGGCTGCACTTTTCTGCTTGCTGTTCCTTCCCAGTATGTATCTGCTTTACGGGCAATCCCCTTACTTCCTCCTGTTAACTCCTGGGCAAAAATTACTTCTGCGAGAGTTTTAGAATTCAGATAGGGTCTGAAGAGCAAGCTCTGTCGTTTATCTTACCTAACAAAATTGTCAGCAAGAGAGAAGTGCAACCTTTTCTTGATACAGCTCTCTCATTTGGATTGTAAAATCTTATGTTGAGGGAGTGATGAATGGGGGAGAAAGAAACATAACTTCTTTCAGATGTAAAGAATGCTGACTGCTTCAAAAACATTGCTTTACCTGATTTTCTTGGCAAATGCGATTTGAAAGCAAAGCAAGGAGTAGAAAATATGCAGGTGTCACTTTGGTAGTCACTTTTGTAGGCAGAGCCATCGTGATTATGTGGTGATACCAAGTACAGGACTCTGATCAGCTGCAGGTAGCACGAAAGCCTCACCTGGATATAAAATTCCCCAGCAAGGGTGGTGAGTGTCCCGGGGACATTTCATAAAAGGAAGATACATGTGTTTCTTTGCTTATTGCTTGTTAGTAAGTGTTGCAAGGTGAGAGGAGTTAGACTCTGGCCCTTTTGAGCTGTGGGCCACTGGTAAATGGCTGATGCCCTCTGAGCTCCCTTTTGTCTAAATAAGATATACAATAAAATCTATGCTCAATGGGAAAAGGTATGCTAAGCCACCACTCCATTACTCGGTATCTGGTAATGGGAAGCTATGATTACTATTTCATAAGCTCTTTTCTTCACATGCTAAATAACACCAGCACACACTGAAAGTACACAGACCGCTCTTTTATTTAGAGAAGCTCAAAATTCTTTGTATAATTAATCGTATCTTTCTAGGAACGATCAAATAAACATGACATTCTCGGTTGTTTCCATAGTCATTTTTTTAAATCTTCTACCAGCTAAGTACGTCAATAATTTACCGTCATTTTACTTCAGATTCATTCATTTATTCAACAAATATTTATTGAGCACGTGCCAATGGAGCACGTGCTAGTGCCAGGCCCTGTTCACAGTCAGGAAACCCAAGCCCATGCTTTTGCGGAGCTTATGTTCTGCTGCATGTGGACATGGGGATGGAGGGAGTCTAACAGTCTACGAGTAGGAAATACGTAGTAAGTCTCACAGCGGTAAGAGCCATGGGAAACAGGGCAGGGCAAGGATAGAGCAAGCACAGAGGCAGGGCTGGGACTGTTTATACAGGGTGGTCAGGAAAGGCCTCTCCAGCAAGGTGCTAAATGCAATTCAAGCAGAGACGACGTAAAGGAAGCTTAATTATTTTAAGAACATTATAAGCTACCTTGCAGGGCTGGAGATAAGGGAACGTTTCAACTTGCAATCTGGCGTCTGGTGTCAAAAGCTGGCCTGAAAACATCAGCCATTTCTGTGCTTTTCTCTGTTTCTCAGGCCCCGGCTTCACTGTGTGCCAACAGCCAACAGCACACAGCCCTTCGGGGCTGAAACTCTGCACTGTCTGTGAGTCATGGTGGATAGAATTCCAAGGGTCTATATTTGTCTTGGGTAAAATAAACTGTCTTTTCTAAATATATGCCTTACCACTTCCCATTAGCCAAATTCCCCAACACATATTTCTGCTGGGAAAGCTGAACGCAAACTATTTTGCTCATGTACAGTGCAGCCAGCTTCCCTGTGGCTCTCAGAGGAGACACAAAGCTAAGAATCGAAAACGAACATATCTGATGACAGAACAAAGGTTTAAAAGACCTTGCTATGCTGGAATTATAACAAAATCAACATCATGAAATTAGGAAAGATATGGAGAGGGTGCAGCATTTAGATTTTCGAATGGCACAGGTCTGGAATGAATCCTTAATGAATATCAAGTTGTCTGAAATAAGCAGAGATCTTCCATTGTGTAAAAACCTAATATGTCAGTTACTTGGTGATCATATCTTGCTCTACCTCAATTACAGTGCTGAGACAATATCACAATTTATTGAGAGAGTATTTTTATTTTGTTAGGTTGTAGGCTTCTTGAAGTAAAGACTGTCTTACCTTTGTATCCAAGAACAATTCCTAGCTAAGAATATTTCGATCCATTTATTCATTGAATATAGTAAAAACATCTTATTTTGATAAAGAAGTATATTATACACATAAGATGAGACATGTCTGCAATGCTTAGGTACACTTGCAGTATTGTGTCCACATTTGGTTACATATTGAAGTGTGTGCTTTGGAATATGGCCAGAGAGAGCTGAAGGCTTTAAACGAATATCACATAAGAAATTATTGCATGAAATGAAGTGTTTCTAATCTAATGGAAAAGAAGCTTTTGGCAGAAATGATAGCTGTCTTCAAATACATGAAAAGTTTTCACACGGAAAAACAAGTTGATGTGTTCTGCGTAGCTCTGGAAAAACGACCAGGGCCAACGGATTGAAGGCAGATTTCATCTCAGCCTGAATAATCCAAAATTAAATGAGCTGCCTCCAGAATAAGGAGATGCTTCCCTCTCCAGTGATGAGACTCCCATTTCTGGAAGTGTTCAGGTAGAATCTGGACTGGCATCTCTCCGGAAGTCCTGCCTTAGGTGGGATGCTAGAATTAAGGGGCCCTAATGCTCTCCCTAACTGTGATGAGCTAATTATAACATTACTCAGGTAAGCAATTCCTTCAGAAACAATTACATCTTACAGAGAAGAGTTATCACTTTTCAGGCCATTATTTTTAGATTTTTTTCCTTGCAAACTTCGTTTATTTTTGACCTAACCATACCATTCCACTGAGCAATATTCATGCTTGGGGTTTTGATGCTGATTTTAGACAATGTGGTTGTAAACTGCATGCATTTCTAGGTGGTACTAGAGGCTAGTATGTCACCCTGCTCAAAATTTCCCAAGACACTTGGTGTCACATTGCTATCCTCAGCATGCCAAGAGACGGGTTCTGTGAATTCATGCACTGTCTAAAGCTTCTTTGTCACAGATTATAACCTCTAATAAGAGAATAGTGTCTTTTTGGCACTTGTGAGTACCTTGTTGCTCAAGAGTAGATTACCCATTCATTTGTTCAACAAATGATTCACTTAATAACATTTATTGAGCTCAAGTGCATGTGTTCTAAGGATACAATGCCAAGATGTCCCTGCCTCCAGCAATTTCCAGCTTAGTAGGGAAAACAGACCTAAGTCCAGACCTTTAGGACACACTGTAACATCCGCTGTAACAGTGTTTACACAAGACCGAACACTAGCAAAAAGAACAGAGCTGCAGATTCTGGGTAGATTCAAAACAATGCCATGGAGGAAACCTTGAAATGAGTCTCAAAAGATAAGTCAGGTATTTTTTCGTGTACACAAGGTCATTTCAGCAAAGAGAGAAAGTGATATTGTCATGGAGAAGTATTAGCATAGAATTTGCATTGGCTGTTCAGGCAACACTAAGTAGCCTCATGGGTCAGTTGTGAAGCTTGGGTGGTAATCTGCGGAAATATTGTCGAGAAGGAAGCAGGGAATGAATCATACAGTGGATAGACTGAAAGTAACAATACGAGGCAGGAAAACTACTCTGCAGATTATTTCAACTGTCCACATGAGGTAATGACCTAATGCATCGGAAGTGGGTTTTAAAAGGAGCAGAGAGAGTAAAGGATATATGTTTAAAAGGTAAAATTGGGAGGCCAAGGTGGGTGGATCACGAGGTCAGGAAATCGAGACCATCCTGGCTAAGACCATCCTGGCTAACACGGTGAAACCTCGTCTCTACTAAAAATACAAAAAATTAGCCGGGCGTCGTGGTCGGCGCCTGTAGTCTCAGCTACTCGGGAGGCTGAGGCAGGAGAATGGCGTGAACCCGGGAGGCAGAGCTTGCAGAGAGCCGAGATCGCGCCACCGCACTCCAGCCTGGGCGACAGAGCGAGACTCCGTCTCAAAAAATACATAAAAAAAAATTTTTTTAATTAAAAAATTGAAAGGTAAAATTCACAGGACGCATTGAGAAACTACCAGGTGCTATACTAGCATTGAACAAGTAAAGGTGAATATGCACAACACTTCCTCAAGCAATGAAGATGTTCTTGGTGGAGACAACAAGGCTTCGGCACCAGAGAGTGCTCCGTTCAAATCTCTGCTTTTCCATTTGGAAAATCTTTGTTTCAGTTTCCTTAATCTGCTGCATTGAGACTCTTTCCTCACTTTCTCTGTCTGGAAAATCACATGCCCCTGTCATGGTTACGTCTTCAGTGGACCCTTTCCTCCAAAAGCCTCTTCCCTCAAAAGAAAAGTCCTGCCTATTAAGGCAAATTAATATGGAGGCTAGGCCTGAACAACCCTTGAGCAGACATAGCCAGTGAGGCCTCATCAGTGACCCTAACCCTGCTTGATCGGCAAACAGAAGTGAAAGTTAACTTGAGCTATTTCTTGTAAACGCCTATATTAAATAAAAACGGAATTCAAGCCCAATCAATATGAAGCAGCCAACTAACTTATAATTATAGAAGCAGGGACTTTCCAATAAAATAGACCACATAAGGAAAACTGTATAACTGCAAACAATCAATTTTTTTTCCTTTATTCTGTGCTCATCCTAACCCAGTTGTGGTTTGGAGCTTCCTGATTCATTAATTGCTGTTTGCTCAAATAAATTCTCCAAAATGTTCTTGTGTGCTGTTTACTTTTTTTTTTTTCTTTTCTTTTTTTTTTTTTTTTTTTTTTTTTTTGAGACGGAGTTTCACTCTTGTTGCCCAGGCTGGAGTGCAGTGGTGAAGTCACGGCTCATTGCAACCTCCACTTCCTGAGTTCAAGCGATTCTCCTGCCTCGGCCTCCCAAGTAGCTGGGATTACAGGCACCCGCCACCATGCTCAGCTAATTTTTTTGTATTTTTAGTAGAGACAGGATTTCACCATGTCAGCCAAACTGGTCTTGAACTCCTGATCTCAGTTGTTCCACCCTCCTCGGCCTCCAAAAGTGCCGAGATTACAGGCGTGGCGTGAGCCACCATGCCGGGCCTCCGTTTTACTTTTAATATGCCTAAAGGATGGCATAAAACTTAACTGAGGCAATGAAAAACATGCAAATAATAGAGATGTGGGCCAGAGTAAGTACTCAAAAAAATAAAGACTAATGAGGCATCTTTTATTTTCTTTTTTAAAGATAGCATTTTTAATAGAAGATGAACATGGGCATTTTTCTGAATACATAACAATGTATGTTTATTTCTTTTCACATGTTAGTCCCATCAAAATAATTATTACTTTATATGCTAGGATATGTACCAGAACATTAATTTTTGTAGGTTTCAAGTTATTTTTTGGACTACTTTATCAGTATTCTCTAGAAGAAGAAAAAAGGAAGAACAAAACTCAAAGAGAATTAAAAAAAGAAAGGATAAATAATACCAAAGTCAGTGTATATTTGATTTCTAACCTTATTGTATTTATATTTCAATGAATTCTAAAATGCTTCTCACATATTTCTCTTTCAATGCTGTTTTTTCTTCTTTTACTGCCATGAGTACCTTGATTCTTCAAATGACTTTATAAAAATGGCTATATTAATTAAGAATATGCATAAAGATGTCTTAGATATATCCCTCCATTCTGGAATTTACAGTTGTTTGGAAGAAATGTTGGCTACAACTAATCATACAGAAAAATTTTACTTCATTATATAAGCAAAGACAACGTGGTTTGTTATTAGTTTTAAGGATCTTAAATCAGTATTACTCCAAATCTTGTCCATCTTGAGCTACCTTGCTCATCTGCATTTGCTTTGGGATGCTTTAAAACCAGCATGTCCAGGTAACCTGACTTAGCATCCAGGAATGCAGAGGCAATAGGAAAGAGAACACATTGGCTAGGCACACTCTTATCTAGCTCCTGGCCTTTGGTCCTTCTGATTGTGAGTTGTGTTGGTAGAAAGGTCTAAACAAATGCCCAGAATACTTATTCATATTAATAGTAAAGAAATGAATCAGCACGATCAATTTTCATTCTGTTATTTCATCTCAGTAATATAGAGAAATACATTCTAATGCAGAAAAATAAGGTTTTCTAGTGCCATCTTCTCTTCCAATGACGGAGCTATTGAAGTTAATTCTCTAACAAAAGACAGAAGCAGCAGCAGCAGAAAAAATGAAATATCATTTTTTTTTTTTTGCTCGTTTCAAATTAAAGAACTCAGAATGTTTACTTATGCTGGATAAAATATACCCAAATGTTACCTTCACTAATCAGGAGCTTAATTCTGTGTTTAAAGATCACCCCAGCTGCAAATTCATCTGAGGAGCTGAAGCAGGGAGATTTTAAAAATCTAATTATTTTTATAATTATTTTCACCAAATGCTTTATACCTCTATTTGGTGGCTGGTTCCTGAGAACTCCATATGAAGTCAGGTCAGCTTTGTTCACATACACCCTTCTCCATGGACTAGCCACCTAATCCACCCTCTGATTAACGGAGAGGCAGAATGTTCGCAATGTGTAACCAGATATGCTGGTACATCAATGACTACTGTACACCCAAGCATTGGGAACTCAGTCTTAAAAAAATCTACTGCCCCCTTATTAGTTTTCTCCTTAGTGAAATAGTCTTCCCTACATTGGAATATGAGCAGAATATATCCCACTGAGAAATGAGTTTGAATATAATGGGAGACTGGCTCTGTCCAATGCCCAGACCCTATTCTTCAACCTGACAGGTGAAAATTCTTATCTTGGGTTGTGGAGGAAAAACGAAGCAGGGGGAAGGGCAAAAACTGGGTGGCGAAATGGGGGCAGCCAGGGCAGAGGAAGCATGAAGGCTGAGTCAGTCCCCACTTCCTAGTCTTCTCCAGACCCACGCTCTCCAGGTTGGGTTGTCACGATGATGGACTGGGACTGACAACCAGCATCTCCACTGCTGCCGTGGGAGTCACAGTGAGCACAAGACCCAGAGTGTGCAGAAGTTTTTAAATGCAAGTGGACAACCATAACCAGGGGGAGTCACCTGTTGCCCAGGTTGGACGGGAGAGTGGACCATGCTATCAGGTGACTCCATATTTTATTCAAATGAAGTTTTTGGATCTCCTTATTGCATAATGTATAAGGGAGAGCAGGGGGGCTACTAGTTGTTTTATATTAACAGTTGCTTTAGTCTTTGGGAAAATAGCAATAATATTCTATTGCTGGAGCATATAATCAACTGCTTCCATAGATTCACCTTAGGAATTTTTCACCCCTGATAGAATTACTTGACATTATGCCATTAAGTCATAATGAGCACTGTTATGCAATCCTTTAATCGTTTTAACACATTTATTACAGGGGTGTTCTGGATGATATTTACCATATTACTTAGAGTCTTGTTTGTGGGTACCTCTTAAATTTTAATTTGCAAAAGAAAAAAAAATCACCTAGGAATCCAATTAAAGTGTACATTCTGATTTAGTTGGTCTGGATGGGGCCCAAGATTCTGCATTGATAGCAAATTCTCAGTGACGCTGATATTGCTGTCCTGTGCTACACTTTGTACCTGGCTTTATAGATATCCCATCGTAGAAACTTACTCTCGGAAAAGCTCTGAATGTTGAACAAGTGGTTTGTTTTTATTATGCAGTACTGTGAATTGCATTGAGTTGGGCCATATGAAATCACCAATTTTTGATCATATTTGACATATATTGGGCAATTTCTCATGAATTGCATTGAGTTGGGCCATATGAAATCACCAATTTTTGATCATGTTTGACATATATTGGGCAATTTCTCATACTGTAGATATAGCATGACAATAGCATAGTATGCTAATTCAATGTTTCTCTTTGAGTTGATAGCTATGGAGCTTGTAACCAAAGGAGTGACCCACCTAAAGCGAAGTGTACGGAACCATTTACCTGGGGCATAGTTTAAGTTTTAAAATTTATAAAACCTTTCCCTCTTTTATAAGTGAGAAATCTTTAGTTGCAAGTAATAGAAATCTATATTCACTAGCTGAAGAAAAAAAAATGTAGACTTAAGTATTTAGGAATTGCAGGTTTAGACCGTCTCCTGTTGGCACAGGTGGATATAGGGACCTCAATGGTGACATCAGGCTTCAGGCTTCAGCTTATCTGCCCAATCTCTAGTTTTGTTTGCTTCTATGATGAATTCACTTTTAGCAGCTTCTTTCTCCACCTAGATTGTTCCTTGTAGCTCCTGGATTACAGGCCATCTTCTTAGCAACTCCAACAGATAACAAATTTCCCCTTCCAGGAATTGGATTTTATTAGACTTGCTTTGGCCAGAGAAATGGAAAGCTCAGGTTAGTAATCTTGGCTCCCATGCCCCCTGGACCTGGGTCAACTCTGTCAGATGTATATTGGCTCAGAGTTGGCAAGGGATTATTCTCCTAGAGAAAACTGGGTAGCTATTCCCAGAAAAAGGAAGAGTGTTCAGAGTTGTTCCCAGGATGCCTTTTCTTGCAGGACCGTTATCCATGCCCAGCCCACTGCTGTCAGCATTGACCTGTGAGTTGCTCTGACAGATGGTATGTGAGCAGAAGATGTGTGTCACTTCTAGAGGAAGTTTAAAAACCCGAATGTGCTTCTCTGTGCTCCCCTAGCCCATTGCAATGTCCCAGGTAAGGGCAGCTTCTTCAGCCTGGGTCCAACACATATGGATACATCTTGTGGGTAAGAAATAAGCCTCTGCTGCTGTAAGCCACTGCTTCCAGGACTTGCTTGTTATTAAAGTAATTCTTAGCCTAACCTGACTGATAAAATAGGCAGAAACAACAGTTGTTCATATTATTCCACTCATCTCATTCCAACATGAAAACCAATTCTTCTTTGCCAATATAAGGATTTCAAAAACACCCCAACTGCATTTAATTTATACATTAATTACAATCTAAAATCCACTCACTTCCTCCTCAAATAAGAAAATTATAAAAGTCTGTTCACTTACTGTCCAATTACTGCCTAAGATCTAAGTTCAGGATCTTTTGGTGATGGGAATTTATCTAGGTCAAGTCCAGATTAGCTTCTACTGGTGGAGATACCTATGGTTGAATGGGGTATTTAAATATATTTAAGTAACATATTTAATCACCTCCCAATACATATAAGATTCAGTAGTGGAAATCAAAAGGACTAATTATAAAACTAAACAAGGTAAAATTCTTTTTTGTTGAAAAGGAGGCAAGGAAAACAGCAGAATTGTATGGTTAAGTGTTCATGGCAAGTTAGCACTGCAGCCCTCTGGCAGAGTGAGCTCCTTGGTTAGCCAGCCCATCTTTCCTGACTCCTCTCTCTGTGAGGATCTTCTTTATTTATTGACCTCCCATGTCACATCTGAGATGACATTGGAGAGGCCTCCCTATCTGGGTTGCCCACATTAGCTGGTATCAGGCTCTATCCAGGCCCCCACTAGAACTAGAATTTTCAATTAAAGCTTCAGATGAGGAGACCAAAGTTACCCATCCCTTATTTTTAGGGTGCATCTTAGTCTTGGCTTTTTACAATAAAGACCTTTCCCAGGAGGTGTTCATGGTGAGCTGAAGTATCCGCCCCTCCTGAGGTCTCCTCTTGGCTTCCCCCATATTCCCTTCCTTACTGCTTTGCTGAACTCAGCCCAGTGACTGAGCCCAGCGCAGAGAACCCAGCTTTGCATCCTCCAATACTCCAGTCTCTCAGTGCTCACAAGTTTCCTGCCCCAGGCCAGAAAAGGAACCCTTAAAGACAAAATGAAACGAGGCCGAGTGCGGTGGCTCATGTCTGTAATCCCAGCACTTTGGGAGGCTGAGGCAGGCAGATCACCGGAGGTCAGGAGTTCAAGACCAGCCTGGCTAACATGGCAAAACCCCATCTCTACTAAAAATACAAAAATTAGCCAGGCATGGTGGCACACACCTGTAGTCCCAGCTACTCAGGAGGCTGAGGCAGGAGAATCTCTTGAAGCTGGGAGGTGGAGGTTGCAGTGAGCCAAGATCGCACCACTGCATTCCAGCCTGGGTGACAGAGTGAGACTCCAACTCAAATAATAATTTTTAAAAAGACAAAATGAAACCTATTTTTGCTTTTTTTTTTTTTTTTGGCTTTATGTTTTAACATGATCCAGTTTTAACTAAAGTGAAGCTTGTCTCTTTTTATCAAACCTTTGAGAATTAGTCAATATATTCCAAAATCCTGTGAATTTTCTACCATGTTACCAATCTCTAGCCTAGGAATGTGTATGATATGGTTTGGCTGTGTCCCCGACCAAATCTCATCTTGAGTTGTAACTCCCATAATTCCCATGTATCATGGGAGGAACCCGGTGGGAGGTGATTGAATCATGGGGGCTGGTCTTTCCTGTGCTGTTCTCATGATAGTGAATAAGTCTCACAAGATCTGATAGCTTTAAAAACGGGAGTTTTCCAGCACAAGCTCTCTCTTTGCCTGCTGCCTTCCATGTAAGATGTGACTTGCTCCTTCTTCCCTTCCACCATGATTGGGAGGCTTCCCCAGCCGCATGGAACTGTAAGTCCAATTAAACCTCTTTCTTTTGTAAATTGCCCAGTCTCAAGTATGCCTTAATCAGCAGGGTGAAAACAGACTAATACAGTAAACTGGTACCTGAAGAGTTGGGTGCTGCTGAAAAGATACCTGAAAATGTGGAAGCAACTTTGGAACTGGGTAACAGGCACAGGTTGGAACAGTTTGGAGGGCTCAGAAGAAGACAGAAAATGTGGGAAACTTTGGAACTTCCTGGAGACTTGTTGAATGGCTTTGACTAAAAGCCTGTTAGTGATATGAACAATAAGGTCCAGGCTGAGATGGTCTCAGATGGAAATTAGGAACTTGTTGGAAACTGGAGCAAAGGTAACTCTTGTTATGTTTTAGCAAAGAGACTGGCAGCATTTTGCCCCTGCCCTAGAGATGTGTGGAACTTTGAACTTGAGAGAGATAATTTGGGGTATCCGGTGGAAGAAATTTCTAAGCAGCAAAGCATTCAAGAGGTGACTTGGGTGCTGTTAAAAAGGCTTTTAGTTTTATAAGGGAAGCACAGCATAAAGTTTAGAAAATTTGCAGCCTGACAATGTGATAGAAAAGAAAAACCCATTTTCTGAGGAGAAATTTAAGCTGGCTGCAGAAATTTGCATAAGTAACAAGGAGCCGAATGTTAATCCCCAAAACAATGGGGAAAACGTTTCCAGGGCATGTAAGAGGTCTTCACAGCAGCCCCTCCCATCACAGGCCCGAGGACCAAGGAGAAAATGGTTTTGTGGTCCAGGCCCTGGGTCCCTGTGCTGTGTGCAGTCTAGGTACTTGGTGCCCTGTGTCCCGGCTGCTCCAGCCATGACTAAAAGGGGCCAAGGTACAGCTCAGGCTGTTGCTTCAGAGGGTGGAAGCTGCAAGCCTTGGCAGCTTCCACATGGTGTTGAGCCTGCGGGTTCACAGAAGTCAGGAATTGAGGTTTGGGAACCTTCACCTAGATTCCAGAAGATGTACAGAAATGCCTGGATGTCCAGGCAGAAGTTTGCTTCAGGGGTGGGGCTCTCATGGAAAACCTCTGCTAGGGCAGTGCAGAAGGGAAATGTGGGGCCAGAGCCCCCACACAGAGTCCCTACTGGGGCACTGCCTAGTGAAGCTGTGAGAAGAGGGCCAGCATCCTCCAGACCCCAGAATGGTAGATCCACTGACAGTTTGCACCATGCACCTGGAAAAGTCACAGACGCTCAACACCAGATGGTGAAAGCAGCCAGGAGGAGGGCTGTACCTGCAGAGCCACAGGGGCGGAGCTGCCCAAGATCATGGGAACCCACCTCTTATATCATTGTGACCTGGATATGAGACATGGAGTCAAAGGAGATCATTACAGAGCTTTAAGATTTGACTGCCCCACTGGATTTCTGACTTGCAGAGGCCTGAAGCTCCTTTGTTTGGGCCAATTTCTCCCCTTTGGAATGGCTGTATTTACCCAATACCAGTACCCCCATTGTATCTAGGAAGTAACTAACTTGCTTTTGATTTTACAGGCTCATAGGTGGAAGGGACTTGCCTTGTCTCAGATGAGACTTTGGATTGTGGACTTTTGAGTTAATGCTGAAATGAGTTAAGACTTTGAGGGACTATTGGGAAGGCATGATTGGTTTTGAAATGTGAGGACATGAGATTTGGGAGGGGTAAGGGGTGGAATACTATGGTTTGGCTGCGTCCCCTCCCAAATTTCATCTTGAATTGTAACTTCCACAATTCCCATGTGTGGTGGGAGGAACCCAGTGGGAGGTGATTGAATCATGGGGGCGGGTCTTTCCCATGCTGTTCTCCTGATGGTAAGTCTCATGAAATCTGATAGCTTTAAAAATGGGAGTCTTCCTTCACAAGCTCTTTCTTTGCCTGCTGCCATCCATGTAAGACAGGACTTGCTCCTCCTTGCCTTCTGCCATGATTGTGAGGCTTCTCCAGCCATGTGGAACTGTAAGTGCATTAAACCTCTTTCTTTTGTAAATTACCCAGTCTCGGGAATGTCTTTATTAGCAGCATGAAAACACACTAAAGGCCGGGCAAGGTGGCTCACACCTGTAATCCCAGCACTTTGGGAAGCCGAGGCAGGAGGATGACAAGGTCAAGAGATCGAGACCAGCCTGGCCAAAACAAAAATTAGCTGGGTGTGGTGGCGCATGTCTGTAGTCTCAGCTACCCAAGAGGCTGAGGCAGGAGAATCACTTGAACCGGGAGGCGGAGGTTGCAGTGAGCTGAGATCATGCCACTGCACTCCAGCCTAGGAGAGAGTGAGACTCCATCTCAAAAAAAAAAAAAAAAGAAAGAAATGCTTATTTATTTTGGAATCTTCTGTGATCCCTCATATAGTGCCTAGCACATGCCCTGTACTAGTTAAGCAAATGAGAAGAAAAATGCTTGTAAGCTGCATGAGGGCCCCAGTTACACCTATCTTGCTCAGAATTATGCCTGCAGGGCCTAACACAATGCTGGACACACAGCAGGTCCACAACACATATGTGAGAATGAATGTGTAAACAAATGGCTTTGTGCACAATTTCATACCATCTACAAAAACGTTTTCTACACGCAGCATCTCCTTAGTCTACACAGGAATTTGGGTGGCACAAAGGAGGTTATAGAAGACTCTTAGCAAGGTGAAAGATATTTCAAGTTGGCTGGGTACGGTGGCTCAGGCCTGTAATCCCAGCACTTTGGGAAGCCGAGGCGGGTGGATCACGAGGTCAGGAGATCAAGACCATCCTGGCTAACATGGTGAAACCCCGTCTCCACTGAGAAAAAAAAAAAAAAATTAGCCAGGCGTGGTGGCGGGCACCTGTAGTCCCAGCTACTCGGGAGGCTGAGGCAGGAGAATGGCAAGAACCTGGGAGGCGGGGCTAGCAGTGAGCCAAGATCCCACCACTGCACTCCAACCTGGGTGACAGGGCAATACTCTGTCTCAAAAAACGAAAAAAAAAAATTCAAGTTAACAAAGTGACAATCTGTATGCACATATTTAGGAAGAAAAGATAGACTGACAATCTACCTCAAAGGGAAAGCAAATATTGGAAGTTTCATTTGTTGCTATTCTCTTCTCTGTTTTTGGTGGATCTTTTACCTGGACCATGAAGTGGTTTTCTGCAAGGGGAGTATTGCAGTAAAGGCACGTACAGACAGAGATGAGAACATAACTGAGGCACAGAGGGAGAGCCGTGGTGACAGATACTTTCTGTCCTTGGCTTTACTTCTGGGGGAGACTTCTTTTTCACATACTCCTGGCAATTATTAGTCCAACAAATCCATCATAAAGTTTTAGGGGAGATGTAGGAACATTCAGTCCCGGTATATGCAATCATTATCCTTTGGGCCGAATCTCCTCTGAGTTAATTAAATTCAAATAAGTATCTTTCCATTCCCCGGGACTTGGGAGGAGGAGTCCAACGCACTTGAGAAGTCACAAAACAGCCATTAGATGTTAATAACTAAGAACTGTTCCAACCTCTGCTGGTTTTAAATGAGAAGACCAGAGGCATAAAGCTCCACAGGGCATTCCTAACTTCCTGAGGCACTCAGCTGTTGAAAATCAATTCCTCAAATAATAGTTTCCTCTTCCAAAATTTAGCTGGATCAGATATTTTTAGTTTAAAGGTCCTAATGAGACTTTGTAGGAACACGCACAGCAAGGGAGAATCCTGCACGATAAATCACTGGAGGTGTGCCACCTTACGGCTGGAAATTTGAATAAACAGCTTTGATGATTTATAGCAGATGTTTTTCCACTTAGTTGTAGCCCACCAAAGCACATACTAGGCAGCATACTCCAGGAGAATGGGAATTAGAACCATTTTTGTGTCATTCGCCACTGTCTAAATGGCACCTGGCAGTGTCTGGTAGATAGTAGGTGCCCAACAAAATTTTTCTAGTGGACAAATGACAGTTCTATTTAGACACAATGCAGTCTCCTCTGGTCAGTCCTAGGAAGAAGAGGGCATTAAATCACGTATTGGTTTTCAGGCACAAAGAATAGTGGACCTATTTTGAAGTGAAAATGCTATTGCCTTGGTAAATTCTTCTGTGGGGCTAGAAAGAATAAACTAGAAGTCTGGGGAGTTGCACGGTTCTTCTGAAGGCCTTCTAGACCTACTCTTTATAGATAGATTGCCTTCCAAACATAGCATGTTTCCACATGTATTTCTCAATTATTAGTTACATTACTTCTGCCTATTCTTGGACCCTAGCCCAGTGTCTTTAAGTTTGAACTTAATAAGTGTTCATTGAATAAATGCTGACTCATATCTAATAGGGCATATGTTCCAAATTTACTTCTAACCATAAAGATGTGTTTTTTCTGCATCAAGCTATCCTTGCTGTCAGTCCTTTTTGTGACCAAAGCCTTTATTGGAAAGAAGATTGAATGGACATAACAGTACGATCAACAGATGTGATGCTTGGCAGTTTCCCCATCTCTGCCTGTAACTCCAGCACTTTGGGAGGCTGAGGCAGGTGGATCACCTGAGGTCAGGAGTTCAAGACCAGCCTGACCAACAAGGCGAAACCCCGTCTCTACTAAAATTACAAAAAATTAGCCAGGTGTGGTGGCGAATACCTGTAGTCCCAGCTACTCGGGAGGCTGAGACGGGAATCGCATGAACCCTGGACGTGGAGGTTGCGGTGAGCCAAGATTGCACCACTGCACTCCAGCCTGGGAAACAGAGCAACACTCCATCTCAAAAAAAAAAAAAAAAAAAAAAAAAAAGACAGAAAGAAATAGCACCTAATTCTTATTAGAGTTATTTTGCAGTCTAAATGATTTCATATACGTAAAGTAAATAGAATGTTACCTGGCACTTGAACTCTCAATAAACGCAATTTCAGTATCCACAATATGTATTATTGTATATTATCACTGTAGTTCCAAGTGATCACCACAAATATCAAAACTAATTTATGTTATATAATCCCAACTGGAATCAGAAGAATGCTTTGGGTTATCTTGGGACTCTGCAAATACTTAAGTTTGAGAAACACAAAGAATAAAAAAATCTAAAGAGAACCAGAATTTATGTAAAATAAAAATTAAAGTGAATACGTATTCCAGTTGAAAGGAGAAAATAAGCACAGAGAGTTCTCAGGGTGGAATTTATGAAAAACATCTTCACCTTCATCAGCAAACACATCTTTTTTTTTTCTTTTTTTTTTTTCTTTTTTTGAGATGGAGTCTTGCTCTGTTGCCCAGGCTGGAGTGCAGTGGTGCGATCTCGGCTCACTGCAACCTCTGCCTGGGTTCAAGCGATTCTCCTGCCTCAGCCTGCTGAGTAGCTGAGACTACAGGCATGCACCACCACGCCCAGCTAATTTTTGTATTTTTAGTAGAGACGGGGTTTCACCATGTTGGCTAGGCTGGTCTGGATCTCTTGACCTCACGATCCACCCACCTTGGTCTCCCAAACTACTGGGCTCACAGGAGTGAGCCACCATGCCTGGCCAACAAATACATCTTAAGTACTAATTGTGTATTATGACTTGTTAAGTTTTATCAACACGGAGAAAATAAACTTGGCCATTGTCGTCAAAGGAATGGCCATTGAGAGTAAAACAGTCGGTCACTCACCACGTAGGTCCCACACTGCAACTTGTGGAATAGAAATACAGGAAAAGTGCAATGCAATGTGAAAGATCACAAATGTTCCTTTAGAAGGGTTGGAGACAGCTTCAAGAGAAAAGGTAACATTTGGGTTGGGCCTTGAGCCCATACAGATATTTATGTGGTGTAGAAGAGGCTGTGGTGGAAGTGGGGAAGAAGAGGGCTTCTAGCAAAGGAGCAGAGAGGAGGAGAGGCCTGGGTCTTAGGAACCACCACATGCTGGCATGGCCAGATTTTCAGTTTAGTGAAGAGAGGGCAAGGGCTGCAACTGGAAACATGCAATGCATTTCCTGTGCCCTGGTAGGCAATTTGATCACTATCTTACTGGCAATAGAAAGCCAACAAGGCCTCAAAGCAGGCTTGGAAAGGATGACTCTTTTTCAGGAAAAATAGCCTGTCAGTAGTGTGGAAAATAAATTAGAAAAGGGGAGCAATTAGGTGGTGAGACAGTTGTGACAATAATCCAAACAGTGGCAAAGCCAATTGTTGAATCTCTGATTCAGGCCTCAAGACAGCATTGGAACAGACAGAAATGGAGACTAATTGCATGTGGAAGAAAAATGGAGCAGGACACTATAGATTCCAGAGCAAAGCCTGGATAGAGATTGACATGGTTTGGATCTATGATTCCACCCAAATCTTATGTTCAATTGTAATCCCCAGTGTTGGAGGTAGGCCTGGTGAAAGGTGATTGGATCATGGGGGCAGTTCCTCATGGTTTAACACCGTTGGCCTTGGAGCTGCCATCGTGATTATGAGTTCTTGTGAGATCTGGAGTGTGTGGCCCCTGCCCCCTCCCTCTCTTCCTCCTGCTCCTGCCATGTGACACCTGCCTGCTTCCCCTTCGCCTTCCTTCCACCATGGTCCCCTGAGGCCTCCCGAGAAGTGGGACCCGCCGAGCACCGTGCTTCCTGTACAGCCTGTGGAGCCGTGAGCCAATGAAACCTCTTTAAAAAAAAAAAAAAAAATTACCAGTTCTCATTCCCAGAAATTACACAGATATGCCTGTTTCTTTTGTTTTGTTTTGTTTTTGTTTTGTTTTGTTTTTGAGACAGAGTCTCGCTCTGTCACCTAGGCTGGAGTGCAGTGGTGCCATCTTGGCTCACTGCAACCTCCGCCTCCAGGGTTCAAGCAATTCTTCTGCCTAAGCCTCCCAAGTAGCTGGGATTACAGGTGCGTGCCACCACGTCTGGCTAATTTTTGTATTTTTAGTACAGATGAGCTTTCACCATGTTGGCCAGGCTTGTCTCGAACTCCTGACCTCGTGATCTGCCTGCCCCGGCCTCCCCAAGTGCTGGGATTACAGGCGTGCACTGCACCTGGCCCTGTTTCTTTATACCAGTGTGAGAGTGAACTAACACAAATTAAGGGGATTGGCAGAGACAATAAAAGATTCAACAAGAAAATGTTTTGAGCCACTGGAGGGATATGATGGGGAGGGAATGGTAAGGTTTACCTGGAAAAGGTCGAGGCCGAATTGTTTGATTGGTTGTGAAGGCTCCTTGTTTGTCCTCCAGCTACAGTCCTTTCCACACATCTCATTCATACTTCAAATTGTTCCATTTCTCTTCAAGCCCCCCAATCCTCAATTAATGGGCTTTCTCAAAGACCAGGAATATACTTCAGTCACTAAACCCAGTGTTCTCTTTTCAGGCCTTAACCTACTTGTCCTTTTGTAGAAATGGAAGATAAGTGTGTACCTCTATAATTAAGGCAGTCATGTAATGTATTGTCCAGACAGATACATTTCTGAATGTAGAAGGACATTGTTAATAATTATGTTGGGGCAGTCCTGGACTAAGCAGAACGTTTGGTCTCCTGAGAAGCAGGATCGTGCCAGGTGTGGAGGCTGCTCCAGAACAGGCAAGCACATAGTGAGAAACAGTGGTGCCACTCAAAGAGCATCTTGAGTAGTAGCGGAATAAAGAGCCTAATAATTCAGGGACAATAAACTTTTTCCATTCCCTGCCTACCCCACACTGCCAACACCTCTGGTCCCCAAGGCTGAATAGCAGATCAGGCAGAGGGTGAGGGAGTGTGGTTTTCAGGCGTCCAGACTAAAGCTGCTTAGTGGATGGAAGTTAAAGTACCAAAGACAAATAACCTAACTCTCCGTTCTGCCCAGAAGAGCCCTAGAACTGAAGATCGGGAATATTGGTTCAAGTACCCATACGGCTCCTGCATGTCCTACACTGCTGAAATGGAATATACACCTTGGAGCTCTATAGGAGCAGGGAAGAGTTTCGGGACTCAAAGTATTTCACCCTTTTTTAGAGCTATGAGATAAATGAGGAGAAAACAAACAATGATAACAACAAGATTGTAATGTTAAGTAGCTCTTGATTTCTGAGCCCAAGTGACAGGTTTAGCTCAGTGCAAGACTGAGCTCATGAATATTTTTGTTTACTGTTTTCATGAAGCCTGCTTGTGGCAAAGATAAACACCTGCCTTGCAAATTTATTTCTTAAATCAAAATATATCTTTCATATTTTAAAAGGAGGTGTGTTTAAAGAGGACAAGGATTAAAAACATTCATTGCTGGATTTGTGCTATAATATGCTTGCCCTAAAAATTTTATTTTTCCTTAATTTGACCATCAAGATGTTTGCTATGCCTTTCCAATTTGCAGTTTTCACATACCAAACTTCTGCAGAGAATCTGGATGTTGTAAAGCATTTCTGAAGTTACAGACCATCTGAAAGTTTCTTAATGGGTCTAAGAGCCACTTCATTATCTTTTAAAAATATATACATAAACTTTAGTCTTTGAAAAAGTGCATTTTTCTAAAATGCTGATAACGCTGCCATATGTTGTTTTCATGCCTTTGATTTGTAATAGAAAATATGTTCCTAAGAAACAATAGTAGATTCACATGTAGTTGTTTTCCTTCCAAGCCCCAAATTATATTTTCTACTTTACCAATTTATAAGCTGTTAAAGCCAAAAGCATTCTTCAAAATAGTCTGCTTTGTCACATCACATACACCTACCTATAATTTATAATTCTCTATGGCTATCATTTAACCTTCAAAAAGTGTCATTGATATTTTCTGGGCTACAAAGAAGTTGGCTACTCTTTCTGTTCAATGAAGGAAATAAGAAAAATAGGCAAATTAGGTGAGGTCCTGAAATAGACTGAGAGAAAAGAAATGCACTGAATATAAAGTTTATGACTGGTTCTGTTTGATTGAATTTTACAATGTCCAGAGAGGAGAAAAATGCAAAGCCCTATTAAAAAGCATGTTTAAATATGTTATGAATCTCCTGGGCTGGTTGTCTCATAATCTGGATTATTGAAGTATAGCACAGGAAAGGCCTAAGACCTTAATTAGAGTAAGTGATATGGCAGCTCGGGCATCAGCAACACAATCTGCCGATTGTGAGAAAAACAAAATTAGACAAAGGGCTGTGGTTTAGAGACATGCTTGAACAGTTAGGATTTTTTCCCTAGTTTTTTCTAAAGTGAAAAGAAGCAGATAGCCAGTGCAATAAGCCAAGGGGAGAGGGGGTATAGGCCTATTTGGTGGGCCCATATGTAAGCACAACCCAAGGCTCATATGCGCTAGACAAATCACAGCCATGGAGCCAGGAGGAAAATAGGAGTCTCCATAAATCCAATTCTGCCAGTCCAAGTCCAAAATTTATTTGGACAATCAAAGAGAGAAATAATGCTGTGAAAAGTAATCTTCTCTTCATGTCTTCTATATCTCCATGGATTTCAATGATTTTGAATTGGTTCCCCGTAGAAATAATTGTGAAGATTGGCTGTCAGCCAAGAAATATTTTTTTGTGCATTTACTATGCATAAGTAAATGAGTTCCCTGTGTCTCCTTTTATCATTGTGGGGTCTCCAACCCTGAGATCTCAATCCTCTTCAAAATCTCCCACACTTGTAAGTACAAATGTTTCAACTGAGCTCATGAGTAATTTATCTTAGTTCTTCTAATGGCCAAGGCAATTTCTGTGCAAGAAAACACAAAGCATGTCATGAGTTCAGTTGGCGTCTGAGAGTGGTGATGTGTCTGACACTCAAGCCAAGCACGGAGTCCCCCAACACTATTAAACTACCAACTCAGGCCATGGTTCCCCTGATGACCGGTTTGTAAGCAAAGCGACAGTGCCCCAAATGCACTGGATTAAACTGTGCTGTGTCCCTTGGGGTCCTAATTACATTGAAGCCTCTTGGCATTCCATGTGACAGACAAGGTCTTAGACTCTTTCC
Organism: Homo sapiens; assembly: GCF_000001405.40. Taxonomy (NCBI): domain Eukaryota; kingdom Metazoa; phylum Chordata; class Mammalia; order Primates; family Hominidae; genus Homo; species Homo sapiens. The sequence continues at coordinate 187,497,767 of NC_000004.12, forward strand.
GCCACAAAGGTACTTTTGTGTGTAAATAAATCTCAATTTTGTCTGCTTTGTTTTATTGTTATTTGTTTTTGTCTGTAGAATCTCTCTGTAAGTTTTATGTACATGAAGTGAGGGGATGTATCTGAGGGCTACATGCTCAAAACTATCCTTTGTTTTGGAGAATGATGGTGTGATTTTGAACCCGATCTTTGTTTGCCTTAACCTCACTTCCCTTAGGATGGATTAGGTCACAGAAGATATCCGGATTTGCATGGAGACGTCTGTGCAGGACAGCCCTTGGGCCCAGCGTGACTTCCAACCGTGATTCCTCAAGTGATTCCTGCAACTGTGATTCCTCACAAGTTCCAGCAGTGCTGCATGCATGTGCAGGGGAAAACAAGGAGGCATGAGGCAAGGATCACACCCTCAGAAAATGTTCAGTTTACCAGAGAAGGTAGACACACAGCAAATAATGATGGCACAAACTGAAAGCGATGTCTGCCACACAAGTAGCCACGAGAAGAAAGGACACAAATACAAGCAAACACTGTCAGGCCCCCTAATGTGAACACGACCATCAGTTTCAGGTGGGCACAAGGAATGAAGGCTTAGTCCGGTCTAAGATGTGGGTGTCTAAGCGGGTGGTTTTGAGGGACAGAACTTCTGTCCTGTTTCACCCTCTTCACTTCCTTTCTCCTCCTTACTGAGGGTCATAGCCTTTGATTGTGCTCCATTTCACTAAAAGGTGCAGGTACTTTTCCTTCAAAATAAGCTCAAACCCTTCCTGAACGCTTTCTCTTTCAACTCTTAAGCACGTGTGCTGTGGAGTGACTTGTTATTTCCTGCCCTACAGATCTGTAAGAGAGCTAGGGCCTTTGCCCAATGTGTGAGAAGAGGTGCAACTTGCTTCCTCTCCTGCATTCACCTTAGCAGGGTTGTCTTCCGCGCGGCTGAGGTGGCCAAGCTGCTCACATCCCTGCACCCAGGTCTTGGCCACTACCAAATGGAGAAGCCCAGTCGACAAATGCTGTGGCCGGGCATTGTCACCCCAGCTGCGAGACCTTCTCTCTATCCATGGGGAGGGAATAGAAGGCTTCATTTATGCCACCATATGAGCAATAAGAACTTTGGACTGGTTTTATAAGTGAATTTGTAATCTCACATCCCAAGAAAAAAGTCTTCTGCAGTTTCCAAACCCTTTTAGGTTCACTTGCTTGTTAATTTTATTGTGAGAAGAATAAATAAAATCAGAAATACATAAATAAAAATATTTTGATGAGATTGTCATTCAAAATGGATTTGTTGGTGCAAAAAGAGTATTTTTAAAAAGAAAAAAAATCCACACAAGAATTATCACTAATCTCAAAAGACATAAACGTCTTAGTAGCCTGCAGAGATAGCTTTTACTTTATTTTAATATCAAAGCAGATGAACTCAAAGCAGATGAATTAACTTCCTTAAAATATCAAAAGCTGATTGTCTGTTCTCATAATTCAATAAATTTGGCAAAGAAAAAGTGTTTCAGGTAACACATGCTTTATGAAAGTGTCTCAGTTTTGTAAATTACCCCTTAGCCTCCAGTATTAGAGAAGAGCTTCAGATTTTTATAAATATTAATCCTGTCCTGGTTTATTACGTGCTGATTCAGATATAAATTACTTTTAAAATTTAAAAAATGTCATGCTTATTGGCCTAAGAAAATAATGACTTTCCTATCAGAGACTACAACCAGACTTTAAGAACTCAATATCATAAAAATGTCCATTCTCCCCAAATTTATTTACAGATTCAGTGCAATTCCAATAAAAAGCCCAAAAGTTTTTCTATGTAATTAGACAAGTTGACTTTTAATTTATATGGAAAAGTAAAGGGCCAAGCACAGTGGGGATTCATCATTGGGTGTATCAAACCTTATTGTAAACCAGAAGTAATTCAGACAGTGCAAGTGTTGTCTAGAAATAGACAAATAGGCCAAGGAAACAAAATAGAAACTCCAGAAATAAACTCACATATACGGAAATGTATTAAGTGCAAAAGCAGGGATCGAAGCTCTGTGGTGAAAGGAAGGGCTGTTTATGAATGGTACTTGCACATTAACTTATGGATACCAAATAATGGAAATTGGATTCCTACTTCACAGCCTATACAAGTATGGTCATGCACTCCCACATAATATTTTGATCAACAGTGGACTGCATATACAATGGTGGTCCCATAAGGTAATCAGGGAGCTAAAATATTTCTATGGCCTAGTGATGTAGCAGCCGTCATAACATAGTCACATAATGCATTACCTTTTCCATGTTTAGCTGTGTTTGATACACATAGAATCATGTTACAGTTGCTGACAGTACTGAGTACAGTAACCTGCTGTACAGGTTTGTAGCCTAGGAGCAATAGGCTATTCCGTATAGTGTAGGTATGTGGTAGGTTGTGCCATCTAGATTTGTGGAAGTACACTCTGTGATATTTGCACAATGATGAAGTTGCCTGATGAAGCACTTCTCAGAACGTATCCCCATTGTGTTTCTCAGAATGCATCCTCGTCATCAAGTGATGCATAACTGCATAGCTTTAAGGTAGATTTAGGACTTAAATATTTAAGGCAAAACTACAATCTTTCAAAAGACAGTATCAGAAATATCTTAATTACCTCAGGGTAGGACTTTGCTTTAAAAAGATGTAAAAGAACTAACCATAAAAAAGATGGATAATTCGACTACATTAAAATACAGAGCTTCTGATCATCAAAAGAAACTATTAGAAAGTGATTGGACAAGTCTGAAGTAGGAAGAATGTCTGAACAACACAGAAGCAGCAAAGGCTTGGTTTGAAGAGCATAAAAACGCTTATAAATGAATTTTAAAATGATAAGCGATGTGATAATTGGCAAAAGCTATAAATAGAAATTTCTCAAAATAAGCAGCATAATTGATGCATGAGATATGAAAAATACCCAATCTTACTAGTAATCAAAGAAATGCAAATTAAAACTACAATAAGACAGCATTTCCTATCCACCTCAGATAACGTTCTTAAATAGCAGAGCACATATATATGATTTCACTTTTTGTGGTTTAGCTTTTCATTCTGAGAATGAGAATAAACCTTTTCACCCATGTTTTCCATAGTCCGGTCTGTTATTCTACATTCTTTTACATTCTAATACCTTATGTTTTCCATTACATCCTTTCTTCTCACCCTTATATCAGTTTCTAATGGATTTAGCAGGAAACCAACATTCCTGTTCAACTTGTACAAACTTGTGAAAACATAATTGAAATGAAAATGGAAATTTCAGGCCACCAGATGTCTTTATGCATCTGCATAAATAACAGTGCCATGAAATTGACCCCAGCCTACCTTTTAAGTAGGAAAACACTCTCCTTTAATCCAATGTGGATGATTATGGATGATTCATTTGCTACTAATTTGCTGAAAACTCAATTCAGAAAATACTAACAATACGTATATTAAGCCTTAACAAATGACATTCAACAGAAATCTGTTTCCTTTGATACTTTTCCTTTAAGGAAGTCTCCAGACAGTGTTTCCTAATCAGTATAATGAGCTTTCTGGAATTTATGAAAGCGAAGGCTCCTTTCAGATCTAAAGTTTCAGCTCTGTATTTTCACTATTAAGAATTGTTTACACCTATAAAACCAGATTGAAGAGCTTTGCTAAGTCTCCGTCCCTCTTCTCCATCCCCTCTGCATCCGTGTCTCCCAAAGCTCTTTATTACCCTCCCCATTTCTTTGCTCTGTTTCTGGCTGCCGCTTTTCCTCAATCTTGCTCTCATTCTCCTTCACACTTTACTGCTCTCTCACTAACTCCACAAGTTTAAAAAACTAACCCAACTTAGAAATGTCTACTAACTTCCTAAAACATCCTCCACAACATTAAAAAGCACTGCTAATATTTTTACAATACAATACACAAATATTTAATAAAATCAGGACAACACACATTCCCACTTTGTACCATCGTGTTACCAAATGAGATTCACTTGTAATGAACAAATCATCAATCTTCGCTGTTATCAGAAACTAGCTTCCCCAAGCCTTCCAGTAATTTTTTAGAGTTCTGGAAGCAATAGCTCCAAACCTAGTCTGTCAGCAGGAGACTCGGCCTGGCTTACGCTCCACTTGGACTTCTGCTCGGGCTCCCGGGAAGCCATCTGGGGCAGCCTGGCGTCCATCTGCCCTTCTGAAGTAGGTCGCAGACCCTGCCAAGATACTGACCCTGGATGCCAGTGAAACCTCATCCCTGTCATGACAAAGAATCTCTGGAGTCCAGGTAAAGGTAGGGAGAATGCCTCCTCTCCAACATCTCCCACACTGCATCGTCTGGACAATGGCACAGTTCTACTTCTGTGGGCACCTCTGTTCTTCATGAAAAACACCACTGCCATATTTTGGCCAGATCTGGGCAATACAAGGCTCACTCTCAGCCCAAAGGGCATGCATGAAACAGATTTCTTCCCACGAGGGAGAGACCCTCCTATTATCCTCCTAAATTCCATCCCCACTTAGAACCATCCTCCCATGTATCCTCCTATAATCAATCTCCCATGTTATTTATCTCCTAAAGTCTATTCCCAGCTTAGAACTGAGAATTCTTCCTTTCTCCCAGTTCCCACACTTGCCTAGTTAAAAACTGTCCAGTTTAAAACAACGACTTCCATGCATGCCAAAGACAGAAGCAGATCTTAGAAGAAGATGGCTTCCCAACCCCACCTTTCTCAGGGCTCTTGCTAAATAATTTATTAGATTGACCAGCCAGACCTGGAATTTGAACCTGACGCATGATCTTGGTGGAGATACTAACTGCTCATTTATCATCCCTAAAAGGGAGAAAAACCTGCATTTGCCATACTTCAAGATCTAGTCCACACTTAGCTTCCCTTTGGACTGCTGCCTTTCACTCTTTCATTTATCTAGAATGCTGTGTATTTTCCTGACTACATATAACTACACCGTAAAACATCTGAAGACTGCATAAAAACATAAGAAAAAATAAATAAATCATTTCAAAATTTCATCACACTGAGGCAACCACTGTCAAGATCTTGGTATCTGTTTCTGTTATGAAAATATGCAAACATAAATTAATTTTACATAAAAGGAATCATTTCTGTTTACATCTTTTAAATTTTTACTGTTGCCCTTTTCTTGCTTTCCCCACTCCACAAGTGTCCTTATTAATTTCTTTATTCCTCATATCATTCCTTGAAAGTTGTTTATTACAGGTATATTTTCCTTTTTCTCTTTCTGGCTGCAGAATTGTGTTAAGAATGAGATAAAAATTACCCATGTACCCATGACCTTATTAAAAATCATCCATCACCGAAACAGCTGATATTCCTCCTAGTTCTTCCCCAACTGCCTCCTTCTGCACCCACATTAGCCAGCATCTTCCTTTGGTGTTTGTCATTCTCACGGATACCTTTACATGTGTGTCACATACGTCTTTGGCACTAAACAGTATGTAGCACTGCGTTATATGTTCCTAACCGCAGTACAAATGGCCACAGCTATATATATTTTCCTGGAATCTCTCTTTTCTCACTTAATGCGGATTAATATGAGTAAGTCTAGTTTCTTGACTTTGCTATTTTGCCACATTCTCTTGTGGGAATGTACATCAAGGTATTAGTCAATTCCTCTGTTAATGGACATTGCTGTTGTTTTCATCCTTTTGCTCTCCTGTGGTCTGTGGCTGTGAGCCTTTTTTTCAGATTGAGGCAGCATAGCAAGCAGTTTTGAAGGGGGACTCCAGTGCAGACTGCATGCATCTGATGTGTGGTGGCGCCATGTAGGAGCTCAGCAGCCTTGGCAAGTTAGTTAATCCACTGTGCGTCACTTCCCCATTTTAAAATTGAGATAAAAATAGTATGTACTTCATAGGACTATTGAGAAGAGTATTAACTTGAAGCATATGCAATTATAATTTTCATAGTCCAAAAATGGTCACATATTAGCATTTTTATATGGTGAAACCTAATAAATGAGATAATTGATATAGCATATTTAGAATGGAGGTATACAGTCAGTACTTAGTATTAGCTGTAATGATAGCAGTGGTGATGACAATGATGGTGTCTCTTTGTATATGTTAAGTCTCAGGCTTTCTCTGGCCTAAACAGCCAGGAATAGAATTGCTGGGTCACAGGATCTATCCAAATTCAACCTTTACCTCCAGAATGTTCTCCAGAGTTTTCTATCCAAGATATGTTTTATTTTTCTACATATTTGTGTCTTAATATTTTTCAATAACGTTTTATAATATTGTTCATAAGAATTATTCGTTTTCTTCTCTCTTTCCCCTCTCCTCCTCTCTCTTCTTCTGTTCTTTTTTATCTCTTTCTTCCTCCTCCTCTACCTCTCCTTCTTTTTCTTTTTTCTCCCAAATTCGAAGATGAACACTCTTCTGCTATCAGAGTAGAAAGGTCTGTGACTTCCTCATGTTTCTAGAAGATCTCCATGGATCATGCAAAAGGTCAGATGCCATCTTTACTTTCACAGCTCTGGAAATCCATTTGCTAAGCTCTCAATTATCACCCAGAGCTCTAGGACGGTATTTCTAAGACTTTTGTGTGGCTCACAGAGTATCATGCTGTTAACTGTCCCAGAAGCCTAGAGGATCCCTTGGCTTTACAGCGCACAGCTCCTGACCCTGCAGCTCCACTGGAAATTGGACTGAGCCATCATCTTCCCTGAGCCTCCCCGCTTCGCTCTTCATTGTCCTCCCTCCCTATTCGGCAGATCCAGAGATTCACTCTGCTGCGTAAATTCTTTTAGTCCCAAGATAAAGCACTGCCTATGAAGAGATGTCTAACTTTTAAAACTGGCCAATTACATCAAAATTTATTTGGTTCTATAAGCAAAGATATGGCCCAGCAATTTATTAACAGGAAGGGAATGCTAAGTGAATATCAGCAATCATTAATAAAGATGTTGTGAATGGTTTCAGAACGCACAGTAAACAATTTAATTCCAAATGATATATTAAGAGAGAACTAAGAAGAGGATTTCTTTCAGATAGCACAGAATAGAATATTTTTCCAAATTAATAGTTACAATATTCAGGAGAAACAAACCGTTCAAAATAACTGAACCCTGCCTGTAGTCTCTTTCCTGTATTGCTAATCCTCTTTCCTATTTCGTTTTTCTGTCATTTCTTTCTCTCTCTACTTGGCTTTTTCCATCAGCATGTAAATCTAATTTAGTTTTTGCCATCCTTAATAAAAACAAAATGATGCCTGCGACTGTTGTCTAATGTCTACTTTTCAAAACCAAAATTTTCAAAAGCACTATTTATGCTGTTTGTCTCTTCCTCTTCCCCTTTCCTCCCAGCCCATTTCAATAAGGCTGACTACCGCCAACCACTCCGCCCCAGAGGCATCTGCCCCCGGCCGCGCACCCTCTCTCCCTCACCACGCCTTGGTGTCCTCACGTTCCCGCACCTCTCAGAAGCGCTTCCTCCACGCTCCACAACGGCCTTCCCCGCCCAGAAGCGCTTCCTCCACGCTCCACGGCGGCCTTACCTGCTCAGAAGTTCATGCTCCCAGCGGCCTTCCCCACCCAGAAGCGCTTCCTCCAGGCTGCGCAACGGCCTTCCCCGCCCGGAAGCGCTTCCTCCAGTCTCCACAGCGGCCTTCCCGCCCGGGAGCGCTTCCTCCACGCTCCACAGCGGCCTTCCTTGTGAGAGGTGACAGCGTGCTGGCAGTCCTCACAGCCCTCGCTCGCTCTCGGCGCCCCCTCTGCCTGGGCTCCCACTTTGGGGGCACTTGAGGAGCCCTTCAGCCCACCGCTGCACTGTGGGAGCCCCTTTCTGGGCTGGCCAAGGAGGAGCCCGCTCCCTCAGCTTGCAGGGAGGTGTGGAGGGAGAGGCGGGAGCGGAAACTGGGGCTGCGCGCGGCGCTTGCGGGCCAGCTGGAGTTCCGGGTGGGCGTGGGCTTGGCGGGCACTGCACTCGGAGCAGCCGGCCGGCCCTGTCGGCCCCGGGCAATGAGGGGCTTAGCACCCGGGCCAGCGGCTGCGGAGGGTGTACTGGGTCCCCCAGCAGTGCCAGCCCGCCAGCGCTGCGCTTGATTTCTCGCCGGGCCTTAGCTGCCTTCCCGCCGGGCAGGGCTCGGGACCTGCAGCCCGCCATGCCTGAGCCTCCCACCCGCTTCACGGGCTCCTGTGCCGCCCGAGCCTCTCGGATGAGCGCCGCCCCCTGCTCCATGGCGCCCAGTGCCATCGACCACCCAAGGGCTGAGGAGTGCGGGCTCCCGGCGCGGGACTGGCAGGCAGCTGCACCTGCAGCCCCTGTGCGGGATCCACTGGGTGAAGCCAGCTGGGCTCCTGAGTCTGGTGGGGACCTGGAGAACCTTTATGCCTAGCTCAGTGATTGTAAATACGCCAATTGATACTCTGTATCTACCGCAAGGTTTGTAAACACACCAGTCATCACCCTGTGTCTAGCTCAGGGTTTGTGAATGCACCAATCAACACTCTGTATCTAGCTACTCTGGTGGGGCCTTGGAGAACCTTTGTGTGGAGACTCTATCTAGCTAATCTGGTGGGGACGTGGAGAACCTTTGTATCTAGCGCAGGGATTGTAAACGCACCAATCAGCGCCGTCAAAACAGACCATTCGGCTCTACCAATCAGCAGGATGTGGGTGGGGCCAGATAAGAGAATAAAAGCAGGCTGCGGAGCCAGCAGTGGCAACCCGCTGGGGTCCCCTTCCACAGTGTGGAAGCTTTGTTCTTTCATTCTTTGCAATAAATCTTGCTGCTGCTCACTCTTTGAGTCCACCCTGCTTTTATGAGCTGTAACACTCACCGCGAAGGTCTGCAGCTTCACTCCTGAGCCAGCGAGACCACGAACCCACCAGAAGGAAGAAACTCTGAACACATCCGAACATCAGAAGGAACAAACTCCAGACGCGCCACCTTAAGAGCTGTAACACTCACCGCGAGGGTCCGCGGTCCCTCTTCATTCTTGAAGTCAGTGAGACCAAGAACCCACGAATTCTGGACACACCTGCTCAGCAGTTCATGCTCCCAGCGGCCTTACCCGCTCAGAAGCGCTTCCGAAGTGCTTCCTCCAGGCTCCACAGCGGCCTTCCCCGCTCGCTCCTTTGAGCTCCTCCTCGGTCGCTTTTGCCAGCCTCTGCCTCCCTTTCTAGCGTCCTATTTCAGCACACTCATTTTCGTTTCAGGCAGGTGCGCTTTCCGTTCCCAGAGCGCACTGGAACCTCTTTCCCGCTGGCCTCAGCCTTTTCTTGGAATGCCCTTTCCAGCCTTTTCACGTGGAAGCACCACTCAGCTTCAAAGCCACCTCCTTGGGAGGCCTTCTCTGACCGCCCAGCCTCGTTCGCGCCACGTGTACATTCTCAGTGCAGCCAGTAACCGCCCATTTATGTATACATACACATGTAAATGCACATATAAATAATTCACCCACTATAATTTTGATGAAATATATATTTAAGAATGTGTTGTTTTGTCCATCATTAAAGTCCAAGCTCCACAAAATCAGAAACTATAACTTTTTTATTCACTGCCACATCTCCAGAATTAGCAGATTGTTGGTATAGTGTTAATTGAATAATTGGATAAAATTTCCAACATACAAGCCCTACAGAAAAGAACATGTGTGGTGGAAACTAAAATACATTTTGCCTATTTACAGAAGGAGATCAGTTGGAAGCTTTCCTTGGACTAAGAGCATCCTTAGCTATGAAGGCGAATGGATCTTGAGGCTGCAAGGTATTCAACAAATATTGGTATGATGGGGTCATATTGTTGACTTTTAAAAATACTGCAATATACTGACATATCGAAACAGCGACGTTCGGCTATGTTTTCTGGTGAGTATGCCTTCAGGAAGAAGAAAAGACGAGATGCCTTCCCATTCGAATGGTTTATGCTCTGAATCACAAAAGTTTATAAGATCAAAGTGAAAAGTCAATGTAGATTTTGTAGAATATTTAATGAAACGTTTTGCGTGTTAGGGCTCCAGGTAGTGCACGATCTTTCATGGCAGGAAAGCCCCACTCCGCCACCATGGGAATCTGTGAGGACGCCAAGCTTCAGTTCTAGATCCAGAAGCTTTCCCAGGGAGCAGGCTGCCGTGCCATTTCACATTCCACGTGGCATTTCCAATGGGGATGATGAGAAGCCACTGAGATAACTCTTTGGAGAAACATTCAGCTCTAGGAAAGTACTATGTAACCTGATAGGTTCACTTTTGACATTTCATTTTATATATTTCTAAGAATTTTTTAAAATTCCTGCATGCAGCCGTTAGACAAGGATCATAATCCTCATTGATGCTGTTTAATGCCTAATAACAGATGCATATTGGCTCTAGTAAATGGCTTGTAAGGTATTAACATTAATTCTAGGTATAATATAATAATACAATCATAAAACAAGTAGGAAATGACAAAGATGAGAACGGTGAAAACAGCATACAATCTTCAAGGAAAAGTTATACATATGGATTTAAACCACAGGTATACAGTCATTTTTATTCATTTTTGTATACCTATACCACTAATATAAATGTCAGAAGCACCACATTCTGAATTATTATTAGTGTTGTTTTTGTCTCCTTTTGGCCTGAAGAATTTGAAAGCCACTATTTTTTACTCTGCTTCAAAGCACGGGCCTCATGGTGGGTATGCTGTTTTAATTGAGGCGAGGTGGTTCCTGTAATAAGTCATGGTTCTTCTGCACTGTGGGTTAGACTCACAGTTTATAAGGCTGAGAAAAGTGCAGTGGAGTCAAATTCTACAGTTTCCCAGCAGCAGAACACGTCTAAAAATACTCAGAATATCAGGTAGTTCTCTCCCTTCCTCTACTTTTTTAAAAAAACTCTTTCTTCCTCCCTTCCTCTCATCTTTCATTCCTGCCTTTCTCCCTCCCTTCCTCCTTTCCTTCCTTCCTTTTTCTATCATATCGTATCATATCTATCATCTATCTACCTATCTAATCTATCGTCTATCCATCACCTTTCTTCCTCTGTCTCTTCCACCGCTATCTTCCTAAAATAGTTTCTATTTTTATTACTCCGCACCAGCACTGTCTCATAGAACTTTCTATGAGGTCAGTGGCATTTCATACCTGCACTATCCCTACAGTTGGCAGTAGCCACACTTGAGCTATTGAGACATTTGAAGCTGTTTGTCACTTTAAATGCGGCTAGTGCAACTGAGAAAATGAATTTTAACTACTTAATTTTAATTAATCTAAATTTAAATAGCCAATATGGCTAGCGGCTAGGATACACTTACGAAGAAAATGCTGCCCTGACCTTCGGGATATCACATTCCAGGGCACTTGTACTGACAACATTCTGCACAGTATATTTTGAGGTTTATTGAATCGGTGGGCGTAACATTCCTCATCACATATGAGCTTAACAAACCAACAATACAGCAGAACGTCAAGCTATATAAAACAAATTTATATAAGCAAAAATTGATTACGAGACTCAAGACAGCAAGACAATTCATTGTCAACAAACATGTTAAACAATTCCACAAAATAAGTAGGTTTTTGATCAAGTAATTTGTCTTCCCAATATTTTATATTCTCCTACAAATCATTTTGTTCTCAGAGCTGCAACCTGTGTTCTAGGCTGGGTCCCTCTTTGACATATCTCGCTATGTGATATTAGACAACTCAAATTGTTCTCTAAGAGCCATAATCTTTCCACCTGTAAAACAAAGACTAAGGCCAGTGATCTACAAGCACTCTTACTGCTGTCAGATTCTGGAAATAAAGCTCTTAGAGAATTTTTTTTCCCACAACATCTTTAACACATAGTTAGGTTGTCTTTTAAATATTAATCTAGAGATGTGGAAAAAATACTTATACCACCTCTATGTGTTAGTCTTTGCAGTAGTATTTTGTTGGTTTATGTGTGTGTGTGTGATGGAGTCTTGCTCTGTCACCCAGGCTTGAGTGCAGGGGTGCGATCTCGGCTCACTGCAACCTCTGCCTCCCGGGTTCAAGCGATTCTCCTGCCTCAGCCTCCCAAATAGCTGGTATTACAGGCACATACCACCACGCCCAGCTAACTTTTTGTATTTTTAGTAGAGACAGGGTTTCACCGTATTAGCCAGGATGGTCTCGATCTCCTGACCTTGTGATCCGCCCGCCTCGGCTTTCCAAAGTGCTGGGATTACAGGTGTGAGCCACTGCGCCAGGCCTGCAGTAGTTTTAATATAGCTGCTAGATACAATCTTAGATTGTTGAAACACACACACACACACACACACACACACAGGGAAAGAGAAGGAGTGCTAAACTGAAGCTATAATTTTTTTTTTATTTTATTCTACTCTTTTTTCTTTTTTTTTCTTGGAAGGGAGTCTTCAAGTAAAACTATGTGTGTTGATAGAGCATAGTCTTTTTCTCATCACATAGCTAAAATGCCCTTAAGAAGTATGGGATTGCTCTGCCCTTACTGGTTTATGGAAGCTCGGTTTACAGCTCCATCTAAAAAGATGGCCTTTCGAGAATATGCTGTTATGGGTGTTTTCTAGGGAAGAGTATCTTTTAAGAATGTGTGTGCACGTGTGTGTTTGTGTGTATGTGTGTGTTAGACTAGATCTATCTTGCCCCCTTCAAAAATGTTTCATAAATATTTAGGAGGGGAGGTCTTGTGTGTTGGCTGGACCACAGTTGTTTAGAAAACTCTGCCATATGTTTGCTTAATAATGCAAGCCTGTGGCTTTTAGAGTTTGGGTATCCCATGGATTGTTTTGTAAAATAATTTTAATTTCAAATGATTATAGTATTTAATTTCCCTTTCATCAGCCATTAAATACCTCAAGGAGTTATTATTTATTTTCTACCTACTTTCAGTAAGGATTCGGGGTGGGTTTTGAACACATTCAGTAACTGCAATAGTCACTCTTGTAGAGGAAGAGTCTCATTCGATTGTTCCTGCATGGAAAAGATGTTCAGTCAATTCTCTATTATCCGCACTAATAGATGGGTGCAATCAAGCAGATAATTTAAGTTATCGAGAGCAGCACAATCCAGTTTGTATTTTACTTTAGAACATGTAGGTATGATAGGTGTTTAGCCATTCAATCTAAATGGCAAAAGCAAACATCTGAAAAGCCCTTCGGAGGCACAGAAGGAAGCCCGCTGTCTCCTCTCAGGATCCTACCCCCTGTCCCAGATTCACCACTGAAAATGGAATGCATCACCGATGACAAAATGAGAGCCTAGTGTGGAATTTTCTTACCTGAGTTTCTGGCTGAGACCCTTCCTGGGAGAGATGCAATTAGGTGTTCAAGTTTAGATCATTCCTCTTCCAGTTACCGCAGGAAGAGACAGGTTTAATTTCTTATGGCAGATGAGAATGCTGGTAAGATTCCACCCGTGCACCACTTTGCAAGGCAGTTGAAGAATCCCTATGCCGTAGTTAGTTTCCACTTGTTAAATACTTCTGTCACTGTTTCACAATGCCAAAGCTTTGCTTGCTGTCTTAGCCAACTGTAATAGGGTAACCACTGCAGTAGAAATTTCACAAACTGTACCCGGTCTCATTGCTAGTGCATTAAAGCAATTCATACATAACAAAATATGACAGGATAAAATGAAATAAAATAAAAAGTCTCCTGAAAATCAGTATTGTGCTTATCCTTCCACAAAACACATATCAGATGGGTATGACCGAGGAACTACTGGATTCTTCAGTCAGTATCCACTAATAATTACTATATGTTCATTATGAAATTGAGAGTAATGCACAGGAGAGAGACATATTTCATGTTCACTAAAAGCACAGGTATAAATAAGTGATAATACAAAAGAAGACCTACTTTACAATGTACATTCAATATATTACATTTCTCTTCATTGAGATCCAGACTGAAATGGGGAGGAGGTTGACATCTAAGTCATTTATAGAATTTTGAGTGTTTCCCAAAGTTCTTAGGTCTAATCAGAGAGACTCTGCTATAATACAATCCATGGGAAATGATACTGGTTTCATTTTCAACTGGAAAACTTATTCTATATGAACAGAGAGGATGAGTAACAGACTAATTAATGACATCTGAAAAGAGTAACACATGGTTTATAATCAGCTGATGTACTGTTGAGCATTTTAGTTTTGACCTTGGCAAGATTTGGTTCTAAGACTATCTGTGAAAATTTTGATTTCAATTCTGTATAACTACTAGACTGCACACAAATCTGATTCAGAAGAAAGTTAATCATTAAAATGTTAGATTCCTTCTAAGTAGTATTGTTTAAAGCATTTAAATTTAGTTTCTGGGGTTTTCTCATTACCAAATATAATGGAAAGATTGTATATAGCAAAGACTTTTCCCAGTGTTCTGTAAATGTAGTAAAGATGTTTAAATTATAAAAATGCAGCTAGAATAAATCCATATTCATTGTAAATATCTCATTGTATGATAGTTATATTTGTGTCTTCTTTGCCAAATGTATGTATATTTTTATTCTGACTCATTACTGACCTTTCATCAATATTTGTTAATTAAACAAAATTATTACTACATATGGTAGAATGCAAGCTGAACAGGAACTCGAAGAGTGCAGCAAACAATGAAGTTTTGAAGGGGGAGGTGAAGACTGTGACAATGAGCTGCGCATTGAAAGGCAAATAGGGAATGAAAAGGAGAAATTATAAAATTTAGTTTTAAAAACTTTTTCTTTTTACTTCCAGGAAACTGTTTAAATACATTTCTACAGGAATATAGACTCAAAAGACTATTTAACTGGATACATAATTTTCAGTAAATTAATAGGCATTTGAATCCTAAAAAGAAAAAACACAGTAATAGCATTTTGATGAATGGAGATGAGTTGAGTAAAGGAGAACATATTTTTGACATATCCTCAGAGGAGGCGTAGAGAAATACACTAACTTCCAACTGAATAGGAACAAATTCCTGTTCAGAATATTATGAGGCCAATTCCTGCCTACCAGTCAATCCCCTCAAAATTCAGAAGAGAAGGAAGAAATAAATTTATATTTATATATCACATATATATATATATATATATATATATATATATATATATATATATATATACACACACACACACACACATATTTCATTCAATTGAACAATATTAATTTTAGGTTATTTTATACCCGTTTCAAGACTCAGACAAGTTAAATAACATGCCCAACATGACGTAGTAAATAGTGGATCTGAAATTCAAGCCCAGAAATTTAAATGCAAAGTCAAGCCCTTTCTGCTACAATATTCAATGTTAGAAGAAACGATAGAGTGTCATAATTATTAAAAATAATTATGCTTTCTGTAAAACTAATTAATGTTATTATCTTTAATAAGTAGCTTCAAAGTAAGATAAATCAATTGTGGAATTAATTAGATAAAATTCAGAAAAAAGATTGAAATAATGTCTGGATATTAATTTTAAATGTCATAATTTCAATTATATTTAAATTTCTTTTTATTAATATATTTATTAAATATGTATTAATGTACCCTATGTGCCACACACTGTGTTGAGAACAGAGTATTCAATTGTGAATGACACTGTTCTTGCCCTTGAGAAATTCATCATGTCGCCCTTTTGTATTTTCAGATTTTGCCCAATGGGAAATTTGTTGCTATGGGGATCAGCACATGACAAATATTAGCAGATTTATGAGTGTAGTGTGATTCTGAAGTAAGAGGATATCTCCACAAGCCTCACAGGGATATTTATCTCATTATTTTATAATCACACAGGTGCCTAATGATTTATTTTAATTTGTTTCTATGAATAGGCACTGTCATAAACCCTTCCCTATGTGCACCTCATTTTTGTTTTGTTTTTTTTTTTTTTTTTTGAGTCGGAGTCTCGCTGTTGTTGGCCGGGGCTGGAGTGCAATGGTGCGATCTTGGCTCATTGCAACTTCCGCCTCCCGGGTTCCAGCAATTCTCCTGCCTCAGCCTCCCGTGTAGCTGCAATTTTAGGCACGTGCCGCCACACCCGGCTAATTTTTGTACTTTTTAGTAGAGACAGGGTTTCACCACCTTGGCTAGGCTAGTCTCAAACTCCTGGCCTCAGGTGATCCACCTGCCTCGGCCTCCCAAAGTGCTGGAATTACAGGTGTGAGCCACCGCGCCCGGCCTCACCTCACTTTTTTCCCATTTTTTTAACGACTCAGGCTCCACACGTCACTCACTTTTTGGGCTCCTGCTTGGTTTTGTGAAACAATTTTCAGTCTGTGTCCTGAGGTCAATTCTACTCTCCCTTTCAAACATGATGCATTCTTTTGCAAACTCTCATCAGCATTAAGAACTCCTTACAAGTAGGCACAAAGTTCTACGACTGGCAATAAATATAAGATCAACTATGATTGGGTGCATATACATGGACAGAAAAGGGCATTCTATCATAAGCATATTTTAATTAAGAAATATTTTAACTTGATTGAAAAAGTACTGTTCTTTTTATTATCTGTGAGCCTATGATGCATTATGAGATTTTATACTAATGTTGGTTATTATTATTAAAATAAATTCCTATCTGTAGTGGCTGATCTTTTTATTTTAATTGCAAAATATAGAAACTGAAGAAAGCGAGAACGACGAGGGAACCCACTATCCCATATTGGACAAGAACAACACCTTTCTGGAAGAGATTTTTTTTGGCTAGGGAATGTCTTTTTTTTTTTTTTTTTTTTTTTGAGACAGAGTCTCGCTCTGTCGCCCAGGCTGGAGTGCAATGGTGCAATCTCAGCTCACTACAACAAACCGCCTCCTGGGTTTAAGCGATTTTCCTGCCTCAGCCTCCTGAGTAGCTGTGATTACAGGCGCATGCCACCATGTCTGGCTAATTTTTGTATTTTTAGTGGAGACGGGGTTTCACCATGTTGGTCAGGCTGGTCTAGAACTTGGCTAGGGAATGTCTTATTACATTTACAAACATTCCTCTGAAGCTGCATCCAAAAGAGCACTGCAGACGAAGAGATGCCCATGTAGTTCATGTATTTCAACTCATCAAGGCAATTCTGTTGGTTCTTTGGGCCACCTGTTTCTAGAGCCTTCTTCCATTTTGACCATCTGCTCTAACATGCATACAATGTAGTGCTTAGGGACCAAGCAGTGAGAAACTGTTTGTTTAACACAAATCCAT
The DNA here is from genome assembly GCF_000001405.40 of Homo sapiens. Lineage (NCBI taxonomy): Eukaryota > Metazoa > Chordata > Mammalia > Primates > Hominidae > Homo > Homo sapiens. Next base: position 187,514,886 of record NC_000004.12, read on the forward strand.
CCATATGATTGGAAAAGTACTCTGTGCATATTTCCATTAAGTTTCAGCTTTTTTTCCAACTATAATAAAGAGCTCTTTGTTATCATCACACAAATGTCTAATGCCATAAAGTATAGCTTAAAATTTTGCAAATACATTCCACCATTTAATATTTTCCCATGAATCTTTAATAATGAGATAAAGTTATAAAATATAGACACATAAAAAGCAAACATTTTCTTTTAGTTCCTCAGGTATTTCAACCTTTCTTATGCATTTATACAATGCTCTCTTTCTCTGGCCTGTTACACAAAATCCACATGTGCAAACACATAGACACACAGCATGCTGCAGCCTCAACCCTGGTTTCTTTCCAGCTTACTGTTTACTTCGGCAGGCATTAGCTGCCTCTACAGCAGAAGACCTTCACGTTTTTTTCACTCGTGTTGTATTTTATTGGAGCTATCAAATTGCAGACCATTTTCTACCTATCCCTGATTCCAACAAGAAAAGAAAAAATCTGAATTATGTGAATAATGGAGATAGCTTTGATAAAAAAAATTACCTTCAATGAAGTATAATAACTTAAACTTTTTTACCAAATATCACAAATTATGTATTCGCAATAGAGACGTATGGATAAGCTATTATGACATTAATAAGTGATCAGTTCCCAGAATTTGGAAGACTCTCATGGACCCCAGTGAACCCACAGACCACTGCATTAGGAAAGTCACTACTAGTAGTTGTTTCCTGTGAATTTCTCAGTTTTTCCCTTTGTCTTTGACCAAAATCTTCAGTTCCATTCTTCCATCAAAACTTTTCATGAAATATTTCTAACAAAAATACACAAATTAAATTTTATATTCCAATAATACACTCAAATTTTAGATATTGAGAAACTAATAAGAAGTGATTGCAGGGGGGTTGGGAAAATAGAATTGATTTGTAAATGAATATATTTTATTTCATGAATAGCCATACTACCTCTAATGTAGACAGCAATAGCTATAAAATGATTCCTTTTATTTTCTATTTAACAGAGGCTCTTACATTCTCATTTCCTAATATTAATCTCCTCCATTATATAAATTTATTTTCACTGGTCCTTAAGTCCTGTATTCTTTTAAGATAAATGGTACCTTTAGTAATCTATCTGGTTCCTTCTTAGGTATTCAATATTTTATACTAAAACATTGCTAAATGTATGAGATGGGAGTTCCATGAATAATGAGATGGGGAGACAAGAAATGACCAGTGTTAACAAAAAATATTCAATTATTGAATTTTTTGATATAAAAATATGAAAAACAAGGTAAATAATTAAAATTTAGTAACAGACATGTGAGATCTCTTTGAAAGAACTGAGATTACAGTATCTGGTGAGAAAATGGTTGATCTTGAACTTGAATAGACAATGAGCTATGATTTGAAATTATAGTTCTTTTTTCTTCAAAATAATGGGAAAAAGGAAATGGGAATTATGTGTTAAGAAATGTTTTCAGATAGCAAGTGAATAGAAGCTGTCATTCCACATGAGTGCATTGTTCAGGAATCTGTTGCATATAATGATAAATAAAACTCAAACTGTCTTAAATAATGAAGACATATCACTGGCTTGGAAGATGTCTGCAAAGCCTTGATCAAGTGGCGCAATATTACTGAAGACAGATTTCTTCCATCTCTGTCTTCTACAGTATTTTGCTTCAATCCAAAACTGGCTTTAGCTTTCATCTAAAGCTCTGTTTCTGGTCACAAGACGGAGGCCAGTCGTTAGCAGGAGAGCCATGCTTCTAATCACACTCAGTAGGAAGAAAGGTTGTTTCTTCCAGTACGCTTCTTGGAAAAACAATCCAACTTCTATTGGGGAAGTCCACAGAAAATGTCGCTACAATTTGCATTGGCCAAAACTGTTTTACGTTTCCAGGGGTGGAGGCGAGGGTTGGGGCAGCGGTCAGTTTCCATGAAGTACAGGTGTTTCATGGACAAGGGGTATCATGCAACTGGGGCTTAATTAACAGGATGTAAGAGGAAGGGATCTTGGGCAATCCCATTTGGCAAATATCTACCAGTGAGAGGCTATTTGATGAGATTCATCCTGGGTTTTGCTGCCAGCCCTGTAAACTCATCTGGGGAAAACTCCATTGCTGAGATTACTCAGTACAAGTTGCCTACCTTAAGTTGAGAAAGAATGGTAAATGTATCTATAATACTTACAATCAAAGGGTCCAACATCTTTAAAGCTAAGTTCATTATCTTCTTGTTTCTTTCTTTTTCTCCTCATTCAACCCTTGCCCTCAGACACCTATGCATAATTGGAGCAGAAACAAAAAATAGAGCAATAACATGGCATGACATTTCTGAATCCACACAATTCTTTCGGTATTGTTTTAATACTTTTCATATATATATATATATATACACACATATATATATGAAAAGAATAAAAATATATAGAAATATACTTTATATATTTTTATTCTTTTCAGAGGTGATACATAAAGGAATTTGAGAAGCATATAAAAATTAGGTTGGTTGATTGTGGCAAAATGGCTTTGAGCATTTGTTTATTTTACATTTACTAAATAGGGTATATGTTTTATGATTTTCTTATGATGCAGTGACAAACAATGCTGAATAGAAGTCTTCAAAGGGAGCTTAATTGCTTTCACCTTTCCGTGATTCTATTTGCAAACCCCTTCATCATTGTACTAAAAAACATTTATGTTTTCTGGTAACTGTCTCAAACCCTTCCCGTTTTCAAAGAATCTCTATGGGGTTAAAAGAACTAGATATTCCTTCTTCTTGGCATCAAGGGAATCAGCAGAACTGACATCAACTAGGCTCTGGCAGTGCAGGTTTCTACTTCAGACTTTTGAATATTAACATGGGGATTTAAATATAAGATAGCTAATACGTATGTACTTCTGATTATGTTGCAGACTATGTTCTAAATGGTCTCATTTAATTCTTACCACAACTTTATGTAATAGAGACTTCTATTTTCCACATTTTTAAGATGCAGAAACTGAAGTCCAAAGATGAAAGACCAGTTAATACAGTATTAGTAATGGCAATAAGCTTTGAAAATCTCCTGAGAAAAAGGGAAGCATGACCCAAGATCCAGGAAGTGCATTTCCACGTCCAACCATGCTGGAGTAACTCTCTACAAGCAACTCTAAAACTAAACTCTAAAAGCATATATGGATAAATGGTTTTCTGGCATTGGACAATAGGATCACATGCTTTATGCGATTTCTGAGAGAACGGGGCTCTAGGAGATGAGATGCGTGGCTGCCCCACTCTCAGCCTGGAATGATTTCCTAACCAAAACACAAGGAGTTGAAGTCCAGGCAGAGAACTATGGTCTCATTGGGATGAGAAGTGGAGATCAGAATCTGAGGCTGCTGAAGGGGCTGCTATCTGCAGGGCAACGGACCGAGGAGATTCAATACTGACGTGATGTCTGTTCTCCAAAAATCTATACACTCAATGCAATTCGAATCAAAATTCCAACTGACTTTTTAAAAATTGGCAAATTGCTTCTAAATGTTGTATGAAATCAAATGACCTAGAAAATTCAGCAATTCTGAAAAAAAAGAAGTAACTACAAAGTTGGAAGATTTAACCTACTTGACTTCAAAATTTATTGTAGGGCTGCAGTAAACAAAATACTTAATGTTGCATAGGATCAATTAAATACACCAGAGTCCAAAGTGTGCCCACACATATGGGCAATTGATTTTTTTATAAAAGCACCAAAGTAATTTAATAAGGGGGAAATGGTCTATTTTCAACAAATAGTGATAGAATAGTTAGACATCTGTATGATTACGAACAAAAATGAACCCTGAATAGGGTAGCATGCTCCCTCACACTAACACAGTAATTAATTTCAAATAGATCATAGAATTCAATGTAAATGCCAAAACAAGAAAGCTTTAGAAAGGAAACACAGAGGAAAAACGTCTTTGACCTTGATATAGGTAAAGATTTCTTAGAGAATACTTAAAAAGCATGAAACACTTTTAAAATGATGAAATAGACTTTAAATTAATTCTGCTCTTAAAAATACTATGAAGAAAATGAAAAATCCAGCTGGACTGGAAAATATCTGTAAATATGTATCTGACAAAGTGCTGATGTCCAGAATATAAAGAGAATTTTTACAACTCAATGGTGAAATAAATAACCCAATTACAAAATTGTCAAAGGGCTTAAAATAGATGCAACAAAACAGAAGATAAAGATCAATAAACACATGAAAATATCCTCAATATCCTAATTTACCAGTAAAATACAAATTATAATAAAATGACATACTACTTACCCACTGGAAAGGATAAACTTAAAAACTGACAATATGAAATATTGGTAAGAATATGGAGTACCTGGAGCTGTCATACACTGCAAGTGAAATGATGAAATGATGTAACACCTGAAAACTGCTTGTTAGTTTCCTGTAAAGTTAAACAGATACTTACAACATTGTACAGCAATTCAACTTCTGTATATTACCTAAGAGAAAAAATATATACATATGTCCATACAAAGGCCTATACAAGAATGTTGACAGCAGCATTATTCTTAATGGCCTGAAAGTGGAAACCAGTGCAAATGTCCATCAACTGATGGATGCATAAACAAATTATGCAATATTTATATGATAGAATACTATTCAGCACTAAAGAACAACCAACTGAGATGCTCAACAACACTGATCAATCTCAAAATGTAATGCTAAGTGAAAAACAGCGAAACACAAAGACTCCGTTAGTGTATCTTTCCATTCATAAGTCATTCTAAATAGGCAAAGTTAATCTGAAGTGATAGAACTAGATCAGTAGTTGCCAGGAGTGGGAGACTAGGGATTGTAAAGGGAGTGTTCTGGGGGATGAAAATGTTTTGTGTCTTGACCATGATGGTAGTTATGGAGGTACACATGGTTATCAAAACTTGTCAAACTATACATTAAAATTGTGTATATTAGTCTATGTAAATTAGACAGCAAGAAAGCTAAATTTTTACAAATATCAGGACTAACCCTGGAGTCTTGCATCCATTGGCAAGAATATCAAGCATCCTATGGGAACCATTGTAACCACAATTTTCCAATGGCTTGATCTTGGCTGAGTTTGCAACTCCTTTGGTTCTTGTCCTGCTTTAGAGCCTGAATTCCCAGGCTTCACTTTGTTTCTGTAAGCTCGCCAATGCTTTCACTTTATTATTATTTGCTTAAGTTGGTCAGGGTGAGTATCTGTTGACTGCCTACTAGTAGGCCTATCTCCAGATATATAGGAGCAGAGTGACATAGGCTCTTGATATGGAAAATTACAGTCTGCTTTTTAAACACCTAACTCTTAACAGTAATGTGTTGTTTGATCTTCAACAAATTTTTTCCCTACTATGTGATGCAGTCTCCTAATTTGGTAAGCATGCCTAATTTCCCATGCAAGTCTTCATTAGTACAATGTCCTCTGCATGTTGATTGACTGAAAGCTTTATCCCTTATAAAGGCCCAACTGTATGAGTAATAAGTGACCAGTGAAAAAATAAGTTGGTAATTTACAGTATTTTCATTCCAACTTATCCTACTTTCCTTATGGAATGAAAATAAACTGTATGTATATATGCACCATTTGAAAACATCTTGTTTTGTTCATCAATGTTATAGGAAGTCACAATTTAGACTTTAAAAACATAATTGAAATACTGATTTACAAGGTAAAATTATGTAAGAAATATCACTGAGCATCTCCTTAGTTTCAAATTAAATGGGATCTAGTTAATACTTTTCTTTCTTTGGAGACACATGTTCTACATCTTAAATGTTTTTGAATGTTCATTACTTAATTCAACAAGTAAAAAAACAAATAAACCAATTAAAAAGTAGGCAAAGGACATGAATGGATACTTCTAAAAAGAAGAATACAAGTGACCAACAAACATGAAAAAATGATCAACATCACTAATCATCACAGAAATGCAAATCAAAACAACAATGAGATTCCATCTTACAACGGTCACAACAGTTATCATTAAAAAGTTAAAAAACTCTCTAGATTCCTCCTCTCTGGACAGGGCATCTCTGAAAGAAAGGCAGCAGCCCCAGTCAGGGGCCTATAGATAAAACTCCCATCTCCCCGAGACAGAGCACCTCTGGGAAGGGGCGGCTGTGGGTGCAGCTTCAGCAGACTTAAACGTTCCTGGCAGCCAGCTCTGAAGAGAGCAGCAGATCTCCCAGCACAGTGCTTGACCTCTGCTAAGGGACAGACTGCCTCCTCAAGTGGGTCCCTGACCCCTGTGCCTCCTAACTGGGAGACACCTCCCAGCAGGGGTCGACAGACGCCTCATACAGGAGAGCTCCAGCTGGAATCTGGTGGGTGCCCCTCTGGGATGAAGCTTCCAGAGGAAGGAATAGGCAGCAATCTTTGCGTTCTGCAGCCTCCACTGGTGATACCCAGGCAAACAGGGTCTGGAGTGGACCTCCAGCAAACTCCAGAAGACCTGCAGCAGAGGGGCCTGACTGTTAGAAGAAAAACTAACAAAGAGAAAGGAAAAGCATCAACATCAACAAAAAGGACATCCACACAGAAACTCCATCCGAAGGTCACCAACATCAAAGACCAAAGGTAGATAAATCCACAAAGATGAGGAAAAACCAGCGCAAAACAGCTCAAAATCCCAAAAATCAGATTGCCTCTTCTCTTCCAAAGTATCATAACTCCTCACCAGCAATGGAACAAAGCTGGACAGAGAATGATTTTGACAAACTGACAGAAGTAGGCTTCAGAAGGTGGCTAATAACAAACTCCTCCAAGCTAAAGGAGCGTGTTCTAACCCAATGCAAGGAAGCTAAGAACCTTGAAAAAGGGTTAAACAAATTGCTAACTAGAATAACCAGTTTAGAGAAGAGCATAAATGACCTGATGGAGCTGAAAAACACAGCATGAGAATTTCGTGAAGCATACACAAGTATCAATAGCTGAATCGATCAAGCATTAGAAAGGATATCAGAAATTGAAGATCAACTTAATCAAATAAAGTGTGATGACAACATTAGAGAAAAAAGAATGAAAAGGAATGAACAAAGCCTCCAAGAAATAAGGGACTATGTGAAAAGACCAAACCTACGTTTGATTGGTGTACCTGAAGGTGACAGGGAGAATGGAACCAAGTTGGAAAACACTCTCTTCAGGATATTATCCAGGAGAACTTCCCCAGCCTAGCAAAACAGGCCAATGTTCAAATTCAGGAAATACGGAGAACACCACAAAGATACTCCTCCAGAAGAGCAACCCCAAGACACATAATCATCAGATTCACCAAGGTTGAAATGAAGGCAAAAGTGTTAAGGGTAGCCAGAGAGAAAGGTTGGATTACCGACAAAGGGAAGCCCATCAGACTAATAGCAGATCTCTCTGCAGAAACCCTACAAGCCAGAAGACAGTGGGGGCCAATATTCAACATTGTTAAAGAAACGAATTTTCAACCCAGATTTTCATATCCAGCCAAACTAAGCTTCGTAAGTGAAGGAGAAATAAAATCCTATACAGACAAACAAATGCTGAGAGACTTTGTTACCACCAGGCCTGTCTTACAAGAGCTCATGAAGGAAGCACTAAATATGGGAAGGAAAAACCGGTACCAGCCACTGCAAAAACATACCAAATTGTAAAGACCATTGACATTATGAAGAAACGGCATCAACTAATGGGAAAAATAACCAGCTAGCATCATAATGACAGGAACAAATTCACACATAACAATATTAATCTTAAATGTAAATGGGCTAAATATCCCAATTAAAGGACACAGACTGGCAAATTGGATAAAGAGTCAAGACCCATCAGTGTGCTGTATTCAGGAGACCCATCTCACGTGCAGAGACACACATAAGCTCAAAATAAAGAGATGGAGGAATATTCACCAAGCAAATGGAAAGCAAAAAAAAGCAGGGATTGCAATCCTAGTCTCTGATAAAAGATTACAAAAGGTATCAACGCACAAGAAGAGCTAACTATCCTAAATACATATGCACCCAATACAGGAGCACCCAGATTCATAAAACAAGTTCTTAGAGACCTACAAACAGACTTAGACTCCCACACAATAATAGTGGGAGACTTTAACACCCTACTGTCAATATTAGACAGATCAACGAGAGAGAAAATTAACAAGGATATTCAGGACTTGAACTTAGCTCTGGACAAAGCAGACCTAATAGACATCTACAGAACTCTCCACCCCAAATCAACAGAATAAAACATTCTTCTCAGCACCATATTGCACTTATTCTAAAATTGACCACACAATTGGAAGTAAAGCACTCCTCAGCAAATGCAAAAAAAAAAAATGGAAATCATAACAATCTCTCAGAACACAGTGCAATCAAATTAGAACTCAGGATTAAAAAGCTCACCCAAAACTGCACAACTACATGGAAACTGAACAACCTGCCCCTGAATGACTACTGGGTACATAACAAAATTAAGGCAGAAATAAATTAGCTCTTTGAAACCAATGAGAACAAAGACACAATGCACAAGAATCTTTGGGAGACAGCTAAAGCAGTGTTTAGAGGGAAATTTAGAGCACTAAATGCCCACAGGAGAAAGCAGCAAAAATCGAAAATCAACACCCTAACATCACAATTAAAATAACTAGAGGCCAGGCACGGTGGTTCACGTCTGTAATCCTAGCACTTTGGGAGGCCGAGGCAGGCGGATCATCTGAGGTGAGGAGTTCAAGACCACCCTGGCCAACATGGTGAAACCCTGTCTCTACTAAAATACAAAAATTACCCAGGCATGATGGTGGGTGCCTGAAATCCCAGCTACTTGGGAGGCTGAGATGGGAGAATCACTTGAACCTGGGAGATGGTGGTTGTGGTGAGCTTAGATCGCACCACTGCACTCCAGCCTGGACGGCTGAGACTTTTTGAGTGCAACTCAAAAAATAAAATAAAATAAAATAAAATAACTAGAGAAGTGAGAGCAAACAATTCAAAACCTAGCAGAAGACAAGAAATAATTAAGATGAGGGAAGAACTGAAGGAGATAGAGACACAAAAAGCCTTCAAAAAATCAATGAATCTAGGAGTTGGTTTTTTGAAAAGATTAACAAAATAGATAGACCACTAGGCAGACTAATAAAGAAGTAAAGAGAGAAGAATCAAATAGACACAATAAAAAAATGATAAAGGAGGTATCACCACTGATCCCACAGAAATCCAAGCTATAAGAGCATACTATAAACACCTCTATGCAAATTAACTAGAGAATGTAGAAGAAATGGATAAATTCCTGGACACATACACCCTCCCAACACTAAACCAGGAAGGAGTCAAATCTCTGAATAGATCAATAACAGGTTCTGAAATTGAGGCAGTAATTAATAGCCTACCAACCAAAAAAAAACCCAGGACCAGAAGGATTCACAGCCAAATTCTACCAGAGGTACAAAGAGGAGCCGGTACCATACCTTCTGAAACTATTCCAAACAATAAAAAAGAGGGAATCCTCCCTAACTCATTTTATGAGACCAGCGTCATCCTGATACTGCCAAAATCCGGCAGAGACACAGAAAAAAAGAAAATTTCAGGCCAATATCCCTGATGAACATCAGTGCAAAAATCCTCAATAAAATACTGGCAAACCAAATCCAGCAGCACATCAAAAAGTTTATCCACCACTATCAAGTTGGCTTCATCCCTGGGATGCAAGGCTGGTTCAACATATGCAAATCAATAAACATAATCCATCACATAAACTGAACCAATGAGAAAAACCACATGATTATCTCAATAGATGCAGAAAAGGCCTTCGACAAAATTCAACACACCTTTGTGCTAAAAACTCTCAATAAACTAGGTATTGATGGAATGTATTTCAAAATAATAAGAGCTCTTTATGACAAACCCACAGCCAATATCATACTGAATAAGCAAAAGCTGGAAGCATTCCTTTGAAAACCGGCACAAGACAAGGACGCCCTCTCTCACCACTCCTATTCAACATAGTATTGGAAGTTCTGGCCAGGGCAATCAGGCAAGAGAAAGAAATAAAGTGTATTCAAATAGGAAGAAAGGAAGTCAAATTGTCTCTATTTGCAGATGATATGATTGTATATTTAGAAAACCTCATTGTCTGAGCCCAAAATCTCCTTAAGCTGATAAGCAACTTCAGCAAAGTCTCAGGATACAAAATCAATGTGCAAAAATCACAAGCTTTCCTATACGTCAATAAAAGAGAGCTAAATCATGAGGGAACTCCCATTCACAATTGCTACAAAGTGAATAAAATACCTAGGAATACAACTTACAAGGGATATAAGGACCTCTTCAAGGATAACTACAAACCACTGCTCAAGGAAATAAGACAGGACACAAACAAATGGAAGAAATTTAGATGCCCATGGATAGGAAGAATCAATATTGTGAAAATGGCCATACTGCCCAAAGTAATTTATAGATTCAGTGCTATCCCCATCAAGCTACCATTGACTGTCTTCATAGAATTAGAAAAAAAATACTTTAAATTTCATATGGAGCCCGTATAGCCAAGACAATCCTAAGCAAAAAGAACAAAGCTGGAAGCATCACACTACCTGACTTCAAACTATACAATTCCACAGTAACCAAAACAGCACGGTACTGGTACCAAAACAGATATATAGACCAATGGAACAGAACAGAGGCCTCCGAAATAATGCCACAAATCTACAACAATCTGATCTTTGGCAAACTTGACACAAACAAGCAATGGGGAAAGGATTCCCTGTTTAATAATTGGTGTTGGGAAAACTGGCTAGCCATATGCAGAAAACTGAAACTGGACCCTTTCCTTACCCCTTATACAAAAATTAATTCAAGATGGATTAAAGACTTAACTGTAAGACCTAAAACCATAAAAACCCTGGAAGAAAACCTAGGCATTACCATTCAGGACATAGGCATGGACAAGGACTTCATGACTAAAACACAAAAAGCAATGGCAACAAAAGCCAAAATTGAAAAATGTGATCTAATTAAACTAAAGAGCTTCTGCACAGCAAAAGAAACTATCGTCAGAGTTAACAGGCAACCTACAGAATAGGAGAAAATTTTTGCAATCTATCCATCTGACAAAAGGCTAATATACAGAATCTACAAGGAACTTAAACAAGTTTATAAGAAAAAACAACCCCAACAAAAAGTAGGCAAAGTATATGAACAGACATTTCTCAAAAGAAGACATTTATGTGGCCAACAAACATATGAAAAAAAGCTCACCATCACTGGTCATTAGAGAAACGCAAATCAAAACCACAATCAGATACCATCTCATGCCCGTTAAAATGGCAATCACTAAAAAGTCAGGAAACAACAGATGCTGGAGAGAATGTGGAGAAATAGGAACACTTTTACACTGTTGGTAGGAGTATAAATTAGTTCAACCATTGTGGAAGACAGTGTGGTGATTCCTCAAGGATCTAGAGCCAGAAATACCATTTGACCCAGCCATCCCATTACTGGGTATATACCCAAAGGATTATAAATCAATCTACTATAAATACATATGCACATGTATGTTTATTGCAGCACTGTTCATAATAGCAAAGACTTGGAACCATCCCAAATGCCCATCAATGATAGACTGGATAAAGAAAATGTGCACATATCATGGAATACTATGCAGCCACAAAAAAAAGGATGAGTTCATGTCTTTTGCAGAGACATGGATGAACCTAGAAACCATCATTGTCATCAAACTAACACAGGAACAGAAAATCAAACACCGCATGTTCTCACTCATAAGTAGGAGTTGAACAATGCGAACACATGGACACAAGGAGGGGAACGTCACACACCAAGGCCTGTTGTGGGGTGGGGGGCTAGAGGAGGGAGAGCATTAGGAGAAATACCTAATGTAGATGACAGGGTGATGGGTGCAGCAAACCACCATGGCACGTGTAGACCTATGTAACAAACCTGCACATTCTGCACATGTATCCCAGAACTGAAAGTATAATTTAAAAAAAATGTAAATAATTACAAATACTGGCCAAGCTGCAAAGAAAGGGGAACACTTATAAATGGTTGGTGGGAATGTAACCTAGTTCAGTTACTGTGAAAAACAGTTTGGAGGCTTAAAACAGGTCTACTATTTGACCCAGAAATACCATTAACTGGGTATATACCCAAGGGAAAATAAATTATTCTACCAAAAAGCCAGGTACATTTGCATGTTAATTGAGTCACTATTTATAGCAAAGACATGGAATCAACCTAGGTGCCAATCAACAGTGGATTGAATAAAGAAAATGTGGCACATATACACCATGGAATACTACACAGCCATACAAAATAATGGAATTGTGAACTTTGCAGCAACATGGATGCAGCTGGAGGCCATTATCTGAAGCAAATTAATGCAGGAAAAGAAAACCAAATACTACATGTTCTCTTTATAAGTGAAAGCTAAACATTGGAAACTCAAGGAAATACAGATGGTAACAATAGACGCTGGGGACTAATAGAGGGGGAAGGGAGAGGGAAGGGTTGAAAAACTAACTTTTGGGTTCTAGCTTCAATATGTGGGTGATGGAATCATCCGCACCTCAAACCTCAGCATCACACAATATACCCACATAACAAACCTGCATATATAACACCCTGAATCTAAAATAAAAGTTGAAAATAAATAAACAAGTGAGCATAATACCTAAATGAACTTTTAAGAACCAAGCAAAAATAGAAAATAAATGAAAATGTTCATTGATTTTTAAATGCTCACTGAAGAAGACATAATTTTGATAATATTATCACATAACTCTAGTGGAATTTAAGATCTTATTACATCATGAATATATCATTTCTAAATTTTGATTGTATATATTACAAAATAAAGATATTCATTTAATTTAAAGAGTCCTATAAACGCAGGAAATTTTCTTGATTTTATTTTTTATTTCATTGTCTAGATAAATTTCATAATATAACCAAACAAATTACATGTTTAAAATGAAAGCATTCTTACGATACTCAATTGCTGTATACTTATAGTCATCATGCTGGTTCCTAATGATCTGACAGTCTGTCAAAAAAAATGAAAATAGTCATTAGAACATTCCCTTTCCTTTCAAACTTAGATTGTAACAATTATAATGCCATGAAAGTAAGTCATCCAATCCCAGAAGACAACATGCATGCATAATTTAAAATAATAGGCCATAGTATGTTGTTTGGTCTAATTAGTGTCATAAATAGTGCACAACAATAACTGGATTTACAAGAAAAATTTTAAGCTATTAAAGAGATTTTGGGCATCATACAAATGATAAAATAGAGGGGATTTTGGAATCTGGACAGCTGCTAGAGATGTGAAAGGAAATGAGATATCATGAGTGTGTCAGATTTCACGTATTCATTGAGAGGCATGAAATACATTTTTGGTGAGCTGCACATTTGTCCATGCTTTGCTTTTCTTTTTCTTTCTTTCTTTTTTTTTTTTTTAATTGAGACAGTCTCATTCTGTTGCCCAGGCTGGAGTACAGTGGAGTGATCTTGGCTCACTGCAACCTCTGCTTCCCGGGTTCAAGCAATTCTCATGCCTCAGCCTCCTGAGTAGCTGGGACTACAGGTGCACGCCACCACGCCCACCTAATTCTTTGTAGTTTTAGTACAGACGGGGTTTCACCATGTTGGCCAGGCTAGTCTCAAACTCCTGACCTCAGGTGATCCACCCACCTTGGCCTCCCAAAGTGCTGGGATTACAGGCATAAGACACCATGCCCAGCCTGTCCATGCATTTTCAAACCAAGGGTCATTGAATTATGCCTGGTGTCTACACTGTATTTGAGACTTCAACTAAAAATCTTATCTTTTAAAATATGGAGTAAGAGGGAGAACAGCAAACACAATGAATGGCTTACTCAACTTCTCTTCAACTTCATTTTGATAGTGTATGTATTGTTTTGAAGATATTTTTCCTTTTTTGTGTTGGTTTTAATAAAAAGTGTTTAACTGTGTACATTGGGATCAATAATATCTTATTTATAAAAATTAGACATCTCTATTACAGATTCTTGCTGTCTGGCATGTAAGAATGATTTCAGGATCTTTATCAGGCCAGTTGTGAAGACCTTCATAGCCATTATTTTTCATCTAACATTTAAAAAATTGTTATTAGCCTGTAATCCCAGCACTTTGGGAGGCCGAGGCGGGCGGATCACGAGGTCAGGAGATCGAGACCATCCCGGCTAAAATGGTGAAACCCCGTCTCTACTAAAAATACAAAAAATTAGCCGGGCGTGGTGGCGGGCGCCTGTAGTCCCAGCTACTTGGGAGGCTGAGGCAGGAGAACGGCGGGAACCCGGGAGGCGGAGCTTGCAGTGAGCCGAGATCGCGCCACTGCACTCCAGCCTGGGCGACAGAGCGAGACTCCGTCTCAAAAAAAAAAAAAAAAAAAAAAAAAAAAAAAAAAAATTGTTATTAGTGGCCAGGTGCGATGGCTGATGCCTGTAATCCCAGCACTTTGGGAGGCCGAGGCGGGCAGAACACGAGGTCAGGAAATCGAGACCATCCTGGCCAACATGGTGAAACCCCGTCTCTACTAAAATACAAAAACCTAGCCAGGCATGGTGGTGCATGCCAGCTACTCGGGAGGCTGGGGCAAGGGAATCGCTTGAACCCGGGAGGCAGAGATTGCAGTGAGTTGAGATCAAGCCACTGCACTCCAGCCTGGTGACAGAGTGAGATTCCATCTCAAAAAAACAAAAAAAAATGTTTTTAGCATTATATTAATGCGTTTATGTATTTATTTACATATTACATAGTAATACAATTAACTATTTTGGTCTTCTTAATATAGCACTTTGTCGTAACATTACGTCAATGACTAAAACAGGTTTTGGAAAGAATTAGCATTCTGCTGAGGCAGACTTGACTGCAGACTGAGAAGAATAACGTATATAAAATTACTACTAAATGCCTTCCTAGGGTCAAAATAATGACAGATGTTAAAAATGCATGCCAGTGTAAAATTCTCAGATTAATTTCCAGAAAATTAAGTAAACACTATAGCTGCATATAAATCTTTGGAACTGTTCTTATTGACCTTTCATCTGTCTTTGCTGATATCTCCAAATTGACACTACTTGCCATGGTCTCTAAATTGTATAAATGCAATTTGGCTTGAATGAGCATGGGAAATCCCCACCAAGTTGCAAGTTAGGGAAATGTGTCAAAATATTTCATAAGTAAAAGGACTATGAAAGCTGGTCCACTGAGGGATCCTAATGGAGCTCCGGCCAACCTCCTCCCCAGTAAGATGGCCAGGGCAGTGTGCCCACAGGACTCCAAGTGTTCTGAAGTGCCTGCAGTATATCTGGGGGTGTCTGGCTTCCTTTTGTATTGAGAAGTGACATTTTGCATTATGGGATGAGTAAATCGAGCCTCACCATAGTTTGGATCAGCCTATCTGAAGTAATCAGTGTCCTTATGCTACGAGTACATAAAGATGATCAGTGCAGCCCAGCTATTCCATTGTGCCTCAACATGTCATTCTGTTCAGAGCAGAGTCTCTCTAGAAGCTCAGCCTGTCTGGCTGTCACTACAGCTCGGCCCATTGGGAGATGTACATGAAGCATGAACACCCACATCTTCACCCAGTTGAAATGCATCCAAATGGAGGCCATTTTCTAGGCCAGGGGTTGTCAGCTCCCTGGGTGGCAAACCGGTACACATAGCAGGAGGTGAGCAGGAATAAGGAAGCATTCCTGCCTGAACTCTGCCTCCTGTCAGATTGGAGGTGGGATTACATTCTCATAGGAGCGCGAACCCTATTGTGAACTGTGCATGTGAGGGACCTAGGCTGTGTGTTCCTTATGAGAATCAAATGCCTGATGATCTGAGTGAAATAGTTTCATCCTGAAACCATCCTCCACCCCCTTCATGGAAAAATTGTCTTTCACAAAACTGGTCCCTGGAGCCAAAAGGTTGGGGACCAATGGTCTAGGTGACATCAAAGTGAGACAGTGGGAACCACTGTCTCAGCAACAGCCCTCTGACTTGTGGATGCTTCCAAAGAGCCTTCACTTTGTGTAAAGGGTCATCTTCCCTTCCCTTTCCCCACATGGCCTCTACTCCTGCCCTGCAAATCCTATCTATGATGGTCCATGACCTGGGAAGATGGGAGAGGGAACCCCAGGAGAGATCCCCACTATCCAACTCCAAGGACGTCTGACGTTTGTGGAACACTAAGATTATGAAAGAGAAACAACACTGCAGTGAGGACCGCTGATTCTGGGGCAAATAAAAATAATGAAGTGAGAAATGAAGAACCTTGAACAATTCTAATTCCTTAAGAGATGTGAGAACATACATTACCATAAAATAGGTAGAGGTTGCAATGAGGAAGGACTCATCAGAGACTAAGAAACAACTCTTGGAAATTAAAATAAGGCTGTCAGGTAACTACCCATGAAGCTGAATTCCACACTAGTCAGCTGGAAAAAAAAATTTTTTTTAAAGTACAGAAAATTTCACAGAATACAAAATAAAAAGGCAAACAGATAATATGAAACAAACGGTAAGAGAAATGGAGGCTAGACCCAGATGGTCCAATAAATATCTAATACAGGTGTTTGAAGGACAGACCTGTGGCAGCTGAAGAGCCTTTCTTCTCCAATAATTAAAACATAAGTCCTGGGATTCAGTCTCACTGGACTAACTTGAATTGTAACCCTATCCTTGAAGCAATTACTGTACCAGAAATATGGAGAAAACATGAAAGTGATATATTGATTTTCAAATGTTAAGATGGCTTAAAGACAGAACAAATACGTAAAAATTTATGGATCTGAATGCAAATGTTATCAGTCTTGCCTATGTAAATATAAAGTTGCAGTTTACATAAGATGAGAAAAAGAACTACATAAGATATGTGTAGAGAATAGGTTCCTAAAATTGAAGCTTCAAGTGATGCTTAAAATTGTCAAAAACAGAAAACCATTTATGTACCTTATTTAAAGGTACTATAATATTAACTGAAGAACTAAAATAACTTTCCTTAATTTAAGAAGAGGGACTGTCAAGCTAAATCCCTCCTCTTATGTAGAAGAGAATCAACAGTTAGTACCTAAAGCTGATAAACTGAAGAAGTATGTTATTTACAATTACAGTAGGGAACACCAGCAGAATTTAAAAGAGAAATTATTACAAGTTCTCTCTGGAGAGTTGGATTTGGTTTCAAAATGGATTGAGGGGATTCTATTAGCTTTTATTTCATACCCTTCTCTATTTTTAAAAAAACAATTTGCATGTAGTCAGCCCTCTGTATCTGTGGGCTCCACATCCATGGATTCAACCAACCGTGGACAGAAAATATTCAGAGGGAAAAAAATTGAATCTGTACCGAATATGTACAGATGTTTTTCCTTCTTGTTATTTCCTAAACGACACAGCATAACAACTATTTATGTAGCATTTACATTGTATTAGGTATTATAAGTAATCTAGAAATAAAGTATAAAAAGGGTGTGCATGGGTTATATGCAAATATTACACCATTTTCTATATCAGGGACTTGAGCATCCCAGGATTTTGGTGTCCCTAGGTGTCCTGGAACCAGTCCTCCATGGATACCTAGGGACAATTGTATTATTTTGTGATACAAATGTGTGCATAAATACATGAGTAAAATATGTAATTATAAAGCTAGAAAACTTTAGATTATCTTAGAATAGTATCTGTAAACATTTAAATGATATTACTATGTATATACATAAAACATTGCGTGAGCTTGGGAAATATACATATTTTTGCACTTGTAAGAACTGTTAAGAGGTGGAAAATATTTTTCTATTCTAGCAGTTGACAGTTTCTTTCTGTAAAGGGCCAGACAGTAAATATTTAGGGCTTCGTGATCATAAGGAACAATTCAGGGCATTATGTATGTACATATATAACCAGGGAAAAAAATCCCACAATTTGTATTGTCAAAATTTAGAATATGATAAAAATTGACTATGATTTTGTCATAATACAAATTTACTAATGAGAAGAACAAAAACCTTTTTTGAGGGGAAAGGTGATAATATTTTGTTTAGTTGCGGTTCAAAGTGAGTGTTCTCTCTTGTCAACCCAGTTTTAACATTCATCTGTAAAGACAGACTCATTTGTGGGCCGTAAAAAAAAACACACGTGCTGGACCGGATTTTGTTCATGGGCTACATGTAGTTCGCCGACTGCCGCTCTATTTAGTCTGCTCCCATTTAGCTGGAATCCAGACTTAGGATTTCTCAGCTCTCTGTTGTGAATCGCCAGGTTTCTTCTCAGTTTGTTGCAGAATCAATACTCTGTTAAACAAAATAAAAACTGAGTTACTATAAAAATGAAATTTAAAAAAAAAGCAGACATACAAAATATAGCCCCCAACATTTAATTATTAGAATTAATAAACAAAATTATCCTGCTAAATTACTACAAAAGTTTCTGAACACTTACATTTTCAATTTCCATATTTATATAGTGGCAAAAAGATAATAAAGAGCTTTGCAGCCTGATCCCAAATAGTTCCTTCATCTTTTTGGACTTTTAAAAAATATATTTTCTAACTGCATTGTAGTATAATTTCTAACATATATGGCATTGCCAAAACTTGGAATGTGCTTTTCTGCATCATTAGTGACTTCTGACTTCTCCGATTGGAACACACGTATGTTTGTTTCCTTTGCAGGCCTAATTGGCAAGACTGCAGATACCCTAGAGGAATTGAGGAAAGGTGGATAAAGCAACTGATTGCTTTTTTTCAGGACCCTTTAGTCTATTTCCTTTGTGAATTCGTTCATTTGGAGGACAACCTTAGAATGAGCATTAGTTACCAGATTGAGCCATCAACTATCTTCCGAGAGACAAACTATAATTTCCTGAATTTATTACCCAATATTTTATACCACTTGTCTTGCAGTATTTTGCTGTTATAAGATGCATTTATTACTGATGATTTCCATCTACTAAGGCGTAAGTCAAACCAGCATTCCATTTTGTCACTCTTCTGCATTTCATATTTAGCCAACTTAGAGTTCGATGGAATAGAAATACGCTCTATCGAAATTACTCAATTACTGTATTCAAAAGTTTCCACAAATGCTGTAGGTACTAAGAGAATATTTATGTAAATTCACATTTTCCAACCATGCTCATCTATGTTAGTTTAAAATGCAAGAGTTAAATTTTTCATTTTGTGGTGATACTATTCCCAAGTGCATTATGTTCATTGCTTTGAAGAAGCATCTATTACATCTTAAAACACACTTGCCATCATTTTCTTTCTTTGTAAGAATGAAAACACTTTAGAGCTACAGCAGACTCTTAATTAACTTAAGAAAAAGATGAAAAAAAAAGCCTTGCTTCCTTTCTCTGTCTCTGTCAGGCTGCAGGAGGACTACATTCTTGAGTAGGAAATGAAAGATTTACGACATTTTTGAGACTACAATTTTTAATGAGATGCACATTCCTTTTCTCATGTAAGCCTTGTCTCAGGGGGTCTCGGAGCAGAGAGGGAAGGGTTTTTTTGTCTGCGTCTCCTGATGGTCCTCACTGGATACGTTTTGTGGAGTGTTCTTCTGTTTAAGAATTATTTTCTTTCATATCGTTTTCCCCATTAAACACATATCTTATGGCATATTTGTTTTGTGCCATACAAAGGAAACGAAAACGCTAAGTCCTGTTTATAGCAACCGTTTACCTGAGTATCTGGAATCTATACAGTGCACGATTTTCTCCAAATTACTTGTATGTTTCTATTCTTTAAAATAAAGAATAAGGTAATTATAAAACAGTATTCTGATGTGTAACTTCCAAGATCCTAATTTCTCTCATACATATTGCTACTAATGGCCTGACAAAAAAGAAAATATACTTCATATACTTTTCTTTACTTCAGTCGCATTAAACCTAAACTGTGTAAAATTGATCCTTCTTGAATACAGAGTTGGAGCTCAACCATTGTTGTATGTTCTCATGTCACTGTTAGAAAAACAAAAAGGTGCTTTTAAGATCAAAGAACAACACAAACCCAGAATACACAGTCATGGTTTGAAAACATAGTTTTAGAAATGCACATTTTGATCTTAAAAGATCAATGAAGGAAAGGGTTTGTGTACTAGACTCTGCCACAAATGAGTACCTATATTTTGCATGTGACATGCTGAATGTAATCATATCAACACTAGTGAATGAATATCAGGGTATGCCACAAACAACAGCTCATTCTGATTAACTGGCTCATATGCTGTTTTCAGTCTTCCTCTTGGGAGAAAAGTATCTCATATCAACAAAGTTGATGTTTCTACAACTAATGTAATTCCAAGCTACTCTACATAGCCTAACATAGAGCAACCATGAGGTTTTAAAGCATTTTTCTTATAGAATATTAGGACTCACAAATACACTTCTAAATCTGCTTCAAAATACCTTGAGTTCTTATCAACACTGACACTAAGTTATCCCAGGTATCCATATTATAAATAAGCAGATAAGAATAATTTCATATTTTTGCAATAAAAGGATGCTATGTAGCTCATACTGCATAAAATTTTCAAAAATATAAATTTTTGGCTCCACGGCCTTCATTTCAAGCATCTTCTAAATGTGTGCCATTTCTGCAATCAGGGAGATGGCGGCTGGACAGCAATCTGAAGGTGCTGATTAGAGGTGTTCAGGGATGAACCCAATCAAAACAGTTAAGGGCAGGAACCTGCCAGTTCCAGGGAGTTTCACACTGAATGGAAAATACTGAGTAATCAGAATTTCAAGCAGTGGCCAATGACACAGAAAACTCATAAACATTCTAAAATAAAAATGTTGCAGGAATGCCACCTAAAGTTTTAAAAATCTTTAACAATAATAATAATAGTTAACATAGATGAAGTGCTTACTATGTGCGAGGGACTCTTCTAAACATTTTTACATCATTTGATTCTTACAGCATTTCTGTAAGTATATTATTATCCCCATTTTAAAATGGGGAAATAAAAACACAAAGAAGTCAATATCTTGCCCAAGATTACACAGCACAGAAATTCTGTAAATAAGATTTTAACTCTGATAGTTTGGTCTAGAGCCTGGGCTCTTAACCACTAGGTATAATGGTAAGCAAACATTGGTGAAAAAAAAGTCCTTATCTAAAACTATGAAAATTAATGTTAACATCATCACCACCACCATCATTTAAATATTGGATATGCTTGGGTTTAAAGCACAATTTAGTTCTGCTACTTAGGAGCTCCATCGTTAACATGTTTCTTAACCTCTGTAAAATGGTACAATAGCTGTCTTTCAGGGTTACTGCGAGATTGTTATGAATGTATGTAAACCACCGACACAACCTCCTGGCACATCGCAGTTGCTCCAAAAGGGGTATTTTTATTATAAGTATGATAACGGAAGTGATACATGCATGCTGCTTACATTAACTGCTTACCAGATGATTAAGCAGATATGTCTGAATATGAATACAAAATATAAATCCCACACCAGCAAACGTCTCAATAAAACATTTCAAAAAATGTATTGGGTCATGAAAATGAACTTCCTAGATGTAGTGTTTTACGGTTGTGTATCACATACGTATAACTTAGGGCATAAGGAGAAGTCTCGGCCCAGACTTCACAGCCTCAGTTTTGAAAAAAGGGTGTCCATGGTAGGTGTTTGATACGTGCTTGGGGCTGATGTTTATGCTGAGTTTCAATGATCATTCTCCCACATTAACGGGTTTGGCTGAAAATATCAATATGCAAGTAGCAGATGTGTATAGCAACTCAAAATGTTTATATAGCATGAAACTCATCTATGCAAGACAGAGACTTTGCTGGTATACTCTCCAAAGCTTGAAAGTAGAGGCCATTTAGCCGTAAGGCAACGGTCCCAATCTGCTGGTCCCTAACACCACCCCTTAAGGGTTCCCCCAACCTACAGTCGCACCAAGTACTATTTGCAAACTAATCACAAGCTGCTATTCTGATTAATAGACTACAAATTAACTCGGATGGATTGTTAAGGTCATAGTAGCATGTGTGTGTGTGTGTGTGTGTGTGTACAGAAGATTTTCTTTCTCTGGGGTAAATGCCCAAGAATGTGACTGCCGAGTCATAGGGTAAGTGCATTTTTAAAGATTTAAAATGAAATATACTTGATTTTTAGAGCAGTTTTAGAGCAAGTGAAGAAAGTGCATATATACCCTCTCCCTCCACACATGCACAGCTTCCCCCACTACCAACGTCCTGAACCAGAGCAGAACATGTTAGAATCCACGAACCTACTTGGACACACCATTATTCCCCAAAGTGTCTGTGGTATACATTAAGGTTCGCTCTTGGTGTTGTATATTCTACAGGTTTTGACAAATGTATAAAGATACATACTCACCATTTTAGTACCATCCAGCAATTTTCATTGCCCTAAACATCTACTGTGTTCTGTCTCCTCATCCCTCCCTTCTACCCCAATTCATGGCACTCACTGATCTTTTTCTGCCTTTTTCAGAAGATCATATAGTTGCAATCACACAGTATGTAGCCTTTTCAGAGTGGCTTCTTTCACTAAATAATATTTATTTCAGGATCCTCCATGTTTGTCTTCCTTGATAGTTCAGTTCCCTTTGTTGAGGAATATGAGTCCATTGTCCAAAGTGGCACAGTTTTTTTATATAGTCACCTGCTGAGGGGCATCTTGCTTGCTTCCAAGTTTGGGCAATTATGAATAAAGCTGCTGTAAGCATCACGTTTTGGTTTTTGTGTGGATGTAAGTTTTAACGCATTTGGTTAACTATCAAAGAGTGCAATTGCTGAATCCTATGATAAGAGGATGTTTAATTTTTAAAGAAACTGCCAAACTGTCTTCCAAAGTGGGCGTAGCATGTTGCCTTCCCACCAGCAATGAATGCGAATTCCTGTTGCTCCTCAGCAGCATCTGGTGTTCATATTGTAGACTTTGGCCATCTTAATAAGTGTGTAGTGATATTTCATTGCTGTTTGACCACAGTAGCTTTTCATCATGATATAGTATCTCAGTAAAAACACAGAAAAAGTATAATTACTTTATCATAAGGGGAAACTCAAAATTTTGTTGGAAAGAGGGACTCTCATATTCAAAGAGGTAAGGGATCACTAAGTAAAAGGATCCTGATGAGAAAATTGTACATTTCAAAGTACTTGTGCAAAAATGTCCCCTTTTACTTTCTGGCCACACACCATTCCTTTACCTGAAACTCTGGTGCAGCCTCCCAGTTCATGCTGTGCCTCCTATTTCTTCCCAATTTTATATTCCCTCAAAGCACATAAGGGAAAATTTCTCTTTCTCTTTCTCAAGAGAAATTCTCTAAAACTGTGCTCCATGAGATCCTGGTATTATGCAAGATGTCGTTAAAGGCTCTATGAAACAAAGTTCCATCTGTTTAATATAACTCGTTACACTTCTCCTTCTCTCCATGCATGGAGATACACAATATTTAATGGCCCATTAAAGGGTTTGAGAAGTATTAGAATTAAAACAATTAATAAAGTAGCATTCCAAACTATATTCACATGTCAGGGGCCCCATGGGTAGGCGGTGGAGGAGAGAGATTCAGCAGAATTTTTTTTCAGGCAGCACCATAATTACCTAGAAAACATCATGATTAGAAGAAGTCATGTGTCTAAGACTGTCCTTTCTGAAACAAGGGAGCAATTTCTACTTTAAAGATTTTTAAAGGGTGAGAGTGGCTGGGCACAGTGGCTCAGGCTTTTAATCCCAACACTTTGGGAGGCTGAAGTGAGCAGATCACCTGAGGTCAGGAGTTCAAGACCAGCTTGGTCAACATGGTGAAACCCCCTCTCTACAAAAAATACAAAAATTAGCCAGGCGTGGTGGCAGGCACCTGTAATCCCCGCTGCTCGGGAGGCTGAGGTGGGACAATCACTTGAACCTGGGAGGCAGAGGTTGCAGTGAGCTGAGATCACACCATTGTACTCCAGCCTGGGTGATAAAGCAAGACTCCATCTCAAAATAAATAAAATTAAAAATAAATAAATAATTAAAACTGTGAGAGAAAATATAGTGGAGATATGGATAAAGAAGTCAGAGGAGTATGCAGCACATCACCCTTCCTTAGACCATCAGTAAAAGTCTGCAAGATGAGGAAAGTGGATGGTACTGGATTTCCTATATAAAACAGTGACGGACGGACCAGCACACAAGGTGGCCACATGGACAAGGGATAGTCTGCATGGACAAGGCACAGAAGGCCGTTGTGGGCCCTGGACTCCTGTCAATGAGATCACTCAGCTCTCCCTACCAGCCAGAATTCTGCCCACTCGAGTTAACCCAAGAAGCTCAACTCCAGATACCTGAAACCCTTTAGAACATCATATGATAAGATGTAAACAGTGTACCCTCTCATTTCTGATGGCTTAAACTAACTATGCATTCATTAGGTATAACTATAAATTCATTAGCTTTTTCCACTTAAACCTGGCCAGGCCACATGGAATCTTTGATCTTGAGCCATACTTTTCTCCAGACAGAGACTGATAAATGACTTTTTCTGGTAGTTAGAACTGAATCTTTATTCATTGTTTCAGTATCTTCACTCTTTTATGCTCCTTTATAAAATACTATAAGAAAAATAGACATCTTCATTAAATAGAATTCTTTAAAAATTGCCTTTCATGGTATTTGCTAAATTTTATTTGCTTATAATAGATGATGCTCAACACAAGGCCAGCTGTTGATGGTGTGTTATTACGTAAAACTTGTAAACAAGGAAGCAAGGAAGTAAACTGTTTGGTCCATAGGCATGGGTCCACAGAATATCTACCCCAGAATCAACACAAGTGGGTTCTCAACATGCTGATTCCTAAGGCTGCCCTGGACCTATTAATCCTGAGGACCTGGGACGTGGCCAAGCAATCTGAAAGTTAATGGTCTCTGAACCACTGGGTTGGATCTTCATAGACAGCAAACCTGGCCCAAAGAATTACTCAGAGTACAAAGAGAACACAAAAGGATGAAGAAAAAGTAGTTGGAATTTTGCAATTTAGGGGCTGTAAGGGGCCTTAAAAGATCATCTAGCTCAACCCTATGTCTTTATAGTAGAGAAAAATATGTTATTTAACCCAGATCACCAAGTTGAATCAGTTGACATTCTTTCCCATCTAAAATGTCGTTAGTCTAGAAATTGAAGAAATGAAGAAAATCTGAAAGAATGGAAAAGGAAAGAAACATATATCTGGAAGAAGTCAACTAACCAGTTTCAGAGAAATGTTCTAATTGTTCAAGATGTACTCAACTTGAATCTGTGATCTTTTCTAAAGACATTTTTTTAACCTTAAGATTTGCTTTTCAGTATTAGTATTGCTTGAGACAATAGAAGCTAAATATTTGTGGAAATCTACATCATGAACAGGTACTCGCTTGGGCAGCAAATTACAGAGTAAGTAATCATTTTCTAATTTCAAGGTTCCTATTCTTTTAGTCATTTAAAATTCAGACTTCAAGCCAATCTATGAATGCCAGGTTTCTGTTAATTACAAACAATTCATCTTAATTAGCCTGAAAGATGGTTCTAACAAGAAATAAATTATTGAGCACAAAAAGCAAGTTTTATGACATGTTTAATGTTCATTTCAAATCCCTTTCAAAACAAATAGCAGTGGAGAACGTGGAGGGTTAGAAAGATAACTTTTGTTGCTGGATTGATTTCAAATCTTCCCTGGCTGCTTGCAGGTGTAGCACTGTTCACTTGAAAATTTATTGTAACAGATCACAATCATTACAATCATGATGGTAATCAATGTTCATTAAAGATACAATGAAAATTCCATGATTAAAGGCCATTTGTTTCATCACAATAAGATCATTTATTTATTATTGGGTAAATTGTTACAAATTGCATATGTTTGGGGCAGTTGAAACAGGGAACATGAATTTGGGGATTGAGGCCGTGAGTGCCTTTTACTTGGTGAAATTCTGACAATTCAAAGAGAAGACTGCATGTGGCCCGTGAAAGAAAGACAGGCTGTGCTTTTACTCACCACAATTCTACACTGTGATCTGATGGTCATTATTCCTCCCAACTCGGCTCTTCATTTTTCTAAATTAGACAATGCTGAACATATCCTGGTGCCTTTGCGCTGTGTTATAAATGGTTTTAAGCAGCATGGAAGTTGCACTGTTCTTTATTTAATTCCATCAGCACTCTTAGCTAGTCTACTATGTAAAAAGAGAGTTGAAGACATTATATGGGCTTCTTCTCTTTATTTTTGTTTTCGTTTTAAAACCAAAGCAAACATCTCAGATCAATTCAAAAGGAATGAGCAGGAAACCCTCACCAAGATGGAAAGTGCTAACATTTCACATGAAAAGAAGTTTTTTCCCTGAATTATGCTCCCTGTTTAACCATCTAACTCAGATTAACACTATCTTACTTGACAGCCACCAGCAAGATTCACCTACCCCTGCCATTCAAATTCCAAACAGTCAGTACAAACAAATTTTTTTTAAAGACGAATTCAACTGTTCTAGTGTAAAGCTGTTTTGGGCTCATCTGCAGGCCAAACACATTGGCTCAGAGAAACCTGTTTGCTGTCAGACAAAGGCTGTTGCTGTCATTAAGAGTTGTTCTTAGAGGGTGGCCAATCAGACACGGTGAGTCAGGTGGTCCCAAGGAAAGAGAAAGAAAATGCCACCCACCCACTCTGCGAAGGCTCCACTGGAAAGGTTCCATATGATCTGGCTGTCATTGCCCTTGAATTAGGGCTACGGGAACAATTTGCCTTACGATTCACTGAGCAGGAAAGGGTCCTCGTGTTCCCTTGTGTACAGAGGGTGCACATTTCCCTAAACTCTCCTACTTGGAAGATGGACAATTGCCGAGGAATACTAAATATGGCCAGCAAATTTTGTCCCCAAGAAATCTGAGTGATCTCTGAGGTCAGGCAAGAATGTGATAGCAATTTAGAATTGGGCGGGGTAGACAATTAAAATTAGTCATGAGGAAACATGCAAAAAACTTTTGCCTTCTCTGACTTCCGATCCCACGAAGCTGACTTCATGTTGCTAAATATTCCGATTACAAGTGAAAAACTCAGACATATGAAAATTCTGTTTATGAGAACCAAAATCTACAAAGAACACATTTTTCCCCAAGACACTAAATTTATGAGGTCTCAAGTTTATTAGTCAGTCCTTAGTTCCTATTTGAGGTTCCTATTTTGAGCCCTCAACAAGAGCTAAGAGGTTATGCCTTGATTAAGAATCAATCAGAACTGGAGTTTTACTCAATGATATACTTAACTCCTTACTTAACCTGACTTAGCACAATTAATTATATAAGCCACAATTTCCTACTCCTTAAAATGAAAGAAATAGTAATATCTGTGCCATGGAAATAGTAATAGAATTAAATGATACGATGTATGGACACATCCTATATGGCACATGCTTAACAATCAATGAAAGCTACTTACAACAACAACAAACAAACAAACAAACAAACAAAAAACCTAGGGCCAGGCACAGTGACTCACACCTGTAATTCAAGCACTTTGGAAGGCCAAGATAGAAGGATTGCTGGAGGCCAGGGTTTCCGTGAGCTACGATCGCACTGCTACACTCCAAAGATCTCTTTTTAGCCTAGGAGTTAATAATTAATTTCATCATTATTTATTGTTCTATTTGATGTAACCACATACAGAAACTGGAAAACAGAAAAAAGAAGATTTTCTTAGACACACAGACCGATGGAACAGAAAAGAGAACTCAGAAATAAGACTGCACACCTACAACCATCTGATCTTCGACAAACCTGACAAAAAAAAAAAGCAATGGGAAAAGGGCTCCCTATATAATAAATGGTGCTGGGAGAGCTGGCTAGCCATATGCAGAAAATTGAAACTGGAACCCTTCCTTACGACATACACAAAAATTAACTCAAGATGAATTAAAGACTTAAATGTAAAACCCAAAACAATAAAAACCCTAGAATAAAATCTAGGCAATACCATTCAGGACATAGAGGTATGGGGAAAGATTTCATGAAGAAAATACCAAAAGCAATTGCAACAAAAGCAAAAATTGACAAATGGGATCTAATTAAACTAAAAAGCTTCTGCACAGCAAAAGAAACTGTCATCAGAGTGAAGAGACAACCTACAGAATGGGAGAAAATTTTTTGCAATCTATCCATCTGACAAAGGTCTAATATCAAGAGTCTACAAGGAACTTAACAAATTTACAAGAAAAAAATAAATATCCCCATTAAAAAGTGGGCAAAGGACATGAACAGTCACTTCTCAATAGAAGACATACATGTGGCCAACAAACATGAAAAAAAGCTCAACATCACTGATCATCAAGGAAAAACCACGATGAGATAACATCTCACGCCCGTCAGAATGAGTGGCATTATTATTAAAAAGTCAAAAAACAACAGATTCTGGCAAGGTTGTGGAGAAAAAGGGATGCTTTTACACTGTAAATGGGAGTGCAAATATTTCAACCATTGTGGAAGACAGTGTGGCAATTCCTCAAAGACCTGGAGGTGGAAATACCATTTGACTCAGCAATCCTACTACTGGATATATACTCAAAGGGATATAAATCATTCTATTATAAAGATACATGCACATGTATGTTCACTGCAGCACTATTCACAATAGCAAAGACGTGGAATCAACCTAAATGTCCATCAGTGATAGACAAGATAAAGAAAATATGGCACACATACACCATGGAATACTATGCAGCCATACAAAGGAATGAGATTATGTCCTTTGCAGGGACATGGATGGAGTTGGAAGCAGTATCCTCAGCAAACTAATGCAGGAACAGAAAACCAAACACCACATGCAATCATTCATAAGTGGGAGGTGAATGATGAGAACACATGGACACATGGGGGAAGGACACACACTGGGGCCTGTGGAGGGGTGCAGGGAGAGGGAGAGCATCAGGAAGAATAGATAGTGGATGCTGGGCTTAATATCTAGGAGATGGGATGATCTGGGCAGCAAACCACCATGACACATGTTTACCCATGTAACAAACCTGCACATCCTACACATGTACCCCTGAACTTAAAATAAAAGTTGAAGAAAAAAAAAAGAGATGCTCCCAATTGCAAGATCCTAACAACTTCTGTTAGCATTTTGGTATAATTTTCCCAGCATTTTTTCCTGGCTGCATTTTTTTACATTCTCTCTCTCGCATATGTGTGTGTGTGTGTGTATATATATATATATATATATATGTATATATATATGTGTGTGTATATATATATGTATATATATATAAAACCTATATATAGTCCATATATAGAGATATATATGAGCTGTCTTTCCAACATTTCTTATAGCTTTAATCATGAAGTAAATCAATGTCATAATAAATTTTGGCCCTAATTATCTGCCATTGTTTATTTGCCTTTTTTCAAAGTCAATTAGAAAAAGAGAGAACATTATTAAGTATTTATTAAGTTAAAGCTCCTTAATATTAAAAAGATTAATATAGGAGAAGATATGAGGATCTAAGCCTAAACCTTAACTGGCATGAAAAAAAAATGACTTTATCCGATGCTACTTTGTTTCATTTAACACAGTACACTCATGTAGGATGTTCTCTTCTTTCCCTCTCAACAGAGGCATGTGGCACTCTAAGCTCCACATTGCTGAGTTATCTTTAACTTAGGTTTTTCTACGAGAAGAAATATGTGACTGCATGCAATACAAGTACCTGCAGAGATTTAGTTTAGCCTTGGGACAAAAATTCATAATGGCTAATTTAAAGCACAAAGGTGACGCCACCTTGCTGGAATGAATTTAGAGTTGTAACAGTTGTAAAGCATCAGTCCTGTAGTCTGGATACTCGGGGTTGTTGCTACTTTCTGTTTGATTTGGACTCACCATGATGTAACTCTGGCACCACTGAGACCACGCCTGGAAAATGCATATTCATTTGATGCCATATATAATCAACCAAATATACATTGTGTCCTTATTTTGATCTAGTCACCAGTGATACAACAATAAACAGGACCAGTCTCTGACCTCAAAGAATTCATCTAGTCATTCTACTGAGCTGATGTGTGCCAAGATTGAGTTACAATCAGCCTAGAACAGTAGCAACCATAGACACTTCCAGGGTGTCAGGCTGATTCCCCATCTTCTAAAATGCAGTACATTTCTTGAATAAATTGGCCACCCAAGGCAGACATGTGCCTCTTCACTCATCTAATTCAGTTCATCCATCCATGACTTTAGAATTGTTCAAAAATTGCCCAGCTTCCTAATACCAACAAATATTGATACTTCCCTGTTTTATTTTAGATCACATGGTATCTTTTCCCTAAATGTATTAGGTATATTTGTTAAATAGCAGACTACCAATCTGGGGAGCAACTGAAATCAGAAACATAGTGAAAGTACCCAAGATGTATATATGGGAATAATAATATTGGTGATTACTACAAGGAATTCTTGTGAGAATTGAATGGAAAATTATATACATATATATATTTATATATGTAATTTTTAACTTAATCTTGGCCCACATCACATAGAAATAGTAGTAGCAGATATTGTCTTCATCATCATCAAGATAATAAAACCATTTCAGCCCCTTTGGAAAATAATTTGGCATTTCCGCAAAATGTTGTGCATAAACCTACCATATCACCAAGCAATTCCACTCCTAAGTATCTGTCCAAGAGAAAAGAAACATCTATCTACATAAAGACTTGCACATCATTGTTTATAACAGCATTATTCATAAAAGCCAGGACCTGAAAACAACTTGACCACCCCTCAGTTGGCGAATGGATAAAAATATGGTCTATTCATATGATGAAATAGCATTGGATAATAAAAAGGAATGAACTGCTGGCACATGCTACATCATGGATGAACCTCAAAAACATTGCCCTAAGTGAAAGAAGCCAGTCACAAAAGACCACAGACTGTGGATTCCATTTTTAATGATCAATACTAGATTAGTAGTTGCCTGGGGATTAAAGTGTGAAAAAGAATTAACTGTAAATAGGCAGTAGGGATTTTAGATGGGGCATGAAAAAATGCTCCGAGATCGATTTATGGTGATATTCCTATCATGCCACAGAGTTACAAAACAGTCATTGAATTGTATACCTGCAATGGCTGAACTCTTATGATATGCAAAACAGACCTCAATAAAGTTCTTACAAGGAAGATAACAGAACCAAGTTCTAAGTACACCAATTATCCAGTTGCCTCCTTTGTATCTTTCATATATTTAGAGAATCTATGTCCACTAAAATCGCATTTATCCAGTTAAAGATGAGATTAAGAAATTGTGTTTTCCTGTTGATAGCCTGAACCTTAACAGTATAGGTAATATAGGACTTAACGTGATTTTTAGATTCGGAATGATATATTCATTTGTGAACCGTTTTCTGGATCACATAAAACTTTATTCCAAACATAAACTGTAGCACAAATGACACAGTCCTTCTTCACACAGATACACACACACACACACACACACACACAGCCATCAGTACGAGCAGAATGGGGCATAACCTTTCATTCCTCACATAACATCTCCACATGATCCTCCTGCCCCATTAAGAAGACGGCCCAAACCAAGTACCTCAAATCCAGTGTCCCAAGAACTGTTTTTAGTGTTTGAGGTTGTGTACCTGTCTTTACTTGTTCCCAAATTATTCTAATTCTAATCCTTTCAGGTCTCATTTTGATCTTCCCAGCTCTGATCTCCCAACTCTGTGACCCCAAGCTTGATCACTAACTATAGATTTATGGCTTTGAATTGATCTCTCTCTCTCTCTCTCTGCACAGTTTGTCTCCTGTGTGTCTGTCTCTGGGAGAAACCCTCTGCTCTAGCCATGTGAAAACAAATTCTGAACCAGGCCTTCTGACTCTGTCCTCATCCCTCCCTCACCATCTCCTAAACCCTTCGAAGAGGAAGCCATCTTTTTCTTTTCCACATACAGAGCCTTTTATCTGTACATCTATTATGAAATTTAATACTTTCTACTATATATTAAATATAGTTATTTATGTAGTTGTTGTAACCTCAATTGTTTCATCTTTACTTAATATCTTTCAAAGCATGGAATACAGAGCTTTGCTCTCAAGAAAGTATATTTTCCGAAGTGTCCCGATAGATTGAAATATCTGTTAAGTTTAAGTGAAAGGGTTGGTTCTGCTACAGTTTATTTCAGTTATCAGTATAGCACGCACTGATGCCTGAGTTACTGCTGGAAAATACTACCTTCCTGTCTTCTTAAGGCATTGCAAAAGGTATGGGGAAAGATCCTGAATTTGCCCCAATTTTTAAACAAACCAGAGAAACAGTAAAGCATTTAAATGACTTATTAATGTTAACCTATTTATATCTACATATTTGTTAGCCTGTGAGTAAATGGAACTTCGGATCTTTGCAAAAGAACTGCCGGGTTGTAAAAAGGATTGGAAAGTCAGGCTCACTTAGTAGTGTGCAGAGAAACAGACTCTATGCCTGGAGCAAAAAATCCCAGCATCCCCTCCACCTCTACGGTGTGATTTCTTAATGCTGTACTTGGCTCGACAAAGGAAGTCTGATATTTCAGAGGTGAGTTGCAAAGTGGCCAAACCACTCTTTAATGCACTATAGCTTGACATAATATTTGCTGCCAGCTTCTCGTTTAAAAATGCCATCAGTTTAACATTAACTGAAAAAGTAATTATTCTCCAGTTTCACGGAGCTATTAAGAAAAAAAAAGTTCATTGAAACTCCAGGAAATGAAATACTGTGCTTTCAGGACCTATTGGAAGCCTTTCAACATTCAGAGCAGAAAAACATAAATTTATTTTTTAAGAAGCAGATTTAGGAACTTTAGTGAATGGGAACAGAAAGCATTAACTTAAGCCTCAGGGGAGATAACGATTCAACAAAATTCTGAAAACCCTCCTTAGATCAAACTCTCACATATTCTGAAAACTCAGTACCATTTATTGTTACAAGATCCTTGATGATTTAGAAACATGTACCCACACATGTTAAGTCCTCTGTACTAAATCAAAGAAACTTCAAATTAGCTTGAACTTTGAAATGCTGTAAGTTACATGAATGATGATTCATTTCTTTATATTCAGTCACCAAATGTTATTGAGCCGATGATAAGCTTGAAGACGTTAAAGGCTTTGGGGTACAGAAGAGAGATACTAAAGTAACAGCCTGCACATGAGATCTTGACCTGTAATGAAGTGCCAATTTAGTTGTAAAGACAGAACATGTCATCTATAACATCTGAGGAAAATCTTGCTGTGTATGCGGCATAACCTCAGTTTATAAAAATTTGAGAGGAAATCACAAGAATGGAGAGGTTTTGCAAGGTTATGGAGTTTGTACACCATTTTTTTAGAACATGAGGTCTAAAATCAGATGCAAATGTGGGCTCCACATCCTATTTTTTAGGTAACTTTGAACAAGTCACCTCTTTGAACCTCAGTGAAATGCAGCTGAAAGTTCTTTGAAAACTGTAAAGATTATTTATTATTCAGAGATGATTTCTGTGGGTATAAGCAGAAAACACTACTTTTTGAATGAATTACAAACATAAAACCATGACTTTAATGCTAACATTTTTTGAAATTTTTATAAAACTTTCTAATTCACGTTCCCCTACTGTTCCAAAGTCAGTAATTTTAAGATACATGATTTAAAAAGGAAAAAAAAAAACCTAACTGTCAAGAAATATCGCTAACTAGATTGATCATGTTATTTCCTTATTTTTATAATTGAAAAAACCCAAAACTTTAATACTAATTTCTGGTTGCTTAAAAACAAATTAAATATAAAACTGTGTGGCTGTCATAGATGATGATATTTTAATCTATTGAAAATTATTACAGTAGAAAATTTTTAAAGTCTAGGAAGCAATAATCAGCACCAAAATATTGTTTTTGCTGTTGTATGCACAGCTTTAGTTTCCATTTTATGAATAAATACATAAAAATATAGGGTAAAAATATATGTATTTAATAGGATTCTTACAACTTTCTATTAGCACAATGAGTGCAGAGCATTTGTGAATAACATAGAACTAGGGTCTCCCCTACAGCTTTTGAGTTAAGTCTTTTTCTAACAACTGCTATTTATTCAGAGAGGATGCGAAGTAACAGGTCTAAACATTACATTGGCAAAGGAGTACCTTTAAATTGTATGTGGCACAAGCTAAATCTGGGAAAGGAAATGAAACACAAATGAAAGGGCAACTTCTTCTGGAAACCTCCCTTCCTTTGTGGTATTTTTGTCCTTCCTCCATTCCATGAATCCTATTAAGAAAAAAATTTCTCTTTTGCTTTCTAATTCCCAAATCTTTACTGCTTTTCTTTAACAAGGCTTCCAAGAAGAATCGGAAGGTGAAGGAAGGGATGGCCATAAAGAAGACTGTTCTTTAGATGAGATTTTTGTCATATTGTTACTGAAACACCAGGGGTTTGGTCTAGGTCCCCGCTGCTCCCAACACATAAGGCCAACGACTAGGGTGATGAGTATCGCCAAGGAAGAAGCTCTAATCAGGTGCTGCAGGCCAAGAGATGGCAGCTCAGTCTCAAATCTATCTCTGGGACCTACTCAAACTAGGAGTTTATATAGCAGGAAAGGATTGTAACAACGTGTAAGAAAACAGGAACTAGGGAGGGGAAAGGAAGCAATCATGATGAATGAGGGATCTGGCATCTCATTGTCTGGATGTGATGATCTAGTGAGTTTCAGTTCTTTGATACTTTTTTTGAGAGGTCTGAAGGGTCATTTCCCAAGGAAGGAACTCAGATAAAACAAATGTAAGTTTCAAGCTTTAAGACCAGAAGGATTGGCTGGTCACAGTGGCCCACGGCTGGGCGTGGTGGCTCATGCCTGTAATCCCAGCACTTTGGGGGTCCGAGGCAGGTGGATCAGAAGGTAGGAGTTCAAGACCAGCCTGGCCAACATAGTGAAACCCCGTCTCTACTAAAAATACAAAAAGTAGCCAGGCGTGATGGTGCACACCGGTACTCAGGAGGCTGATGCAGGAGAATCGCTTAAACCCGGGAGGCGGAGGTCGTAGTGAGCTGAGATTGTGCCATTGCACTCCAGCCTGGGCAATAGAGTGAGACTCCATCAAATAAAAAAAAAAACCGGAACGATCAATTTCTATATTTATCCAAACATGATTGTCTATGGGACTCCTGGATCAGTTTCAGGCCTCCCTTTCTATTTATCAATTCCTCAATCATGGGGAACCTGGTTGTTGATCTTCCTGGCTGCTTCCTGCTGAGGAGGGGTGTCATGGGCAGCTCCATACCATGGGTGACCACATGGCCACTCAGGAATCAAAGGTTAATCTCATATTAGAGTTTTGTTCTGAAACACAGTATTTCTCTCTCCAGCCCCCCCACATCCACCAGAGACAAATTGTTACTGAAACACCAGTGATTTGGTCTGGGTCCTGCTGCTCCCCAGACAGAAAGCCAATCGCTGAGACAACAGTGTTGCCAAGGAAGAAGGCTTTAATTTGGTGATGCAGCAGGGGTTTATATAGCAGGAAAGAATGTAACAATGTGTAAGAAAACAGGAACTCGGGAGGGGCAAGGAAGTGATCCTGGTGAATGAGGGGTATGGCATCTGGTGTGGTGATCTGGGTTCTTTGATGCTTTTTGTAAGAGGCCTGAAGGTCATTTCTTGAGGAAGGAATTCAGATAAAACCAATGTAAGGTTCAAGCCTTAACAGCAGAAGGGCCCATTTCTATGTTTATCCAGAAGCAACTGTCTATGGGACTCTTGGGGATGGTTTCAAAATCACAGCAGGACCAATCTACCTGCAAAATAAGCTTCAGTCCCATATACTAGCCTGATTACTCACACAGAATGCAACAAGATCATTGTCTACATAGGCATTCCTAGACTTGCTTTGCTGGAGCCTCTGACAAGGTCATTTCAGTCAAAGCCCTGGGAAATAACCAGTTCCTCCAACCGGGCGGGGTCGGGGGGTCCATTATAAAAGCAAACATGTTGTTATTATGCAAACAAACACATTGCCATGAGTTAAGAATATTCACAAATAGTTTACAAATTATGAAGAAATTGAGCAGAGAGAGAAATAGGCCTCAATTTCTGTTTATAAAAGTATACTCTATTCGGTACACTTAAAGCATACTTAAAGCCTGTAAATATCTCAAAAGGAAAAAATTATTCAGACTCTGAAAAACAAAACAAAAACAAACAGCAATATTTCAAACATAAAAATCATAAAAGATTATCTCAGTCCTTATTAGTTCAGTCTATGCAATCAGCTCCTGTTCTGCTTCATATTGGATTAGTGGCAATCTTTATACAACAGCCTTTCAATTAGGGGCCTAGAAGTTTTCTCTCTAATCCAATGGCACAATCTCCAAAGTTACCAGAAACTTCCATTCAAGAGTCCTTTTTATGAACTCTTCCAAAGAAGCAATGTTTGGACTGTGGCTGATTGTAAGTCACTTTTTGAGAAGGATCAAAGCAAAACAACAATTGTGGATAACAAAAAGTCTTGAGACAGCCATAGTTAGAGACACAGTTGACAAGAAAATTTGGTTATTTCTGTGGCATACAACAACTTAATAATTATAATTATTACTGACAACATATATTTAAAAATACCAGAATTTTAAGAATCTCATACAATCCTGGAACACATATTATCACCACATTTATATAAATATAACCCAAAGGAAGATAAACACCACCTCAGATTTGACAATGCTTCCTGCATAATTCTAACACAATGAATAAGCCTATTATGTCTGTCTTGCATGTCAGGGAACCTAATATCTAGAAAAGTTAGTTTGAGGACAAAAAGACTGAATTCAGAACTTGAAATTTTACTCCTAGAAAGTTTACCAAATATCAAAGTTTTAAGACACTTAATATCACAAAATAGGATCACAAGTCACTATAAAATAGTCCTTCATTTAGCCAAAGTGATAAATCAAAAACATTTACGTTTTGATAGAGACTCTGTTTCCCAAACAAAGACCTAATAAAGACAGCATGAGGCCAACTGAATCTGTCTCTCCCCACTCCCTTTTCTCTCTGCAATTTACTCAAAAAGTAAACAAAATCTTTTATCTCTCAATATTACATATTTTGTTTAAAAAAACCAAAATTTTCCTTTGAATGGTATGGTATTAATGTTAAAGCTAATTTTAATAAAATATTATAAACAAATCTATCTAATTTAACCACTTTGACTATAAGGTACAGATTTCTGTAAACTTTTTTTTTTTTTTTTTGAGACAGAGTCTCACTCTGTCACCCAGGCTGGAGTGCAATGGCACCATCTCAGCTCACTGCAACCTCCACCGCCCGGGATCAAGCAATTCTCTGCCTCAGCCTCCCGAGTACCTGGGACTACAAGCACCCGCCACCATGCCCGGCTAATTTTTATATTTTTGGTAGAGACGGGGTTTCACCATCTTGGCCAGGCTGGTCTTGAACTCCTAACCTCGTGATCCACCAGCCTCGGCCTCCCAAAGTGGTGGGACTACAGGCATGAGCCACTGTGCCTGGCCAATTTCTATAAACTTTTTGTAACCTTTTTCCAATTTTCTATTAAACAGCAGATCAATGCTTCAAGAAAACTGTTATTCCAAGACATGGGTCCAGACACTATTCTTGTATCAATGAGCTTTTGATATTAATGTTGTTTAATGTATAGAAAAACTCTGAACTAATCCTATGCCTCAAAAATCAGCCCTGACAATCTCACATGACTACCTCTTCCACAATAATCCCTGGGCCTAGAGGGATTAAGTAGTTTTAATTTCTGGCCTGTGTCTCACGAAACAGTTCCTTGTGATCGTCACCTTCTCCAGAGTCTGAAGAGAAACCTTTGACTGCTGTCAATGCTCAAAATTTAGCAGGAATTGGTGCCTTCTTCAACCCAAGAGTCAAAGCCCTGTTACTTAACAGCACAAGCGTTAGTTAATAGGATGTTTATACTACAGAAAGTCCTATCATTCCCTCTAACATGTTACAAACTAAAACACTGTGATTTGGCATTTGCGGGTTACTGCCTGCAGCGCTTCAAACCACTGTGTTAAAGTAGTTAGGTTACTCATTGCATAATTGCTAGGATTCTAGTGACAGAACTGTGACCAAAAGCATCAAAACGTGACAGGTTCTATGCCAAACTTTTCAAAGTAAGACAACTAATGTTTCTTGTTGTCATTTTAAAAAAAATGGTAAATGCAAATATCAGTTTTGGAAAAAATGTCATTTAAAAAATGGTAAATGCAAATATCAGTTTTGGAAATTCAGTATAAGAATTAATCATCTCCTTTCACTTAAATACTATACAACAAAACAGGGATAAAGTAAGGAAAAGCACACAGCAATTTATTTTCAGCTATTTTAAAAGAGCATCATCACACTTTTCCAAGATTGGTTTCTCGATGCAGTGCCGACCACCAACATTTTCAAAGCAGGGCAACACTGGTGCATATCTTGTTTCCAGGTACACACATGAAGGCCCACCAGTGATAAACAGCTTAGGATCAGAAATCACTACAAAGTCTCACATGTTTTAAATACTATTATTGCTTCATCCAAATGAATGTCACTTAATGGTAATAATGATAAACACAACTACAATAGTTTGAGGAAAATCCCAATCACTATAATTTCCTTAAGGAAAAGGCCAATATTTCCTGAACATTAAATTTGCATGTGTAACAGGTTTTCCTCATTAAAAGAAAAGATCTGAAACCAACTCAAATTATTGACTGTATTGAATTACCTTGGAAATAAATACCATTGAAACATTTTTACTCTCACCTACTTTTTCAAATAATAAATAATGTACTATTTCTGTTCAGAAGTTATAAAAAATCTTTTATGCAGTTTTTTTGCCAGGAACCTTAAAGCTCTCATAGCTCTCTAGATCATCAGAGGTAAGGAAAACCAACAAAATTTTAAATGGCTGATGTCCTCTATCAATTTTTGGAGGCTTCACAAAGGTATATTAGGAACTTTAGATCAATAGAACAAACAATGAATTGTTGGAAATGTATAGAAAACAAATGACTACTTATAGAACCAGATAGTTTCAAGCTTTAAGACCAGAATGGTCGATTTCTACGTTTATCCAAAAACAACTGTCTACGGGACTGTTAGGTCTGTTTTTTGGGGTTTTGTTGTTGTTGCTGTGGTTTTGTTTGTTTGTTTGTTGACGGAGTCTCGCTCTGTTGCCCAGACTAGAGTGCAATGGCGTAATCTCGGCTCACTGCAACCTCCGCCTCCCGGGTTCAAACGATTCTCCAGCCTCAGTCTCCCAAGTAGCTGGGACTACAGGCGTCCTCCACCACGCCTGGCTAATTATTGTGTTTTTAGTAGAGACGGGGTTTCACCATGTTGGCCAGACTGGTCTCGAACACCTGACATCAGGTGATCCATGCACCTCAGCCTCCCAAAGTGCGGGGATTACAGACGTGAGCCACCACGCCCAGCCGGGTCTGTTTCAATCTTCCTATTTGCAGCAGAATTGGTAAAGTGAGTTAACAGAGTAGCATCAAAA
The DNA here is from genome assembly GCF_000001405.40 of Homo sapiens. Lineage (NCBI taxonomy): Eukaryota > Metazoa > Chordata > Mammalia > Primates > Hominidae > Homo > Homo sapiens. The sequence goes on from NC_000004.12 coordinate 187,554,452, forward strand.
TGATGGTAGTATTGTGACTGGGACATAAGATGCATAGATTCATGATACAGTGACAAAATGCAGCGTTCAAATAGGATCCCCCATAACTCTATGCTGTAGGCATATACAATATTGTGACTAGTCCACTTATAGGACATTTCTGTTTCCAAAGTTGGCACGAAAAAAAAGAGACAAAAAACAAAGACATGCCCAGCGAAGGTCTTGAGTGCTGGGATCTAGTTACAAAGGTTTGGGAAGTAGATTTTTTAATCTTAGAGGACTATTCATGGCTGATACTTTCTCAAATGTGCCTTAGAGATGCTTCCATTTGCAGCACACATTCCATAGACCGCATCAATCACTCCATTCAGTCATCCTTGTCTGTGTCCTTGTCTTGCCACGTGTGTCTGCTATTCTTTCCACAATAGGTGACTCTGGGTCCAGGATTCAGACTTGCTTTAGCCAATAGGATGAGGTGAGATGACAGTATGGGCTTCACAAGGTTCACAGTACCTCTGCTTGCCCTTCTGTGTCTCGGCCTCAGCCATTTTTGGGGGTCTCAGGAGGAAGATAAAAGACAAGTGGGACAGAGCCACACCCAAGGACCCCAACCCAACCCAGACGGCTTACACTCGGCTGGTGACATGCGTGAGTTGGTGCAATTAAGACTGCAACTTCTGATCCTGTCCTGCCTGGATCCATCCACCCTGGGAACTTGTAAGAAATAGTGAGTGATTATAGTTTGAAGTCATTGAGTTTGGTGTGCATGTGCCTGTGCATTTGGGGTGGGGGGAGGCAACAGGTAATAATAAAGGTAACTAATCTCAAAATTGTGGCCTTTTCTATTTCCAGGACCTCTGTAGAAATCATGTTTTTAGTATGTACAGACTGAATGCTAAACTTTTGTCTCCAAAGAGTAAATACTGTCCACAGGGGAGGTCTACAGAAAAGAAGTAAATATATGAGTCATAATCAGTCTCAAGATATAGTACACATGTCACTGAATAAACTGATGAACCAAATGGCTGAAGAGGAAAATTTTTAATGCTCTGCTTCACACTAATAAAAACACAGTAGGCTCAATTTCCATATTCTCTGAAATAATATAAATGATTTTGCAATGATATATTTACTTACATTTATTCTGCTCATTGAAATATTTCCTTTAAGGAAAAATACTTGGAATCCAACAAATTTCTTCACTCAGTATCTTCAGCACATATTCATACAGGTAAATAAGCAAACAATTTTTATTTAATATTTAAAGTATCAACTAAAACTATCTGAAAATTATCAAGAATGTAAATGACTATAGAGCAGTTAATTTTTTTTTAAGAAAACTTACTGTCAACTTGTCTTTCCTTTGATGGGTGGGATAAAAGGAGTAAGTTACAATTTCTTCCTTCATCTCTGCCTCTTTCAATGTCCCTTCCTTTATGCTCATGTCAGTCTCTCTTTAACCAAACTTGTAAGCTAAGTCTGGCAAGACACATAGCATTTTTCAAGAAGTCAATAAACATTTAGCCCTCTGAGGAGACATCAAAGAAGCAAATTAAATTTGTTACAACGACTTGATCCGTGTTCTTTTGGTCTAATGATTTAAGCCCCAAATCCAAAAGTTAAAAGAAAGCAGAATTAGTTTTAAATCACTTTGCACTTAATCTCTCTTTGCCTCTTCTCTCCCCACAGTACTCATTTTTTTTACCTAGAATATTCTTTCTTAAATATACTAGGATACAAACTCTAATATACACAGGGAAATTTGAGCCTTTAGTGCCCAACAGTGCTCCTCACAGCACTTAGCATGGGGATTTGTGACAGGTGCTCACTCTGCTATAAACCAATGTTGTCTGATACACCAATTGACCTAGCATGACCATTCATATTGAAAATCTTTGTGTTATCAAGGTTAATCTTTTCCTATTCACAAATTCCTTGAAAACATGATACATAGTGTCAAATATTGCCAAAATTGTGAGGTGTTGTATCTAAAACTGCAGCCTTTATTTTTTAAGGTGTTATAATAGTAAAATTCCAGGAAGAAATATGCCAAGATTGATGGAAATACTATTGTGTTTCACAAACAAATCTCAATGTATTTATATGTACGAGTAGTCTTCAACTTTACAACAACAGAAAAATTAAATAAGAACTCTAACAAAAATTTGTTTTTCTTTTTGAATGTTGACCAATTTGTGATTTTAAAATTTTTACTTGTGTCTCTGTTAAGTCTTTGAGACTATCCATTTTGCTTTTCTGATCTTAAGTTCTTTCCAAAAACACAGAAACTCTCCAAGCTGTCAGTGTCCCAGATGGAACCAAAGTTGTAGTTTGCACTGGACATTAAATGCCGAACTTGAAATTAATCAGATCTCTACTTGAGTAAAATGAAAGCTATCCAACGAAAAAGCACCAAAATATTGTACCTACACAGCCAGGAAAACATCAAAGGCCTTCAAAAAGCTAATATATCTAGTGTTGACAACCTAGTACCACACAAGAACTATGGGAATGCCAAGGTTACAATGTACTAAAAGCGCCTCCATGAAGAGATGAAATGGTCAAATGTCCAGGACTCTTTGAGAAAATAGGGGTAAATAGCTAAAGAATATTGAAGTTGCTCCAATAATCACCAATATGTTTCTTCTGGTTTTTCTTCCCCAACTAGAATTAAAAATTGTGTATGCTCCAATTTTATGCTTGAAATATAAAAGAATCAAAATTTTGAATAACACACAAGTAGATGTTTTTATTTACTTTTTAATTTTATGGATACATAGTAGGTATAAATATTTATGGGGTACATGAGATATTTTGACATAGGCATGCAATGCATAATAATGACATAAGAGTAAATGGTTTCAATTTAGAAAGATATTTTTGCTGGATACAGAATTCTAGGTTGGGAGGGACTTTTGCTCTTGTTGCTTTTTGGCACAGTCTTGCTTTCATTATTTGTGATAAAAAGTTAGCAGGATTTCTCATTTTTGTTTCTCTTTATCTCTGACTGCATTTAAGAGTTTCTCTTAATGTATTTTCAACAATCTTATTATAATGTGCCTTGATATGTTTTTCTTAGTGTTTCTCATGCTTAGGGTTTGTCAAGATTTTTGATCTACAGGTATATTTTTATTAGAAAGGGGATCATGAGTTAACCAGACATGAGCCATGCTTGGGAAGCTGTTACTGCTCCTGCGGCTACAGACACAATGGAAAGAGGTAAGGTTTCCACATGGACAATCACGGCGGGTTTCCTGACAGAAGCAGGGTTCACTGAAGGTGGGTGACTGGGAGAAATACTTTGGTTTTTCCATACCTGTTCTTCCCTAATCTTCTGTCAGTACCTCCTATAGTCAGAATTTACCCTGTGATGAATAGCAGAGCATGTGAAGGCTGGAAACGGAGCTCAGAGAAAATCAGCAGCTGCCCCTCACAAAAGCAACGTATTCTGATTTCTTCACTGTTGGATTCATGCCATCTGGAAGAACAACTGGGCATATATTTGTTGAATGAATGAATGAAATATAACTAAACTCATGTTTTATTATTGAGAAAATTGAAGCTCCTGCGGGCTTCACAATTTACTCAGGTGGTTAAGAACTAGGACTTAAATTTAGGCTATTTCATATTTTAACATAGCAATCACCTCTGACTTCTGTAAATTGAATCATATTTTAAATCCATATGAGAACTTTCTTTCCAAAGACACTCTGTATTGCGTTTTTTGCAAAACTGAAAATCCTTTATCACCTTTTTAGGTAGATTTTTCAAATTTCAGTTTCTCTTCAAGCTTTCTGGACTATTTCTTTCGCTGGGAGGTTTTACATAACAACTCTATTTTAAAAGAACAGAGCATTTCAAAAGGGTTATCATTTTGGTAAAAGAGTCAGCATAATGTGAAAGAAAGAGCATGGTTTTTGATACCAGATAGTACTACATTCTGATCTAGGATTTGCAAGTAATAGCAATTAGACATTAGAGAAAACACTTAACTTTCCTGGTCCTTGATTCCTTATTCTGTGAACTGGGGATAATAATACCTTCTCTAATCATGTCACAGAACTGTAAGAATGAAATTAGATGATGCGTATGTTATGCAAATACATTTCTTACTATTGCTTAGCTGTGAGTCACCTTCTCTCCAGATTAGCTTTTATTACTGATACTCATTGTGGACATAGAGTCCAGCTGATAGCTGGATGGGTGGGTATGGCTGAAGCAGAAGCATAGAATGTAAGAGACCTGCAATAGAGACTTCATTGTCTGATGAGATCTAGTGAGAACAGCAACACTCATAGCAGGTAAAAGTGCTGCAAAAAGTTGGTAGGAGGCAGTAAGAAAGTAACTGAGATGAATCTACTTATTTTGCATTTCCTATGCTAATGGTCATCTTCATTAATAAAGACAATCCAGTCACTTTAAACCAGAGGCTGGCATCACAGTAAAAAGGGACCATTTCCATTCTTCCAGTATCTATCCTTGGCACTTAAATCCACGTGATTTTTTAACAGCTTTATTGAGATGTAATTCACAGAACACACAATTCACCCATTTAAGAACACAGTTCAATGGCTTTTACTGTATACACAGAGTTATGCATCTATTGCCATGATCAATTTTAGAATCTTTTCACTACCCCCAAAAGGACCTCTCTTGGGTCCCTTAGCCATTACCCCTTGAGAAATTCCCCCAGCCCTGGGGAGCCCCTCATTTACTTTCTGTCTCTATAGACTTGCTTGTTCTGGACGTATTCACATGAATGGAATTATACAATATGTAGTGTTTTGTAGCTGGCCTATTTCGCTTAACATAATGTATTTGAGGTTCACCATGTTGTAACATGTATCAGTACTTTATTTCTTTTTATAGCTACATAATATTTGCTATATATTTTTTCAAGCATTCCACTTCACTGTTATTTGTTTTTCCACTTAATTTACCTGTTCTGATCATATGTAAGATCAAAGGAGTCCTTGGGTGTTATGAATTCAACCACTGTTTAATCTTGAAGAGAGAAAGTCTAAATTGTCAGAGGGTCCTGAGTCAAACACTTTCCTGTGTGCAGGAGGACACGGGGCCAGGCCCTGCCCTCTGACTGTGCACCACTGGCTTCCTCTAACACCGACTCCAAAATGGTAGAAATTCTCCTCCAGATAACATTTAATCATTATAAAATGCTTCCTTATCAAGGAACTCATAATCTGATCCCAAATTTGTATTGGTAAATAGGTAAAAGAGAACTATATATTTGAAGCATAAAATATAATTACTGGCCAAAATTCTCCAGATAATTTTAAAATAGACATATCTTACAATGAGCCCCCCAGATTGCCTTTTAAAATGATAATGTAAAATGTTTGCCTGGTCTCACTGATTACTTGGTAAATTCTGAATATGATGACTTTCTGTTCTTACAATCCATAAACGCAACAGCTATAAAAGCCACAAGAGTCTTGATGACAATGAAGAAGCATTTCTGTGCTGACAAAGTCATTCTGCTTTAGAACTGTGGATACTATAAGCCAACATAAGTCTTCTCTTTTCCTCCCCATAGCATGTCATAAACTTTCTGAGACCATTTGTACCAACGAGACCCAGAGCATGCATTTATATGCAATTGCTGACGTTTAAAATGCGATAATTTAATACCAGTACTAACAGAAGCTGCAGAATCAAGTGCTATTGGTCCTGCTATTTACACTAAAATGGGTAACCCCAGTGTGAGTGACGGCGAAGTCCTTTCAAACCCAGAGGTTAAAATCTTACTTCCTTTCTTACACTCCTTTTCATCTTTGCTTCGGTGTAAAATCTGCATGACTTATTATGCCATTGTTGAACTGCTCTCTGACCTCATTAACATTCTTATCTCCCAGAAAAAAAAAAAATGTTACAAGAGACCTGTCTGGTTATTATCTCTGCCACCTAAGACTTAAAGCTTCACTATAATTTCCAAATACATCTACCTTGAAATATCTAAGCTTACGTGTCTCAGCTACTTCCCCAAGTATGCTGAATTCTAACGGTAGAGATTCACTAAACCTATTTTCTTTTTCACACTTCATAATCCCTGGTACAGGAAATGGCTCAAAGCACTAAATTTGATTTGTTTTTCAAAAAACAACAAAGCCATAAAATTCTAGAACAGTAACACTCAATCTTAGGATATACAACAGGATACAGCTACAGATAAGAGCTCTTGGTTTATTCCGGTGTTTCAATAGGTATGAAATTGATTTTTGCAAATAGAAAATTGGCAGATTATAATTTTACTTGTGGAACATTTAGCATATTAATTATGAGTTTGAAAATTGCATTTTCGAATGATAGTGAGGGCAGCATAAGAACTGTGAAAGGATAAAAGGCATATCTCGAAAAAATTTTAAGACATATAAGTAAGTATATCTTCAATAATAATTTAATGATTGAAATAATATTACTTATTACTGTTTTAGGAGCACTTGATGTTTCTAGTAACACCCTGGCAGTTCTGTGCTCCTTCCCAGATCTTTCCATTTCTACCCCAACTTAAAGAAAATAACATTACAGCTGAAATCAAAGAGAATTTAAGCATCATTTGGTTTGAGAATTATCTTTCTCACTGGGTGGTTGTCAGACAACCTAAACGCTTGGCTTCTTTTTTTTTTTTTCTTTGAGACGGAGTCTCGCTCTGTCGCCCAGGCTGGAGTGCAGGGGTGCGATCTCGGCTCACTGCAAACTCCACCTCCCGGGTTCCCGCCATTCTCCTGCCTCAGCCTCCCGAATAGCTGGGACCACAGGCGCCCCCCACCACGCCCGGCTAATTTTTTTGTATTTTTAGTAGAGACGGGGTTTCACCCTGTTAGCCAGGATGGTCTCGATCTCCTGACCTCGTGATCCGCCCGCCTCGGCCTCCCAAAGTGCTGGGATTACAGGTGTGAGCCACCGTGCCCAGCCAACGCTTGGCTTCTTTTATAGCTTCCTCCAAAAGTGTGATTCAAGTCGGTATGAGGGTAGGGTGTAGGGCTGTTTGCTGAGACAGTGTTGTCCCCAAACTCACACACACAAACACACACATATACACCTGTGTTTACCTATATATGCCTGTGTATATGTGTAAACGTGTGGATCTCTATCTATAGATTCATCTACTGTTGGCCAATAGGACATAAAAAAACATCCAAGTTTTTTTTCATTCTTCTGCTCTGCTGGGCGGCTGGGGGTCAGGGGAATTGCCGTTTCTTCTCACAACAGAGACTTATTTTCGGTATCTGTCCTCTACTTCTTCCTCATTAATAAAACCCTGCATTTCAGATGGACTCAAATAAAGATCACATCCATTTCTCCCCTTGAAGTCAGCGACAGTAATGCATACAACTTACTATACCTGTTCTTTAAAAAGGGAGCCTAGTCTTCTCTTGCTGTTTCCTGCTGGTAGGAACACAGACACACGTGTGCGTAAACACACACACACACTGTGGGAGAGATGGAGCAGTTCTTGCCCCCTCGGACTACAGAGTGGAAGCTGCATGCTCCCAGCCTGCACATGGCAAGCATGGAGGTTCCTGAGGCTTGTGGAGCTCCTACAGCCTCACTGGGCTCACTTCACATGTAAGTGTTCACCAAACGTAGGTAGGCTTCTCATCAATATTCACTGGGTCAATCTCCACTTTATTCTTTGTGTCTAAGTTCAAATCCTCTTAAGCTCTTACCTAGGGTTTGGTAATGATCTCAAAATTGTTCTTTCTCTCTCCAGATCTCTCCCTCCCTTATTGTCTTCTGCCTGCTGTTGCCAAAATACAATTTGTAATGTACAAGTCTGCTCATAGAAAATAAGTAACAGAATCAGAATTCTAACTTATGTCTATCTTGATACAGAGCTAGAAATATTAGAGACATTGTGGATAGCTAGGAAAAAAAGGAGAAATTTGACCTAAAAAGAGGGCACGTGTTAAACTCAAATGACAGATGAAAGGTATGCAAGGGCTGAGCATGCCGGAGAAGACGTGACGGCTATGTTCCCTGTGTTAGGTCATGGGTGAGTTATTGCTTGCCATTATTTCATTTGTACCTTTATATTTAGCATCATATCTGAAGCAGCTTTTACACAACCTGGAATTGCTGTGAATGAGCAGCCACTAAGAACGAGTGCAGGAGATGAGAAGTGAGTGACATTTCCCAGCAGTTAAAAACCCTTCCTGCACAAAGCCATGCCTGACTCACATTCACCCGTGAACATCATTCTCTCCCTGTAAATTCTGCATGAGAATAATCCTAGGGTTTCTCAGTTATTACCATGAATTGTTCATTAGATTGCGCACATGGTGATTTTATCTATTGAACAGTTGAACCTACTTGAACAATTCTATACTTCTCCATAACAACCCACGGTGTAATATCACATTTTTAAAAAACACTAAATGAATGAGCTTAATTGAGTTGGGTATTTTGTAATTGAGGAAGAGGCAAAATACATTTTTTGAAGAGTAACTCCTTGATGAGAGATGTTAAATGATTCATGAATCCACATCAGTGATGGGGCTAGATAATGCAGGGTTTTCATTCTTAGATCAGAATCCTTAGTCTATCATTAGACCCACCAGATCCAAAAGATAACTTTATAAAGTCAAAGAAATGATTTTGTCTACTTGACTTATAGCCTGGATCATACAGGAATATTTTGTTTTCATACATGAAAAATGATCATATTTCCTCACTGATGTTTTACAATCCAAACTAAAGCAAATCCAAACTAAAGCAAAATCAGATGGTTTTACAATCCAAACTAAAGCAAAACGGTACTTTGAGAATAAAGAGTTAAAGACACTGCCTTTATACAAATAAAACACCATGTGTATTAAAATATATGATCCCTAATGAGATGGTATTTGAATGAGAAAAGCTGGGCATATCATAATTCTTAGCCTAGATATCGTAACTGTGCTTTAGAATTGGACCAAGACACTTTCTTACTAAGAACTATCTTTAGAAGCCATTGTGTGCAAATAACTTCTTTCTTTAACTAGTTGGTGGCCTTTTATTCTGTGAGGTATTTAACATTTAAGTCTGAGTCACTTGCTTTTAATGTGCCACAATGATGTGATCCCTTAATATCGCTGAACTATGACAGTGACATCCTCTTTGAAAAGACCAAGCTACCATTAGAAATGGGTCATGAAGCAAAAGTCATTAACTCATTTAAAAAAGGCCAGAGCCCAGCACCGCATTACTGACAAACCTCCTTCCCTGTGTCCATTTGTCTTTATCAAATATCACTTTAATATCCATCTCCCAAGCATGAGATAGGGTTGTGAAGCAGCTCCCTTTGAAAAATTAAAACCCTTAGCAATTAAATTTGCTTTCAAGTTTCACTTTAGATGAGCAACTTAATTCTTGTATGCAATATTATAAAGTAAGTATTAATAACTCCCAGTAATACAAATAATGATTCCAGAGTTGCTAGTCTGAAAACATTTGAGGACTCTTTTTTTTTGAGACGGAGTCTTGCTCTGTCACCCAGGCTGGAGTGCAGTGGCTTAATCTCGGCTCACTGCCAGCTCCGCCTCCGGGGTTCATGCCATTCTCCTCCCTCAGCCTCCCGAGTAGCTGGGACTACAGGCGCCCACCACCACGCCCAGCTAATTTTTTTGTATTTTTAGTAGAGATGGGGTTTCACCGTGTTAGCCAGGATGGTCTCGATCTCCTGACCTTGTGATCTGCCTGCCTCGGCCTCCCAAAGTGCTGGGATTACAGGCGTGAGCCACCGCGCCCAGCCTTGAGGACTCTTAAAAGAGGAAAATTCAATTAATAGAGTCAATGATGAAAAAGTCAAGACAGAGTTTCTAATATTTTCCTTGATGTTAGTTTTGCAGAAAGACAACATGAGATAGAGGTCGTATCTTTTCCACATACCAAATGAGAGGTTTATTTTAAAATAATGTTAAAGTAGTAACACAAATGATAGGGAATAATATATGTCAACGTGAGTGGGCTTCTTGTACTAACATTTTAAGTTTTATATCAGAATGAGCTTCCACCTTCAGCATTCAAATGGAAATTTCTCACAACAAGGAAAGATAATCTATGCTCTAGGAATCCCCTTCTGGTAGACAACCTTTGTAGAATCAATTTTTACGTCTGTTTTCCTCTGTTATATCTCTCAGAAAACAAAAAGTTTCATGAATTTTTTCTTCTCTGGGCTCTCAGCTACAGATGCTGTTGCAAAATGAGGCAAGAGTGAGTTCTGCCAAGAGCAATGTCCATCATGCAAAATGCCTACTACCTAGGAGCTTTCAGAAGAAGTAAGACAAAGGCTGAACATAGTAGAAGTTTGTGTTTCTTTCCTTCAACTGACCCCATGACAGGAAGCAGGTGGTGGCAGCTGTTTATCCAATAAAAGTATTTTTGTTTGTTTTGTTTTCTTTTGCTTTGAATGGAGTCGCCTATCATCTCAGATCTCAGATATACCTATAAATAAAATTTTAAAATTTAAATATTCAAATATTTTGGCCAACGTGCAACACAATCCGGTTGCTCTTTAAAAGCAGAGATAAAGCTATTTTATAGGCAAAGCAAAGCGCACAGTCACAACAGAACAGCACTGGATGTTTGCGTTTTACTTATTTTATTTTTATTTTTTATTGATTTTTATTTTTGTTTTTTTTTACAAGACGGTACTTTCATTATTGAACTTTAAACATGAAAGATTACATTTCTACAAATATAATAGAACAAAAATGAATGTGGAGAAAAAAGGAATTATGGTAACTGTACAGGGCATGAAATGGGCACTTTCCGATGATTGAGCAAGAAATTAAGTACAGATTATAATACATTCTTTTTAAATTCATTTGACACATTTTATCTTTATTTATAACCTATTCTTGTCTTCATTTTCCTCCTCCCTCCTCCCTTCCTCTTCCCCCTTTCTTCCTTTGTCTACCACTCTGATCTTCATTTTTCATTTCACTTTTTTCTTTTTTATTAAGCATTTGTCATGTATTTTATAAATCTATACTCCTCTGTTACAATAGGTATTAGTTATTCTGCAGCAGATCACCTCAGAGGGCCCCACGCACCCCACAATAATCCCTCCACAAACCCCCTCCACATTTGTTTCTCAGAGCTGAATCTTTAAGGCCACCTGCTGCTGGGGGCAGGCGCCCTCCAATCCGGCAGCTTGGATGGAGCTGAAGCTGTCCACGCGGAGGCTCCTGGGCCCCTGACCTGGCCTCACGGTGTCTCCTTCGGCTGCTGCTACATCCTTCCTCCTACCTCTGCTGCTGCTGCTGTTCTATTATACGTCCGACCTTGACCCAGCTCTGTTGCGGTGTTGACACCTGTCTGTCAGCACTCGTTGAATTTTAGAAAATGCTTGACATATTTTCTCCATCCTCTTATTTTCAGTCTTTCTGAGTATTCCTGTTTTCAGTTTCTCTTCCAGACAAGATATTTCTTCATCCAATTCAGGGTGTCACGTTCTTTTGTTTACCTTGGGTTTTAATTTGTGTAATTAGTATTAAATTAGATCTTATTTTTGACATCTTTATTCACATTTTCAATTTAGGTGTAAATTATAATTATTATTAAATTAAGGGCCAGGTGTGGTGGCTCACACCTGTAATCCCAAAACTTTGGGGGGCCGAGGCAGGGGGGATCACTTGAGATCAGGAGTTCAAGACCAGCCTGGCCAACATGGTGAAACCCCGTCTGTACTAAAAATACAAAAATTACCAGGCGTGGTGGTGCATGCCTGTAATCCCAGCTACTCAGGAAGTGAGGCGGGAGAATTGCTTGAACCCGGGAGGTGGAGGTTGCAGTGAGCTGAGATTGCACCACTGCACTCCAGCCTGGGCAACAGAGCAAGACTCCCTCTCAAAAATAATAATAATAATAATAATAATAATAATAATAATAATAATAATTAATTAAAACTTATTTCTGCCATCTTTTTTTTTATTTCTTCTCTTTCTTCAGACCTTTCTACCCCCCTTCTTTCCTCCTTTCAATAAGATAACTTCACATTTTCTCTTTCTGATTTAAAGGTAACATCTTTCTATTTTTATAATTATGATTGTCATATTTATGACCCATACTCTTTTTATTCTGTCCTTATTAATTTCCTAAATTTATATATATTCACATCTTCCTCCTAACACAATAAAAACTAGATTGTTTCTAATATTTATTTTGTCTTGCCTCTAGTGATTATGTTGTTATTTCCTAGGGCTTCAGTTTTAGATTGCTGTGGATAGACTTTTACTTGTTTTCATCCTTCTACTTACCTAACAAAAATGAGTTTTACTAAGATATATATTTATCCTTAATATCTGTTTTTTTTTTCTTCAAAATGTGTTTTAAATGAGGGCCATTTTATAGTTAAAAGTTCTGAGGCCTTTTAAATGTATGAAAAAACATATGAAAATACTTTTATAAAGCCTTCATTTTTATGAGTCAGCTTCTCTTTAGATTCATAGTTCTTTTTCTTTAGTACATTAAAAATAACCCTAAATTTTCCTATTATATTTAGTTTGCTACTGAGAAGTCAGCTAATCTGATTGTTTCTTTGCAGATGATCTTTCTTGCTGACATTCTTTAAATTTTCCTGCCTTTGAATTCTTAATTCTCATTATAATATTTAAATGCAAATTGTTCCTTATCTTTCCATTTTTCCTTGATAAACTCTTCAATTTGAAGTCTTTCAAGTTTCTTTAATTCTGAAAAATGTCTATTAATTCTCCGCATTTTTCCCCTTATCTTTTCACTTTTCTCTCCTTTTGGGACTCATCCAGGTATTGATATTTATTGTATTCTCTATATCTTTCAGTTTTTCTATTATGTTTTCTCTTTCTTTATTCCCTCAAGGAATTCCTTAATCTGATCTTTAAACTCACTTATTTACTCTTCAGCTGTAAACATCAAAATATTCCATCTATTATGTTCTTTATATCAGCAATTATATTTTATTATATAATATTTTTCCTATATTCTATTTTATGATTATTTCTTATTTTATATTGTTAACATCTTAGATTATCATCTTAACTATACTTATCATCCATTTATAAAATTCTTAGTCTACCTGCTCTGACAATTCTCATTTACAGGATATATAGTGACTATTTCATCTTGTTTCTTTATTTCAGCTCATAAAGGTGTAAGGGCCGTATTTGTGCCAGTCTTGGGTAAGTTTGAGGAAAAAGCTAGGGTTAAGATAAAATGCAGAGAGCCCAGGCATTGTAGGATCCCTCTCATCCAATGACATTCCTCCAAACAGTCCTTCTGATCATGGCTGTACTTCAAAGTCTTAAGATGAAGCTCTGGCCAGGCGTGTTGGCTCACACCTGTAATCCCAGCACTTTGGGAGGCCGAGGCAGGTGGATTGCCTGAGCTCAGGAGTTCGAGACCAGCCTAGGCAACATGGTGAAACCCCATCTCTACTAAAATACAAAAAAAAAACAAAAAAATAGGCATGGTGGTGGGCACCTGTAGTCCCAGCTATTTGGGAGGCTGAGGCAGGAGAATTGCTTGAACCCAGGAGGCAGAAGTTGCAGTGAGCCAAGATTGAGCCACTGCACCCCAGCCTGGGTGACAGAGCCAGACTCCATCTCCAAAAAAAAAAAAAAGATGAAGCCCCACTCGGAAAGGGCAGCCTCTCTAGGATCCGGTCCACCAGCCCTGAGTGCTGTGAGAGGCTAGAGGAGTGAATGTCTAAGGGCGGCTGGTAGGTCCACATTTTTCCAAAGATTTCCCAACCTTACAAGACTTTTGATCTGCTTACTATAACTTCAGAACACATCTGTAAGAAACTGGGCTATTGTTACTTTTTGCTATTCTGGAGGAATTTTTTTTAATGAATTATGAAAACTTTTCTACAATCTATTATGTTGTTCTCTTGCCAAAACTTTCAACCATGGTTCAAACCAGGACCATCTACCTAGTTTTCCCATCCACATCAACTCAAGCCAGCCTTCAGTCTCCCTAGGGTGGTTTCTCTCTCCTCTCTCCCTCCATCTCTCCCTTCCTCATTCCCTCCCTCCATCCCTTCTCTCTCTCTATGTCTGTCTGTCTGTCTCTCTCTCTCTTCCTGGTATCTTTCTCCTTGTATCTACAGTTTGTCCCACATTGATTTTGGGGGACTGCAGCAATCAGCAGCCTCAGCTTTTCCCAGAGGCCTTGCTCATACCTCCCAGGCCTGAACACCTAAAGAACCCATAGCTGCTGGACCCAGGAGGGATGGTTGACCAGTTGATTGGAGTTAGGAGGGAAGCACAGTTGGAATGCGTTCTAACTGCCATATCCCTAGAATCCTTTGGTGTTTAATATTTAGTGCAATAATTTTCATGTAGATTGAATTTAACTAAAGCAAGTGTCATGGCTTTGTCAGGAATCTTAATCATGAAACTTTCCTTGGCTTCCAGTATCTATTTGTGGTAAATGTTAACATGTACCTGACTAGGTGGCTCCTGTTGAAAGCAATTGCAAAAATAAAGGCATAGAGAAGTATGAGTGAAGGTCTGGATTACACTTTCTTTCAAATAAGAATTCAGCATGCATTCTTTTTTCCAGAGATCTTAATTCAAGATCCATAATATTGCATCTTTCTCTTTTCTTCTAAACCACAGGGTAAATGAGCCCTAAAATAATTGTGGGTTCTGAATCTTCACTGGATTCTACTTATGTCACCTGTCTCTTCAATTCTCTAACTACACCCTCCAGACACAACCTCTGAATAAGTGTCCCCAAGCACCTGACACTCTCACTTCCACGCCTTTGCAGATTCCTTCCGGCATGGAATACTCCGCACTTCTCATCTTATTCTCTTGTTCTGCCTATTCTCTGCTCATGCTGAAGAGGCTTCTTGGCGCCTTTTCACTAAGACGATTGGTGACGAGGCCTTCTCCTGGAAGCATGACATCACTCACCTCTCCCAGCCGACGCCATGCTCAAGTCTCCTTGCATGAGACCATCATACTCTGGTTTGGATTTTGTAATTTTTATTTGACTTTTTCTGCCACTGGAATATAGGGTCTTTGAGATCAGGACTCTATGTCCTAGACATTTTTACACTCAACCTTAGCCCCAGTTAGCTTTTAGACAAGTAATTATTGAATGGCAGTAAATATTCCTTGGGTTTCACTGAAGTCTGCTCTAAATGCAGTTGAGTTTAATGATCAAGAGCTTGGACTCTAGCATCAAATGTGAGTTCAGATTATTTCTCCATTACCTCCTAGTTGACTAACACCTACTTTCTGACTATAACAACAAATGTTACTGATAACTATTTCTAGGAAATTCATTAATAACATATCTATTATGTAGTAACTTATCAATAAAGACAAGCTGTTGTAATTTGATCAGGTCAACTTCCTTTCATTAAAAAAAAGGTGAAATTAACTAAATTTATCTTTGGTATGCCCAAAACCACTCTCCCATCTCTCCAGTAACTTCTCTGTGTCTTTATGTGACTCGGGACACTTCTTTGTCAGGAGATAAAATACTTTGATGAGGAGATTTACATAAAGGCGTAAGTAAGAACGACTTAAAAAATTATCTTTGATAACATAGTTGCTGCTAATCCAAAGGAGAAACTTTAATGCTGGAATGGCAGGCATTAACAATAAATAAACCGCTGGAAGTAATTTTGAACGGGATGGCCTATGGGAAACATCCTAGAAATCTTACTATGTAAGGAATCTACTTACTCATTTATTCACTAAGTTGAAAAATTCATACTGAATTCTTGCTGTGGGAAATATTTTTCTGGGTGTGTAGAAATGTAGAGATTTATATTACTTACTTTTATCCTCAAACGTGCTCATAATCTAACAAAGCAGACAATAATATCTTGTATTTATATTGTTTTACATATATTTACTTATAATAACTATCTTGTGATGAAGGTTAAGAATTTCATTCCCAGTGTTCAGGTTTGGAAAAGGAATTGGATTTACCCAAGGTGATACAGCTAGAAAGAGGAGAAATCTATACTCATATGCAGTTCTCCTGAATATAACTATTTTTCCCCCATGACACAATGCCTATACAACCATAATCCAAATAAACTGATAGGTATCATAAGTGCCAAAGTAATACATTTAGATGAGAGTAAAATTAATGTTTGCAATTAATTAGTAATGGTCTCATACATAGGGCATTTCAGTGCGTGGGCACTGAAGAATGAACTGGATTTTGACAGGTGGAGATGGTGGAAAGGACATTCCAGACTGGAAAACTGGAGAAAAAATAGGAAGTGCACAACAGAGGTGGGAAAGAACAGATCTTTTTTTTTTTTTTTTTTTTTTGAGACCGAGTCTCGCTCTGTCGCCCAGGCTGGAGTGCAGTGGCGTGATCTTGGCTCACTGCAAGCTCTGCCTCCTGGGTTCACACCATTCTCCTGCCTCAGCCTCCCGAATAGCTGGGATGACAGGTGCACGCCACCACACCCAGTTAATTTTGCTTTTGTATTTTTAGTAGAGACAGGGGTTCACCATGTTAACCAGGGTGATCTCGATCTCCTGACCTCATGATCCACCTGCCTCGGCCTCCCAAAGTGCTGGGATTACATGCATGAGCCACCATGCCCAGCCTAGAACAGATCATATTGTAGGAAGGCCAACCACCCTGGCTGACTAGAATATGGGGTATGTGAAAGAAAGAAGTGGTTTTGATAATATTTAAAATATAGATTGGAACTAGATTATAGAGAATTGTAAGTTTTCACTCTTTTCCAAAGCCAGTAGTACTCAGGCCTGGCTCAGAATCAGAGTCGATTTTGCAGCTTTTTTTTGAAATGCCCACGCCTTGGCAGCACTCCCAGAGATCCTATTCATTAGCTCTCAGGTGCATGGACATCTGCATATTTTAAGATTCCTCTATTGATCCTGCCCTGTAGGTACAGTAGAGGGTCCGCGTCATGGTGATTGAAGCGCGGTCCACTTGGCGTGTGGTCTGTAGACTGTGCTAGTTTTCAAAGGATTAGTGCCCATGAAGAGAAATTGAATAGTGAAAGGGTAAAAACTGTATAGCAGTTTGATGAAGTAATTTTATATCTGTTGAGACACAGAACTTAAAAATGGCAATGTGTTTTATATGTGTTTTGTTCATTCTTGCACAATTCATCTTATTATATTTTACAAAGATATTGTTACCTGAGAATTGGAAATTAAAAACAAAAACAAAACTGGGTTTTTCACACAGATAATCCAGGAAGTGTCATCACTCCAGGCCACGGTGGCATTCGTGAATGGGAAACAATGTTTGGAAAGTGTGCCGTTTTGACATCAGTGTGGCTCTGGCACGTTGGATGGATGAGATGAGTAGGAATCAGTGTGAAGTCCGCATTACAACATGCTTGGATTCAGTTATGCCAATGGTAATGGAAAGAAAGAGGAAAGATTTCAGAGAAGTATGCAAAGAAAAAAAAGAAACAAACTGTCAATAGATAGAATAAAAGAAAAGATAAAATCTAAAAATGTTCTTGATGTTTCATGCCTGCGTGACTGAAAAAAAAAGTGCTACTATTTAGAAGTATGTAGATATCATTAAGAACATTTGGGGGCAAAAAGGGGGTGGAAGTGAGGGTGGAGACAGTGATTTTAGCTCTAGGCACATTCAGTTTAAGAAGTCTGAAGTAAGGCCGGGCTCAGTGGCTCACGACTGTAATCCCAGCACTTTGGGAGGCCGAGGCAGGTGGATCACGAGGTCAGGAGATCGAGACCATCCTGGCTAACACGGTGAAACCCCGTCTCTACTAAAAATACAAAAAATTAGCCGGGCGTGGTGGCGGGCGCCTGTAGTCCCAGCTACTCGGGAGACTGAGGCAGGAGAATGGCGTGAACCCGGGAGGCGGAGCTTGCAGTGAGCCGAGATCGCGCCCCTGCACTCCAGCCTGGGCGACAGAGCGAGACTCCGCCTCGAAAAAACAAAAACAAAAACACAAAGTCTGAAGTAAGTCAAATGGAAATGTTTCCAAAGCCGGTGAACATATGGGCCCTGGAACAGTGACAGTCACAGCAGTTGGGATCATAATCAGGGGTGGTATTAAGGACATATTCAAAGTGGCCAGTGGAGCACAGCACTGACAGCCCCGAAGGCACAGTGGCCATAAATGCACGACGTTGCCAAGGGAGTGCCTGCCCACTGAAGGGCAGCCCTGGCTAGAGGTGGGATAACCCTGGATAAGAGTGGGCAGGGAGGGGGATCTCTGAGGGAGAGATGATAGAGAAAGCAAAGAGATTGTAAAATAACTCTTAGTGAAAGTGAGAGGAGAAAGGGGATGTGGGAAATGTGGAAGAATGATATAAAGTTGGTTTTCTTTCTTTCTTTTTTTTTTTTTTAGACAGAGTCTCGCTGTTGTTGCCCAGGCTGGAGTGCAAACCTCCGCTTCCCGGGTTCCAGCAATTCTCCTGCCTCAGCCTCCCGAGTAGTGGAGATTACAGGCGCCCGCCACCATGCCCAGCTAATTTTTGTATTTTTAGAGGAGACGGGGTTTCTCCATGTTGGCCAGACTGGTCTCAAACTCCTGACCTCAGGTGATCCACCCGACTCGGCCTCCCAAAGTGCTGGGATTACAGGTGTGAGCCACCATGCCCAGCCAGTTTTCTCTTGAAATCAGGAAGAGAAGAAATTTTAAAATGAAAAGAACAAGATGACAAACATTGATGAACCATACAGAGAAATGGAAGAGAATGAGAAATAAGTAAAGACTAGATTTAGGGAGCAAAAATAAACAGGAAAGCTTGAAGAAATCAGCTTTAGTATGTTAGGAAAAATTTAAGATATAGAGCAATGAATAGCAATATTTGGTAAATGCTACCGGCTGGATTGTGACGCCCTAAAACCCATATGTTGGAGCCCTCATTCCAATGTGATGGAATTTGGAAAAGGGACCTTGGGGAGGTAATTAGGTCATGAAGGTAGAGCCCTCATGAGAAGATGAGTGTCCTTACTGATTTTATTTTTATAGATTTAGGAGGTGAAAGTGCAGGTTTCTTACAGGCATATACTGTGTACTGGTGAAGTCTGGGCATTTAGTGTACTCATCACCTGAGCAGGAAACACTGTACACAACAGTTAATTTTCAACCCTCACCCCCCTCCCACCTTCCAGCTTTTGTAGTCTCCAATATCTAATTTTCCATTCTGTATGTTTTTGTGTACACATTGTTTAGTTCCCACTAATAAGTGAGAATGTGCTGTTTCTGATTTATTTTACTTAGGATAATGGCCTCCAGTTCCATCCATGTTGCTGCAAGACATAATTCTATTCTTTTTTTTTATTATTATTTTTGAGACGGAGTCTGGCTCTGTCGCCCAGGCTGGAGTGCAGTGGTGCGATCTCGGCTCACTGCAAGCTCTGCCTCCCGGGTTCACGCCATTCTCCTGCCTCAGCCTCCCGAGTAACTGGGACTACAGGCGCCCGCCACCACGACCGGCTAATTTTTTGTATTTTTAATAGAGATGAGGTTTCACTGTGTTGGCCAGAATCGTCTCAATCTCCTGACTTCATGATCCACCCGCCTCAGCCTCCCAAAGTGCTGGGATTACAGGTGTGAGCCACTGCAATCAGCCGATTTTATTCTTTTTATGTTCACGTAGTATTACAAGGAATATATATGCCACATCTTCTTTATGCAGTCGTCTGTTAATGGACTCTTAGTTTGATTCCATATGTTTGCTATTGTGAATAGTGTTGTGATAAACACAGGAGTGCAGGTGTCTTTTGGATGTAATGATTTATTTCCCTTTGGGTAGATACCCAGTAGTCAGATTGCTAGATTGAATGGTAGTTCTTTTTTTAGTTCTCTGAGAAATCTCTGTACTGTTGTTCAGAAAGGTTGAACTAATTTACATTTCCAAAAACAATGTATATGTGTTCCCTTTTTCTTGCATCCTCACCAACATCTGTTGTTTTTAGACTTTTTAATAATAGGCATTTTCTCTGGTGTAAGATGGTATATTCTTGTGGTTTTAATTTGCATTTATCTGATGATTAGTGATGTTGAGAATTTGCTTATATTTTTCTTGACCATTTGTATGTCTTCTTTTGAAAAAATGTCTTTTCATGTCTTTCCCCCACTTTTTAATGGGGTTGTTTTTGCCTTGTTGAGTTGTCTGAATTCCTTGTAGATTCTGGATATTAGCCTTTGGTCAAATGCATAGCTCACAAATATTTTTTACCATTCTGTAGATTATCTGTTTATTGATTGTTTCTTTTGCTGTGCAGAAGCAAATACAAAACACTGATGAAAGGAATCATGGATGACACAAACAATAGAAAAACATTCCATGCTTATGGATTGGAAGAATCAATATCATTAAAATGACCATACTGCCTAAAGTAATCTACAGATTCAACACAATTCCTATCAAATTACCAACATCATTTTTCAGAATTAGAAAAAAAAATCCTAAAATTCATATGGAACCAAAAAAGAGCCCAAATAGCCAAAGAAGTTCTAAGCAGAATGAGCACAGCTGGAAGTATCACATCATCTGATCTCAAAGTATACTACAAACTACAGAAACTAAAACAGCATGGTACTGGTGTAAAAATAGACATGAAGAACACTGAAACACAATAGAGAATCCGCAAATAAAGCCACATTCCTACAAATAACTGATCTTTGACAAAATCAACAAAAATATACACTGGAGAAAGGACACCCTATTCAATAAATGGTACTGGGAAAATTGGAGAGCTGTATGCAGAAGAATGGAGCTGGATCCATACCTCTCACCATATACTAAAATTAACTCAAGACAGATTAAAGACCTGAATGTAAAACCAAAAACTATAAAGATCCTAGAAGAAAACCTACGAAAAATTCTTCTGGACGTTGGCCTAGCAAAGAATTTATAACCAAGTTCTCAAACGTAAATGCAACAACAACAAAGACAAATGGGACTAAATTAGATTAATGTCTTTAAAAGACAAATAGGAGGCTGTCATCTGCAAGCCAGGAAGAAGTCCCTTACCAAGAACTAAATCTGCAGGCACCCAGATCATGGGGCTTCCTAGCCCCCAGAATGGTAAGAAAAATTTTCTGTTTTACAAGCCACCCAAGCTATGACATTTTGTTATGGCAGCCCAAGCAAGGAATGACACTAAAGAAGTGGAGGCAGTGAATATAAAGTCTTCACAATGCTACCAAATAAATGAAAGAAAAGGTAAGATTGTCGTTTAAGAAGGGTGAAGAAAACAAAGGCAGTATTTGAAGAGTGAGTGGCTGAAAATTATTCAGAAATGATGAAAGACATCAATTCAGAGATACTGGAATCCCAAGAAATATCAAACAAAATAAATAATATATATTCAATCCATTTTAATGAAACTGCTGAACATCAAATACATGGAAATCTTAAAAGTACTCAGAGATAGCAGGCATGTAACTTGCTACGTAAACTGAAAACAGATTTTTCAACAGAAACAGGGCAAGCTGGAAAATCGTAGAATCATATTTTCAAAATGCTAACAGAAAACTCAGAAATTCATTTCCAGCAAAAATCTTCCAATGGGAATGAAGGCAAAATAAAGACATTTTCAGACACACAGAACAGAGCTTGTCACTAAATACAATTTTCTGGCAGAAGGAAAATAATCCCAGTTAGAAAGTTGTGAATATAGAAGGGAATAAAATATGACAAGACTGGTAAATATGTGAAAAATTTAAATAAAGATCAACTACATTAACTTGGCCCAGGCTGGAGTGCAGTGGCACGATCTCAGCTCACTGCAACCTCCACCTCCCAGGTTCAAGTGATTCTCCTGCCTCAGCCTCCCGAGTAGCTGGTATTACAGGCACATGCCACCACATCCGGCTACTTTTTTTTTTTTTTTTGTATTTTTAGTAGAGATGAGGTTTCACCGTGTTAGCCAGATGATCTGGATCTCCTGATCTCGTGATCTGCCTGCCTCAGCCTCCCAAAGTGCTGGGATTACAGGTGTGAGCCACCACACCTGGCCAAAACTTATGTCTTGTAGAGTTTAAGATATGGAAAGTAAGTGACAACACTGTGTAAGTCACAGAGCAGTAAAAGAAGTTGGAATATTTTACCACAGTTGCAAAAAGGAGAGGGTTTGTGAGGCCCGGGCTTCTTTATATACAAGAAAAGGCAACACTGCCAAATCCGAGTCTAGGCGCCCAGAAAGCTAATGCAAAACCAGTGCCTAAAGGAGGAAAGTATCAATGTCACCTTGAAAGTGAACAGAGACACTACTGTTATTAAAAAGAAAAACAAGTCATGAGGAAGAAGAATGTATTGAGTCGTTAGCATGCTCAAGGAGGTTTCCACATATTAATATTATCTTAATTTATGTTATTTATTCCTGTTATATTCTAATACTATGTATTATTATTTATGCTAATACTATGTATTATTATCTCCTTTTTCCAAGGAGGAAACTGACTCTGTAGGGTGAGCTAACTCATCCTGAATCAAAGCTGCAATGTGGAGATTGGTGTGTTCCATTACATCTCATTGCCCCTTTAGAAGCAGGCTGTGCTGGGGACCAGGAGGAGGCCATTGGATGGGTGCCAGGAAGCTCAGGGCTTCAGGCATGGCTGACCCTGTTTCCACTGGGCCCCAGGGAAATTGAAGCCAAATGTATGAGGATGGAACAGTTCTGAGGCTTTCATAAGTTATTTTCTGTAATCCATTGACCATTTTGATGATCATTTTTCCTCCCAGAAAAATTCACTTACCCCTTTTCTCTTCTGTGGACTGCATTGCCACATTTTCCTCTCTCATTTGATTTCACAAGTGTCCATAATCTTACTTGCTCCTTTCCTTTGGCATTTTCTCTTGGAATCTAAGTATCTCTGTTTTTTATATTTTATAGTCACTTGCTTCATGTTTATCCTCTTTTTGTTTTCTATCTCTTTCTTTCCCCAAAGAAATAAGTCTTTGCTGCAATTCATAGGGGCTGATATTGAACCATACGTCCAGGGTATTACTTTACAATGTCCATAAGCTCCCAGAAATGCACCAGAAATACGCCAACAATTAAATGACACTTTATTTCTGGGCGTAGGTAGGGGTTCTTGCTGCCCAAGCACAGCCTGGCAGACAGAGGCAGGACTTCAAATGACCACTGCAAGCCTCTCTTTTTGACGGATGCAGCTCATCCAATACACCAAGAGAAGGATTGTCCAAATTAAAATCTATTTCTAACAGGAACCCATCAGGAACAATCCCTAATACTGTTCTTCCATGAAGAATAAAAAAGGTAAAAGTCATATAAAAGAGGGAAGACATGGCAAGATAGTTACAAGAATATTTTCAGAGTATAAGTTTTAGGAAATATGCTGAATTATCCAGTGTTTTAATTACCCTGAAGCTGGACTTTCCAACCAAAACTCATAATCTAATTAAGGAAGTCCATCATATCAACAGCACATAAAGCAACAAGCAATTAACATTTTCCAAAAATGAAACTGATGCAGGAGCATTTCGATTTACTCTAATTATACTGTGAATGCTGTGCCTAATGCAACAATGCCTTTGCATTTAAAAAATTGTCTTTAAAGGTCTCCCTCCAAATTGTAATAGGCTTATATTTCTCCCATTCTAGCTGCCTGTAATATACATAAAAATGAGAATTACAAAGAATTCTCAACTCATGGATATTATAAAATATAGATGACAGAAACTTGGCCCTGAATGCTCCCACAAGAACAGTTTGCAGCAATCACACTACAAAGAGTTGTAAGGATAGCACTTTGATCAATCTGCTTCATTCATCTCTATGCGCTTGAAAGAAATGTCTTGGAAAGGGCTAAGAGCCAGCGTTCCTGAACCTCCGAATACAGGCTTGTTCTTGCACCAGATATCGTGCCTACCGCAGTGCAGAGCTCGCTAAGCCTTCAGGAAGCTTTTGTTTCAGACCACAGTGGTGTGCACTCCTCTAAAGCATATGCTGCAGTACATGACTGAGCCTTCTGTCAGCTGATGAACTGCATCTGACTCCTGGTGTTTAAAGGGTCTGAAACAAGCATATCATTCTGCAAAGTCTGAGATTCAAAATAAGTAAATCCTATTGATTATATCAGTAGAAATTACAATCATGGGATTCTAGAAGTACAGGGAAACTGGAGGAAACTCCAGATGAAGAAGCTGACATCCAGGAAATAAATAGTTGCCCACTCCTACACAAAGTGGGAAACAAATTGGCTTTATTGACTCCTAAACTTTTGGAATCAGAAAGATCTGGCTTCAGATTCAACTTTTCCATTTAATGTGGGAATGTGAGCGAGTTACTTCCCTAGCCCTTTGGTTTCGTGGTCTTTAAAATGGAAACAGTAATACAGACCCCTTACAACATGAAGATCAGATGAAATGACACATGGGGAACCTTTGATGTTCCCACTGTTCTGAGCTGCAGGCTCTCTGAAGTGATCTTCTTCCTTCTCATGTCATTTTCTGAGGTAATAAAAAGCAGATGTGAAGTAAAAATTTGTCAGATAATTAATCAAGAAGAAAAACCAGAGCAGGCAGGACCTTCAGATATTCAAAATCATAAAGTTGACATTTTATCTAAATTCCTCAAGTTGGCTTTTCATAGAAGCTATATAACTGGTGTTTCACACTGCACGTCATGTTTTTACCGAAATAAGAGGAAGATTACATCCCTAAATACAAATTTACTACCAAATCATGACGTGAGAATAGGAGAAATAGCTCCGTGGGACATTAGCCAAGAACCGTGATAAATAAGAAGAGAGAAGAAGGTTGGGTGCTAAGTTAGATGATAAAGTTACCATGATTTTCTAGCTAATAATTATCCTACATTCTCAGATGCCTGAAGAAAGATACATGTGTTTGTGTGTATATATATATATGTGTGTGTGTGTGTATATATGGCATGCAACACCATAAATTAATTAGATGTGCCTTGTATCACATAGCTTGAATTAAGACCATAGAAAAGATAACAGAAGTAAGAATTTAAAAATAGGACCCAATATAAATATCTATTTGATTTATGAGTGCATTTATTAATTCATATATTTATTGATACTTCCTCTGTGAATAACTGTGCAAGTTTTAGAAATATAAAAATGCAGCTGGTGCAGTGGCTTACACCTGTAATCCCAGCACTTTGGGAGGCCAAAGTGAGTGGATCATGAGGTCAAGAGATCGAGACCATCCTGGCCAACATGGTGAAACCCCATCTCTACTAAAACTACAAAATTAGCTGGGTGTGGTGGCGGGTGCCTGTAGTCCCAGCTACTCAGGAGGCTGAGGCAGGAGAATCGCTTGAACCTGGGAGGTGGAGGTTGGCTCCACTGCACTGCAGCCTGGGCAACAGAGCAAGACTCCATCTCAAAAAACAACAAAAAAAAGAAATATAAAACTGAATTAAATATGATCCCAGCCATCAAAGAATGCACAATTCTAGAATAACAAAGCATAAGCTTATAGCACTGGCATGGTTTCCTGCTGAGTCTATAGAGCCTGCTTCCAATGTTATCATGCCACTGTCAAAAGACATACAAAATTAAACAATATTTTAAAGAGCAAAAAACCTCTGTGTCTCAAACTCCAACAAATACTATTTCTACAGGACATACAAGTTTTCAAATGCTTTGAGTTAGCCTTTCACAATAAATTATTTTCCAAAAAAATGATTTTTAATGTGTAAAAATTTTTCTGCTGTGAGAAAAAATAAAATATTGTTTAAAATCTTAATACTTTAACACTTTACAATACTTTATATATTATTTTATATAATTGTCCTCATAGAGTATATGTAAGTTTGTGTCATGTATTATATGCCTAGTGTTACATCCTAAACATGTCCCCAGTGGTAACCACTGTTTGTTTTTATGGCAGCACTGTATTAAATTTAAGTAATAATTTACTGAATAATGTCTGTATTGTTGGATATTTAGAATTTTTCTGCTTTGTGATCATAATAAACAATGTAATTGGTACAGGGCTTTAAAATGTGATAATTATTTAGACCATCACTGAAGTCCCAAAATACTAGCTACCATATTCCAAAGTTAAGTCAAGAAACCATGAAGGGCCGGGCGCAGGGGCTCATGCCTGTAATCGCAGCATTTCGGAGGCCGAGGTGGGTGGATCACATGAGGTCAGGAGTTCGAGACCAGCCTGGCCAACATGGTGAAACCCCGTCTCTCCTAAAAATACAAAAATTAGCAGGGCGTGGTGGCGCTTGCCTGTAATCTCAGCTACTCGGGAGGCTGAGGCAGGAGAATCGCTGGAAACTGGGAGGTGGAGGTTGTGAGTGAGATTGCGCCACTGCACTCCAGCCTGGGTGACACAGCAAGACTCTGTCTCAAAAAAAAGAGAAAGAAAGAGAGAAAGAAAGAAAGGAAGGAAGGAAGGAAGGAAGGAAGGAAGGAAGGAAGGAAGGAAGGAAGAAAGAAAGAAAGAAAGAAAGAAAGAAAGAAAGAAAGAAAGAAAGAAAGAAAGAAAGGGAGAAAGAGAGAAAGAAAGAGGAGGGAAGGAGGGAAGGAGGGAAGGAGCCATGAAGGACCTGTGCAGATATTGGGAAAAACTGTGTTAAGCCGGGTCATATCCCTGCCCCCCACGAATGCTTCCTCCTCATCTCAAGTGACGTAAGGCGATTTCCAAGAGCATGCTATGAGGCTCTGGGAATTTGGAACCTCGTGGCCTGGTCTGGCTCAGACAAGAGAAATGTAAAACACAGGAGACCTTGGCTGGCAAGGAGAGGTTACTGCATTGTTGGACAAAGGATGTGTGGCAATTGTCTCAAATACTGTCTAAAACACGTCAGAAAGAGAAAGACTTCCCAGATGCCTCAAAGATTAGCGAAATTACCAGCAACCTGTTAAAAAAGAAGTCTCACCAATATTAAGAGAACGCTAAGTAAAAGATCCCTGGAAATACGGTCTTCAAAGAACCCATGTGAGCATCCAGGAGGGACGTGTTGGCTTAAATACCTGCCAGACCAAAGGAGCGCCTGTCCCTTCTCATTCCAATCAGTGAAGTGAAACATGGCAGCCTCCTTTAAGTGAATGTATGTAGTGTGTAAGGGGTCGGAGAGGGAAGCCACAAAAGCAAAGGAGGGAAAAACAGAGGGGAAATCTTCCTCCCTCCCATCACAGGACTGAGGCTGAGGAGACAAGAAAGAATCTTTTTAAATAAATATGAAGCTGTAATCACTCTACTAGAGTAAAGAAACTAATTTGTAAGTGATTCTTCTTTGTTTTTCTAACCATAAGCATCAGTAGGACTCTTCACTATCTAAGAATGAGTTGGGGGACCACGAGATCTGAGCTCCTTGTCATCCAGGAAGATGGGAGGAATGAGTTTTACAGAATGGTTGTAACAAGAAGTCAGCAGATAGCAAGCTGATACCTGATACCGTACCAAGAGTCTTGCTTTTCCAACATAACAGTCAGACTATAATACAGATTACAATTTGTAATCCCAGCATTTTGGGAGGCCAAGGCAGGAGGATCCCTTGAGCCCAGCAGGTCGAGGCTGCAGTGTGCTATGATCACACTGTTGCACTCCAGCCTGGGCAACAGAGTGAGACCCTGTCTCTTAAAAAAGAGAGAAAAAGAAAAAAAGAAAAGAAAATTATGTTGCAATTACATTTTGCATTCTTTTAGTATATCTCCTTTGGATAAATCCTCAGAAGTGAGATTGCTAGGGATTTCATGCAGGTGCCATCATTTACTTAATCAAACCCTATTTGCAAACAATCTAGGAGTTTTTCCTTCATTTTTTATGATGATCAATGATGTTGAAATGGATGTAATTTTATGTAACAGATTTTTCCTCCTTTTGGGCTATTTACTGTTTATGTGTGACCCATGGGTGGAAATTGTTTTTGCTCTTGATGCATTTACAAATGGCTCTCTAAAGGGATTGTTCCCCCTTCATTATTACCAGTGGTGTGTGAACATCCATTTTACTAGAACTAGATATTATTTAAATACAAATTAATAAATATAAAATATCAATCTTTTAAATTTGAATCTCTTCTTTCACTAAAAATATTATCCCATTCACTTACCATTTACAATTTCTCCTTTGTGGAGTGGTTTATATTTTTGTCAATTTATCCCAAAGGGATTTTCTGATTATAGACTGCTCATGTTCTCACCCCAGGCTCTCCAGCTGCATCTGTACCAGCAGGGGGAAAAGGAATAAAATAGGTGATAATATAATCATAAATATTTGCAGGAATCCTGCTGTCCAAGTTTCCTACTACTCTGGGCATTCACATTTATTTATTTATTTATTATTTATTTTAGACAAGGTTTGGCTCTGTCACCCAGGCTGGAGTGAAGTGCCACGATCTTGGCTCACTGCAACATTTGCCTTCTGGGCTCAGGTGATCCTTCTGCATCAGTCTCCTGAGTAGCTGGAACTACAGGTGCATGCCACCATACCTGGCTAATTGTGTGTGTGTGTGTGTGTGTGCGTGTGTGTGTGTGTATGTGTGTACAGAAGGGGTCTCACCATGTTGCCCAGGGTGGGTTCAAACTCCTGGACTCAAGCGATCCACCCACCTTGGCCTTCCAAAGTGCTGGGATTACAGGCACGAGCCACCACATTTAATTCTTAATAAAGACAATGGAATTTCTAGGAAGAACTTCCTCTTACGAAAGGAGCTAATTTGTTTTCTTTTGCAAGATATGTTGTATTTATCATTATAACTTAGATCAAATGAAAAAAATAACAAGGGAATTTTGCATCTTTTTGGTAAAAAAATCTGATAAGTTTCAGCAATATTAAGATTACTGTAAAGGCTTCTCTTCACAAAGAGTCTAAATAGGACATTGAATAGCTTCTTAACCAAAATGAAGTAAAATTTGAGTAACTAAAGTAAAATAAAATTTTTCATGTCTGAGCCAGACCAGGCCACGTGGCTCCAAATTCCCAGAACCTCATAGCATGCGCTTGGAAATTGCCTTCCGTCACTTGAGATGAGGAAGCATTCATGGGGGGCAGGGGTATGATCTGGCTTCTGACAGCTTTTTCCCAATATCTGCTTCTCTTGCCCTCATCTCCAAAAGCCTCAGACCTTTGGCTCACAAGCCCTTCATGGTCTCCTTCTTTCTTCTTCTTCTTCTTTTTTTTTTTTTTTTGAGTAAAAGAACACTAAAACAGCAAGAAAATTTTTCTGTAGTTATCAGAAATTTCGCTGTTATGCGGATAGCTTTGTTTTTCATTATTAAACATAATTTTGTGTTTCTTCTAAAAGAAATTATATTTTGCATCTAAACGATAGCCACAACAAAATCATTAGAAAGATATTATACAACCATATCCAAGTAGGATAAATAGTTGTTGTAGAAATCACAAAGCAGAAATACGTTATCACAATCAGTGAATTTGATTTGAATTTTAGATAATCATATATTTCTACCCAAATGAATCTTGCATTTATATCTATGTGACAGCTGCCAAATTGGCCTGGAATGGAATTTGGCTGATGTAATTTACAACAGTTCATCTATTTGGTTTAAACAAATAGCAAAGACCAGGAATACCAGAGTTGGGACATACCTGATTTACAAAGAGCAATCAGACGAATCGGTGTTTTCATTCTACTCAGATCTACCCAGGTTGTGTCACTTTAGGTTAGGACACAGTCGTGGAGATTTTGTCTTTAACTGCTATGCGGTTTTGGTTGTGAGAAGCCAATCACCTTAGAACTGGCTTCTGCCACTTTTTGGAGGGAAACATCAGAAAAAAGGGCAAAGTAGAGTTTTCTCTCCTTGGCTTTCTTTGGTTATTAAGAGCTCCCCACCCTCTCTCTAGTATTTGTGATGCTGCTTCTGTCCCTCTACTTAATCCTATTGAAGCTCACATCACACTCTAGCCTGGCATCATTTTTGTGAGTCTTAGAGATAAAAATGGTACTGGAGTATTACTTAATAAAATCCACCCACTTTTCTAAATACAAACAAAACAAACTGACAAATGAATAGAACAATTACTTAGCAACCAATGGGTGGAGGATGACCTCCTGACAAAGGGTGGGTACCAACAGTATTTAACCTGCAGCATATACTTAGCAGAAAACATCAGAAGCCTGCTTGTTAAATATCCCAGCAACAAGACACAAATACTCCCTATCACTGGTACTATTCAAAACTGTAGAGAAAGTCCTGCCAAAAATATACAAGCTAAACGTGAGTGATAGGATTACTGGAAACAACGAAAAAAGAAATTCTACCTAGAAAAGCCAAAAAAAAATCAACTGACAAACTGGTAAGTCACTTTAGCCAGCTCAAAATATAAAATAAAAGCAGGACAAAATCAGTAACATCAGCACTAGGCTACTTGAAAATATAACTTAAAATGTTCAATTACACTAGCAACACACTTATCTACATAGGAAGATACCTAATTAGAAAAGGGTGAGTCCTGTATGAAAAAAACATAAAATTGAATTTAAGAACATAAAAGAAAGTGAAAACAGACCTACATCCTACGCCAGGTTAAGAGAGTTCCATATAATAGAAAAGTTTTTAATTCCTAAATTAATAAATTCTGTTCAATTTTTAAAGATAAGCATGTTTCCAAGAAACACTACCATTCAAAGCTTCATCTGGAAGAGTGAATTTAAAAACATAGACAAAGGAATTTTTTTTTTTTGAGATGGAGTCTCGCACTGTCGCCCAGGCTGGAGTGCAGTTGCGCCATCTCGGCTCACTGCAACCCCTGCCCCCTGGGTTCAAACAATTCTCCTGCCTCAGCCTCCCAAGTAGCTGGGATTACAGGCACCCGCCACCTTGCCCAGCTAATTTTTTGTGTTTTTAGTAGAGATGGGGTTTCATTATGTTGGTCAGGCTGGTCTTGAACTCCTGACCTCATGTGATCCACCCACCTCGGCCTCCCAAAGTGCTGGGATTACAGGTGTGAGCCACCACACCTGGCCAACAAAGGAATTTTTTAAAAAGAACAAGACTGTGAGGTGAAGCTAAAGAACTAGCCCTTAACAACATAAAAACATACCATAAAGTTGTAATAATTCAGTTAATCTCCATTACTGTTTTAAGTGAGGATTTGGCATAAGAAAGGAAAAAATCAATCTGTGAAACAGAATAGGAAATATAGAAACTGACCCATGTGTATAACTCATGTGCAGAATGATAAAGGTAAATCATTCAAAATTGTAGGAAAAGGATGGATAGGAAAATACAATAAAAATAGAATTTGAAAACCTATTTATCCATTTGTGGGGTAAAAATAACTTTACAGCTCACATGTCATATATTCCAGATTCAGTAAAACCATAATATTATTGTAAAAAATAGAATAATTTTCAGAATATGGAAGGCCTTGTAAGTAATAACTGGGAAAAAAACAATAATGGGAAAGACAGACAAGTTTGGCTACATAGAATGTAAATTTTTGTATAATAATAATAATAAAAGTAATATAAATAGAAGTCAAGAGACAGACTGGGAGAAACTCTTCCACTTAGAAAACATACAAAGACAATACCACACATTGGTGAAGAAAGGATGTAGACTGCGTTTGTCTGACTGTCTGACTTTGTGCCCAGCTCTGCCACCAACTGTGACCTTGGGCAAGGTCATTGTCATCAATTTGTTTAATATAGTTGCTGCTTTGGCATCCATTCCTAAGCCAGACATTTTATATATATATATATATATATATATATATATATATATATATATATATATTCCCCCCCAGACGGAGTTTCGCTTATGTCGACCAGGCTGGAGTAGGAGTACAATGGGGCAATCTTGGCTCACCGCAACCTCTGCCTCCTAGATTCAGGCGATTCTCCTGCCTCAGCCTCCCGAGTAGCTGGGATTACAGGCGTGCGCCACCACACCTAATTTTGGGATTTTTTTTTTTTTAAGTAGAGACGGAGTTTTATCATGTTGGTCAGGCTGGTCTTGAACTCCTGACCTCAGGGGATCCACCCACCCTGGCCTCCCAAAGTGCTGGGATTACAGGCGTGAGCCACCTTGCTCAGCCGTTAATATATTTTTTGAAGCTCAGCCGCACCCCATCACCTTTGTCCTAGTTAAACCTCCCCTCGCGTGTGAGTAGTTGTGATACAGCCTGCTTCTTCCTCATCTCACTGACCTGAAACCCAGCACACCCCACGGCTGCTGGTGGTGGTGAAGCCTCCTGGTCAGCACCAGAAACTATAACAAAGTTCCTCGCTTTGCCGTGGTTTCTTTACAGTCGCCCATCCACACCTGCACAGGGAAGGCCTAGGGGAAAACACCCATGGACCCCAATAAAGGCACAGCCCCCAAGTCCTCCCTCTCTCAGTCAGCCGCACCTTCTGCTTGAGCCTGTGTCCCTGACAGCCCTGACTGCTCCCCGCTTCCTGCTGGCCCCGTAAGGTCTGCTGCCCTCCCGCCGCGGGGTCTGTGAGTAATAAAACTGCTCTGTTCTGGATTTCGCTGTACTGCCTCCACTGTGTCTCACCTGGCCGACTCACCTGAACCCAGCTTCTTTCTCCGTCAAGACTCTCCTAGAGATCGGCCATCCTGGTAGGAATAAACTGCACACAGGTCAGGCAAGAGCCACAGGGTGTCTGCCAGTATCAACAAGCTTCTTGTGGAAGGGAGGCCTGGTCACAGGTTGGACATTTAGGCAGTAGGCTGTCTGCCAGAATGAAGTCGTTAGTAAAAGGCACACTGTCAACATCCGTGACCAAATGCCCAGGAATCTCATCAGGGCAGGGCTAAAGTTTGTAGCCACTCTGCTGAGAGAGACCTCCAGACGAAATGAGAAGCTACGTGCGCGCACACACACACACACACACACACACACACCCCAGTCTTTCAGCTCTCTGTGTCTCAATTCCCTTATTTGTAAAATGGGGACAGATGTGCCGGCTCACTGTACTGAAAGAATGAAATGCAGTCATCTATAAAAAGTGCTTAGAGCAGTACCAGGACTCAATTACCATTGGGTGTTATTATTATTATATACAACCAAAAACATCTAGAATATTTGACTATGCGAAAAACTCCTAAAATTAGTTTTAGAAGTATAAACAATACAATTTACAAATGAGCAAAAAATAAAGACAGGCAACTCACAAAAGAAACATGAATAGCCAATAAATAGAAACCAAAAATTTTCAACCACAATGATAATCAAAGAAATGCAAATTAAAATATCAGTAAGATGCCAACCTGCATGCATCAGGTTAGAAAACGTATGGGATAACTATGGCGATGGATACGACAACACCATAGTCAGACAGCCTGTTGACAGGCAGGCAGTCATTCCTACCAGTGTTGGTGAATACAAACCCATGCATTCTTTTGGGGGGTGAATTTGGTAGAATATTATAAAATGTAAAATGTAAACACTCTTTCATCTAACAGCTCCAATCCTTGAGTCTGCACTAGAGAAATACTCTAAACAGGTATTGTTCATCACTGAGAAGGTAGGACAGCCTCTAAATGCCCTACTTACAATACTGTAAGATAATTAGTAGTTCATGGTTCAATGCAACGATGCATATCTGTACATATTGCCAAGAAATTTTCAGTCATACTGTTGTTATTTTTTAAATTGAAGAACAATATATAAAAACTGGTCCCATATATATTTTAAAGCCCACAATAAAAAATAGTATATAATATAGAATTTACACATATAAACATATGTGGCATATAAAACATATTTATAGAACATATGTAAAATCATATGTATCATATGTAAATGAAGAGCAACAGTGATCAATTCTAAGGGGAAGGCATATGGGTAGGGGATTGGAGGAACAGAGATTTATCAAGGTTGAATTTTGTTTGCTGTGTATTGACTGAATTATTTACAATAAGGATGCATTCACTTACGGATTGTGAAATTTTAAAATTAAAAAAAAAGACCTGACATATAGGTAATATTCAGTAAATAATTGCTGTTATTGTAGATGTGAATGTAATTATTAATCTTGAAATTATGTATTAGTCTCTTGCTCTTTTTTTTTTGAGATGGAGTTTTGCTCTTGTTGCCCAGGCTGGAGTGCAATAGCATGATCTCGGCTCACTGCAACCCTCGCCTCTCGAGTTCAAGTGATTCTCCTGCCTCAGCCTCCCAAGTAGCTGAGATTACAGGTGCACACCACCATATCCAGCTAATTTTTGTATTTTTAGTAGAGACGGGGTTTCACCATGTTGGTCAGGCTGGTCTCGAACTCCTGACCTCATGTGATCCACCCGCCTCGACCTCCCAAAATGCTGGGATTACAGGCATGAACCACCACGCCCAGCCATCTCTTGATCTTAAGGCACCAAGAGTCTGCTTTTCTGACAACCAGAATGCCACTGTACTATTATTTTTTTTTAAGCTGAAGTCTTCAAACCAGTTTCATACAACCAAAGCAAAGAGGAAGCCTACAGAGTTTCATAAAGTGACCAGGAACAGCTGTCTGGATTGATTCGAAATGAAAGAAAAGCTCGAACTTCCACTGCAGCAATCTTGTACAGCACTTTACTTCGGTAGACCTGACCCAAGCAGCACAGAGCCCGGCATTTGCAAAGGGGAGTATACTTTCAGACATAATGGGAAAGAAGAGAATTAGCATTTTAAGGGTTGTGTCTTTTTTGCTTTATTTATTCATGCTTTATTTTCATCTTTTTAAATAAATCACATTAATAGGCTATATCTGTGTAGCAGACAGAAATGTAATTTATTTGAGAAAGGCAAAAATAAATTGCCATTGGTTTTTAATTTTGATTGTTAATAAGATGATACAGTTAATACTGATTTAAAACGCCTGCAAACAAGCTCTGCAGAATTCAAATTATTTATAGATAAAACGTTAAATATTCTATAACAAGCTTGTATCACAGAAACATCAGTAATTTTGGGTCTGCCTTGCAGCTTATGTCACAGAAACCTGTCTTTTTTTGGTGTGTCCTTCAGTTATTAGATATAAGGTCAACAGTCTCATGTATTATACTTAATGCGATGGTTGTGTCCAATTCATCTCTTTATCACCTAATGATAATTCTTATTAATGTAAGTTATTTGGAATAGATGGAGTCAGGCCAATCACAAAATCCCTTGACTGTAGTTTTGAAATATGCTCAACATCATAATGATGGAAAGTCATATTTGGAAACTCTGAGGGTATCTTCAACTTGGAAGTTAACTTCTTTAAGTAAATTAGGATTGTCCTTGGCAGATGGTGAAGGACCTCACTAAATGAAACACATAATTAGTTTTACACTGACATAAATATATCTCCTTATGCCTGTATTTGTTCATTTTAAAAATGAGATTTGATTAGATGATCTAATCCTATCTTTCAGTTACAAAAGAATGTATATACACATATATGCTCTCCTATAGATATCATACCATATAAAATTAGAACAATTGTAAATTATTTCTAAAGAAGAAAATAAAATATAGGTCTAACTCTGATGAAATTTCAGAACAGATCATCAAAGATGTGTTCCATTAGTACTTGGCAAATGAAAATAAAATGATAGTAAATGTAATAATAGTGATTAGCATGGGTTGCATGAGAAATTTTATCAAACAATACTAATCAGTAAATACGACATGCCTTCGGGTTGTTATCAAGATATTTTTTATAAGAAGATTGAAAAGTTTCAATAACAAGGTCTTCTTGTGGCTTGTAGAATAAAAAGGATTGATTATTTGTCCATTATCAGGCTGAAAGAGGATATCTGTTTTCTTCTGAAGTTTTTGTCCATGGCCCCGACTCAGTGCACACTTTTTTTAGATCAATAACTTGAAGATATAGAGAGTATCAAGTTTACAAATCATTTAAATCAAAGAGGCATGGCTAACTGTACATCTAGTAGCAAAAATATGATTCCAAAAGTTTAATAGGCTGAAAACATGAGATTAAAACTAAAACAGCAAGATGGGAGCTGGAGGCAGTGGCAGACACCTGTAGTTTCAGCTACTCTGGAGGCTGAGACTGGAGGACAGCTTGAGGCCAGGAGTTGGAGACTGCAGTGAGCTATGATTACGCCTGTGAATAGCCACAGCACCCCAGCGTGGACAACAAAGGGTGACCCTGTCTCTAACAAAAGAAAAGGCAAAAACTGAGCAAGATGAAATGTAGAAAGGATAAAATAAATAGAAAACCCAAATTACCGATATTCGCTGTGAATAAGACATAGAAGTTTATTTGTTCACAGTGAGCTCAATATGAGCCAGTGGTGTGATTGGTTGTGTTTCTTCCTTCTGAAAATGACTGCAGTTTAAACTAAACTATTAGTGTTCAACACACACAAAAATATAGTGGCACTTGGTTAGTTTATGTCTAGAAATCCATGTTTAGTTCTGGTTACCGTATTTAAAATATTTGGTTACCTTTTTAGTTCTGGTTACTATATTTAAAAGCAGATTACAGACATGCGTAGACAAAAGGTAGTTTTAAATATGGTAATGATATTGGGAAGTGTGTAATAGGAAGCCAAATGTTTTTAGCCTAGAAATGTAAGGTGTATGCATTTGTGTTAGGGTGCACGCTTTTAGAGAGGGTGACTATTATGATTGGGAGGGGAAATAAAGAGATGCCATTACTATGCAAATATTTATAGGACTATGTCTTAGAAAACACATTTGTCTTACATTTATCTTTTTACTCTGCTTTATATTTTTAATAGATGTTTAAAAAGAAAATTAAAATTATTCTTCACAGTCACCATTTTTGAAAAGACAAAAGTAGCAAAAAGAGAGATACCAGCTCATGCAAACTAAATAAAACAAAAGTGTTCCTGTTTCTCCACGTGTGTCCATCTTTATGTACTCAGTGTCAAATATACTGGCAGGCAGACAGCAGATGTTACATATGTACTGGCCAAATGAATGAATAATAAATCACTATGAAGTGAATGGCTTGTGAGAGCCCAGCCACTAGGCAAGCCTGGAGGATGACCATCTATGAGGGACCTCAGAGAAAGAACTGCTGAAAGAAGCCCATGGGCCTCCTTGACTTCTAAGATACATTTAGACATAATACTATTTAAGAGAGCAAGTAAGAGCAAATTTTCTCCCATAGTTCTGATTATCATTATAGTTTAAGCGTTAGACCTTGTTCAAACAAGCTTGGAAAACAAGCTGTCTTGTCTGTTAAGGGGAGAGTAAGTGATATAAAAATGTAAAGGTTAAGATTTCTGATAAGTTAAAGCTTGGTAAAATATTTCCACGTATGTAAATGATTATGCCAATTTAATTTGTTTCCAAAATTGGAATATCCTTTAGAATAGAAATAAAATATTTAATCTGAATGGTAATACACTGATCTCCTTTTGTCGTGAACTACCGAGTCCTTTCTACAGTTTTGGCCATACACATGAAAATTAAATTACAGTATTTTAAAATAGTATTTGTATATTCCATTTGGGATCCTAACTTACCTAAGCAGCTCGAATACATTTTAAATTAAAATCAAGTTTGGATTTTTTTCCCAGAGAGGTGACTTATTGCAAATAAGTAGCTCCCTCTATTTCATATTTGTCCATTTTTATTCTAAATATTTTAATACTATAACTTAAATATTCTATTGGTTTTATTTTTCTTAATATGATAATATTTTTATAAAGTATTTAAAGTAAACAAAATGTATTATAGTTATTGTTAGATAAAGGTGATAGACTTAAATAAACTAAGGCATGAGCCATATCTGGGGTTCATGGATATTGAAATAATTTATTCTTTTAAAGCACATTATTGAGATGTTACACACATTTGGAAACACAAAGGGTAATAACTTTAGTTTCTATCGATAATAAAAATTAGATAACCTGAGGAATCTTTAGAAGAGCATAGCAATGTAAAAAAAAAAAAGAGGCTAAAATAACACACATACGTTTTAACAGTGTTTGTCTTTTGCTGGTGGGACTATGAATGATTTTTCTCCCCACTGTCTACATTTTTACAATTAACATTATTTTAACAAGAAATAAAAATGGCGTGTTACTTTCTTTTAAAAAAAATTGTTAAATGTTAAGAGTAAAATAATGGCACTACACTATTTCAAAAGCAAAATATTAATTTCATGTTGAGCATAAAATTCTTATTAAGGCTGAGTCTCTTTGTGTCATACTAATAAAAAATTCTCCAATTATATATCTTAAGGGTACCTGGGCAGAGCAACCCTCAACATCACTAGGAAATGAATCCCTTCTTGGAACTAAATTCTCCAAATCAGGGAAGTCACTTTCTTAAGCAATAAAATATTTGGAAAATTAAACTTATTTATAAAGTCTGTTTTTCTACTAAGTCATTTAGCTCCTTTATTGCTTTCTTTATGTGGCTATTTTTCAACATTCTCTTAATGATTCAGAGATATTCTTGTGATTGTTAAAGACTTCACAATTAAATACGCGGCACCTGTTAGGATGTAGCGGGCACTAGTGACTAGCAAAGCTTTGGTTTTGAGTTACAGTGTTTGTTCTTTATGGAATTTCTGTATTTTCCCCTGTAGCCTTCCTGTTAGATATTACTGCTGTTACTGTATCTTTCTTTAACCACCTCTTCTTTCCTCGTCTTCTAGCTTCTGGCTTTTAATAAATGTGCTATGGTAAAAAAAAAAAAAAAAAAAGAAAGAAAAAAGTTAATATTGCTTACAGCTATGTGTAATAATATTCAGTAATTTTCTCAACAACAAATATCTTCTATGGCCAGGAATAGCATAAGGCCATTAAGTTGCTGTGAGATAGGAGCAGAGTGCATCTGCAGGTGTCTGAAGGAGGAGAGCAGAATGAGAATGCACTCAGAGAGTTCACGCAGCCCCTCGTTCCCTCATTTTTAGGCCAGGAAGTGGCTCATCTGGCTTATGTTTTAAATATCATTATGATTGGTCTATGCCAAATAGATTTTAGAGAAACAAGTGGTAGAAGTAAAATCAGGATAGAAATGACAGAGGCTTGGACTAGGGTAGCAGTGGTGGATATGATGAGAAGCAGTATAATACAATTTCTGTTTTGAAAATGTTAATACATAAAATCTTGTCAACTTTTTAAGGGGCTCAATATGGGAAAATGGGTTATAGATACGGGTAATGGCAAGAGCCACTGACAAGTTTACCAGTGACAAGATGTGCCAAAGGTTTAGGTATGGGCTGAGACACAGAAAGAAATAATAAAGGACACCTCCCAGGTTTTGGCCTGAGCAACTGCCTGAAGGTGATACCACTTACTGAGGGGCCCAGTAAGAAAAGCAAACTTGGCTGGGGAAGAACTAGAAAGGAAATCGAGAGTTCAGACCTGCCATGTTAAATGTGAGATGCAGCCATACAAGTGGACGTGATGACACCATTCTGTAGTTCAAGTGAATGTTCTGGCTAGAGATATCCATTTGGGAATTTTCACAGTAGATACAGAATTAAAACCTATGCAATTAGATATTATCAACCAGAGAGCAAGTAATGATAGAGAAAAACAAAGTATAAGGAAAACAGTAACTTGGGCAGTGCAATATTTAGATGTCATAAAGAGGAGGAAGATCCATCAACGCAGATAGAGAACACGCTAATGGGATAGAGGGAAAAAGTAACCCAATAGTACGTGGTGTCCTGGAAGCCAAATAAAGGAGGAAAAGCAGCTGGACTGTGTGATATGCTATTCAGAGACTGAGTAGGTCACCACTGCTTTGAGTTCCAGAATCTGAGTCTAGAGGGTCGCACATAAGACTTAATATTTAACGTATGTAATATTAGTTACATGTATTTTCCACCTCCTAAATTTCTCCCAAGCCCACCCTTCTTTCAGTTTTCCTACCTGTACAATAAATGGCCCTTATTAACCCATTCACTCATACTGAGTCCATTATAAAAACACAATAGTCCTTAACTCTGAAATATATTTCAAATCTACTCACTTCTCTCCGTCTCTACTGCCAACCTCCTTGTGCAAACCATGTTTGAGAACTTTTGTAACTCATTTTTTGAGAACTATTGTAACTGCTCTTTAACTAATTCCTCATCATCCCTTCTTTCCACTCTTGGCTTTTATAATCTAACATGCGGAGCTCTCAAGGTTTGCTGCCATGTTAAAAAAACAGTAGCAGAGAAAACCAGAAAAGAAAGCGGATTCTAAGGTTTTGGTCTGAGAACTCCGTGAATGGCAATGCCATTTATTAAAACAGGGAGCTCTAAGGAAGGTGAGTTTGATGAGGGATTGAGAAACGTGGAAATCATGTGTCTTATTATGTCATTTCCATTTTTTTTTTTTTTTTTTTAAGGCAGAGTCTCGCTCTGTCACTCAGGCTGGAGTGCAGTGGCGGGATCTCGGCTCACTGCAAGCTCCACCTCCCGGGTTCACGCCATTCTCCTGCCTCAGCTTCCTCAGTAGCTGGGACTACAGGCGCCCGCCATCACGCCTGGCTAATTTTTTTGTATTTTTGGTAGAGATGGAGTTTCACCGTGTTAGCCAGGATGGTCTGGATCTCCTGACCTCATGATCTGCCCGCCTCAGCCTCCCAAAGTGCTGGGATTACAGGTATGAGCCACCACGCCCAGCCTATCATTTCCATCTCTTTATCAGTTCTAAAAAATTATATTCACAATAGCATAAAAAGAATAAAATATGAGGGATATTTTAACAAAAGTAGTGCAGAGCTTGCACACTGAAAACCATAAAACATCGCTATGAAAAATCAGAGAAGATCTAAGTGAACAGAGAGATAGTCCATGTTTATGGATTCAAAGACTGAGTGTTGTTAAGATGGCAAATTCTTACCAAATTGATCTATAGATTCAACACAATCCCTATCAAGAATTCAGCAGGCTTTTCTCATTTAAAATTTTTGCAGAAATTAACAAGCTGGTGCTAACATTTATATAAAAACACAAAGGAATCAAATTAGCCACAATAATTTTGAAAAATAAAAATGAATTTAGACTACTTACACTTCCTGAATTTGAAATTTCTATAAAGATACAATAATCAAGACAGTGTGGTACTGACATAAGCATGGAAATACAGATCAATAAAGTAGAGTCAGGAATCCAGAAATAGCTCCTTACATATAAAATCAACTAATTTTTGACAAAGCTGTCAAGGTACTTCAGTAGGGAAAGGATAGTCTTTTCTACAAATGTGTTGGAACCCCTGGATAAATTCATGCAAAAAGAGGAATTTAGGCTGGGCACAGTGGCTCATGCCTGTAATCCCAGCACTTTGAGAGGATTACTTGAGCCCAGGAGGAGGATTACTTGAGCCCAGGAGGTCAAGACCAGCCTGGGCAACATGGCGAGACCTCATCTCTATTAAAAATACAGAAATTTCTGGGTGCAGTGGCTCATGCCTGTAATCTCAGCACTTTGGGAGTCCGAGGTGAGCGGATCACGAGGTCAGGAGTTCTAGACCAGCCTGACCAACATGGTAAAACCCTGTCTCTACTAAAAATACAAAAATTAGCTGGGCATGGTGGCAGGTGCCTATAATCCCAGCTACTCAGGAGACTGAGGCAGGAGAATCGCTTGAACCCAGGAGGCAGAGATTGCAGTGAGCCAAGATCGTACCTGTGCACTCCAACCTGGGTGACACAGCGAGACTCCGTCCTCCCCACCAAAAAAAAATATTAGCCAGGCATGGTGGCATGCAGTTATAGTCCCAACTACTTGGGAGGCTGAGGTGGGAGGATTGCTTGAGCCTAGATGGCAGAGGATGCAGTGAGCCGAGATTCTGCCACTGCACACACTAGCCTGGGAGACAGAGCGAGACTCTGTCTCAAAAAAAAAAAAAAAGAGAGAGAGAAATTTACACACTTTACTCATATAATACACAAAAACTAACTCTAGATAGATCATAGACTTAAACGTTAGAGTTAATATTATAAAACATCCAGAATAAAAACATAGAAGTATTTTTTGCGAACTTGTGTTAGAGAAGAGTTCTTAGACATGACACTGAAAGCTCAATTCATGAGTAAACAAAAAAAGATAAATTGTTCTTCATCAAAATTAAAAACTTCATCATCCAAAATATACCATTAGGAAATGAAAAGACAAGCTACACGCTGGAAAACATATTTGCAAATCATATATTTGACAAAGGACTTGTACCCAGACTATGTAAAAGGCTCCTACAGCTCTATTAGAAGACAACTCAATTAAAAACTGAGCATAATATTTGAATAGATATTCACTTAAAAAGATATATCAATGGCTAACAAACATGAAAATATTCTCCATGCCATTAATTAATCAGGGAAATTCAAATTAAAACATGCATGAGAAACTATTTCACAATCAGTAAAATGGTAATATCCAAAAAAATAAAAGATAATAATAATACACCCCCTACCACATGAATCAGCAGTTCTACTCAGAGGAATCTACTCAGGAGAAATAACACACATAGCCACACAAGGACTTGTATGCAAGTGTTCATACCAGTAAGAAAAGGCAAATCTTATAGGGGCACAGAGTAGATTAAATTAATGGTTGCCTAGGGCTGGGGAAAGAGTGTGGATTAATAAAAATGGACACAAGAGATCTTTTGGGAGTGAAAGAAATGTTCTAAAACTGAATTGCATTAATAGTAGCATAAGTCTATAAGTTTATACACATTGATTTGTACACTAAATCTCAGAGAATTTTATGGTGTGAAATTATAACTGAATAGTATTGTTAAAAAATGTAACGTTCTTTCTGCACAAATAAAGTCAATTAATCCTTAATAAAGGAGAAAAGCAATTCAATAGACAGAAAAAATAGTCTTTTCAACAAATGGTACTGGAATAATTGGACATGCATATGCAAATATAAAAAGTAAATATATTGAACTTACACTTTTCACAAAAACTGACTCAAAACAGATCTTCAACCTAAATATAAACCAAAATATTATAAAACTTCTGGAATAAACAAGAGGAGAAAAATTAATGTGATTTTGAGTTTGGCAATGGATTTTTAGATATAACATCAAAAGACATAATCAGTGAAAGAATAAAAATGTCAGTTTTATTAAAATTTAAAACTTCTCCACAAAAGACACTATCAAGAGAATGAAAAGACAAGCCACAGAATAGGAGAATATATTTGCAAAACAGATATTTGATAGAGGACTTATATTCAAAATCTACAAAGAACTCTAAGAAACTCTTAAAACTCAACAGTAAGAAAACAACACAATTCAAAACTGGGCAAAAGAACTGGAAAAAGACCAGGCTGTCAAAGATACAGAGACAGCAAACGAGCATGTGAGGAGATGCTCAGTGTCGCGCGTCATCAGGGAAATTTGATTGAAAACAGCATGCTGATACCATTATACACTCATTAGAATGGTTAAAATCAAAGAAACTCACATTACCAAATTCCTATGAGGATACAGACCAACAGGAACTCTCATTTTTTGTGGGAATGAAAAATGGTATAGCAGCTTTAGAAGACAACTTGGCAAACTCTTACAAAACTAAACATAATCTTACTATACAATCCAGTAATCTCATCCATATTTGATTTGAAAACTTATATCTACACAAAAACATGTATGAATGTTTAAGCAGCTTTATATATAATTGCCAAAATTGAAAGGAACCAAGAAGTCCTTCTATAGGTGAATGCATAAGCTAGTAGATCCATATAATGGAATATTATTCAGTGGTTAAAAAAAAGTGCAATCAAGTCACAAAGACAAGGAGGAAACTGAAATGCACGTTGGTAAGTGAAAAAAGCCAGTGTGAGAGGCTACATATGATATGATCCAATTATATGACTTGTAAAATGAAAACCTGCCATCTATGAAAACACAAATCCTGATTGCTAGGAAGTGAAGTCAGAGGGGATCAAGCACTGGGCTTGGGGCGATGGTGAAACCATCCTGTGTGATGCTGTAATGGTGGATGCACGACATTATGCATCTCTGAAAACTCATCAAACTTCACAGCATCAAGAGTGAGCCTTAAGGTATGCACAATTTAAAAAATAGGAGGCTGGGAATCCCAGAAAGATATGCAGAATATGACAGAGGAATGCGACTGTATCATAAATATATCAAATTACCTCACTGAATAGGGTCAGGAGAAAGGGGCTGACCTAAATAACTTTGGAATTGAGCAAAGTTTCTAAAAATTAAAGAACAGCAACTGCACGTAAGCACTGTACTGTAGCTGGCAAAGTTGTCTCCCATGGGAATACAGCTTCACGATTCTTAGCCCTCCCCTTACTTCTCTGTAAATTCTCAGTCTAACTGTAAGAACCTGGCTTCTCTCACCCACCATCGTTTATGTAGCTGTTCAGTGATATGACACCTTTATACAACTATTCGAATGGCTGAAATATAAGCAACTCACGTGACCAATGCTTATGAGGATACAGAGCAAAGGGAGCTCTCATTCATTTTTGGTGGGAACAAAAAAGATACAGCCACTTTAGAGTTTGGCAAACTCATACAAAGCTAAACATGAATAGGTATATAAATGAAGGTGGGTTGGAAAAGCCAGGTTATTTTTTGGTTAGAATTTACAGATAAGAGAAGGAGGCTAGAATGATGCCTTTGTTAGCATATTTGAATTGGAGACATCAGTATAAGCTCACATTTAGCTTAATATAGATACAGATGGCCACCTATGGAAATATTTATAGATGTATGTATATACATGCGTTAGGATACACACATCTATTTCTTTGCTCTATCAGCTGA
Source organism: Homo sapiens (assembly GCF_000001405.40). Classification (NCBI taxonomy): domain Eukaryota; kingdom Metazoa; phylum Chordata; class Mammalia; order Primates; family Hominidae; genus Homo; species Homo sapiens. Next base: position 187,599,000 of record NC_000004.12, read on the forward strand.
GAAGATCTAAAACAAATGGCACCCTCGTATCAATGAACACACCTAGATCTTGCATTGACTACCTCCTCCAATAAAACAAACCAAGTCTTCTTGTAGAGAGGGCTGATACTAACACCAAGGCCAGGTGTATACAGGATGAGCCTGGAGCATCCAGTAGTCACAGAAAGCAGGGCGTGCACCCTCCTCCCCACAGAAAACCTCACATCATGAGGGTGTGTGAAGGGGGCACAAAGCCAACTGAAAGCGCTCCCAATGGCCAAAGCTGGAACGATTTGAGCCACAAAATAAGTCGTGTTGGATTATAATCCAAACTATAAAAGAAATATCCATGGCCTGGTGCAGTGGCTCACACCTGTAATCCCACCACTTTGGAAGGCCAAGATGGGTGGATTACAAGGTCAGGAGATCGACACCATCTTGGCCAACATGGTGAAACCCCATTTCTACTAAAATACAAAAATAAGCTGGGCGTGGCGGCGCGTGCCTGTAATCCCAGCTACTCAGGAGGCTGAGGCAGGAGAATCGCTTGAACCCAAGAGACAGAAGTTGCAGTGAGCCCAGATAGCACCACTGCACTACAGCCTGGCAACAGAGCAAGACCCTGTCTCAAAAAAAAAAAAAAAAATCCACGAGTCTACACTGATATAAAGAATGATTGAATAAATGAATAAATCGGGGAGTCAAATCAAATCCCCTGCCAAATCATTTCTAATAACTTATGCCACTGTTTTGCCTTTAAGGAAGCTACTCCAGCCTTGAGGGATTGGAGCATAACTCCTAATCCCTAAGTGTGAGCTACACATACAGACTCCCTTCCAAGGGGTAGATTCTGGAAAGTGCAGGGCGAGGCAGCGGAGGAGCCACTTTACAGGGAAGAAAACACGACCTCAGCCAGGTGATTCAAGTCGAAGTCAGAACCAACAGTCACAAATCATGCTGACAGTGCTTGCCCACGATATGATGCAATGAAAATGGCGGCTTAGCTTTGTGATTTTCCTCTACAAAAGACACAAATCTAGTCTAATCATGAGGGGAAAAAAAGTCAGAAAATTTCCAACAGAGGGCAACCTACAAAAGAGGACTTCTCAAAATTGTTGGGGTCATCAAAAACACAGGAAGTCTGAGAAACTATGACAGCCAAGAGGAGCCTGAGGAGTCACGGCCACTAAATGTAACATGGTGTCCCATAGGATTCCGGAACCTAAAGCTGATGTTGGGTAGAAACTAAGGAAGTCTGGGCCAGGCACAGTGGCTCACTCCTGTAATCCCAGCACTGTGGGAGGCCAAGGCTGGTGGATCACCTGAGGTCAGGAGTTCGAGACCAGCCTGGCCAACATGGTGAAACCCCTTCTCTGCTAAAAATACAAAAATTAGCCAGGTGTAGTGGTGCATGCCTGTAATCCCAGTTACTCAGGAGGCTGAGGCAGGAGAATCTCTTGAACCTGGGAGGTGGAGGTTGCAGTGAGCCAAGATCATGCCACTGCACTCCAGCCTGGGGAACTGAGTGCGACTAAGTTAAAAACAAAAAAAACCTAAGGAAGTCTGAATAAGCTATGGGCTTCAGTTCATAAGATATTTATAATATTAGTTCATTAATTATGCAAAGGTACCATGCTAATATAAGCTGTTAATGATAGTGGGAACTGGCTTGGGTGTATGGGAACTATCTGTACCATCTTCCTAATTTTTTTATGAACCTAAAACTGTTCTAAAAACTAAAGTCAGAGTCGATGTTTCTATCAGTATCCCCACTCTCCAGCCATGTCTTTGTGTTCCTCTTCCTCGCAGTGCATGTGAGGATTTGCTCCTTGGCCTGGAACACTGTTTCTCTTGCTGTGGATCAACATAAGCCTAATCCATTTAATCATGGCGATCTCATCATCAGCTCCCACCTAAACTGCTCCTCTTCACAGAAGAGTTTTGCTGCCTTCAATCTACTCCATTGCACTCTCACTACTCCCTCGAGTTTTTCTTCACAGGACAAGCCATATTTGTATTATCTGAGTGTTATTAATTAGTTAAAGTCTATCACCTCCAGAGACTATAAGCTCCATGAAAGCAAGGACTACATTTGCTCCCAATTTCAATACTGAGAGTAACATTGAATATTCGATCATTTTAATGAATGAATACACGACAGAAAAAATGAATCCTGACCTCTCAAAGATTATGTACTTATTTTTACTTCCTTCTTGGCAGCATGTAAGATTACATATATTCTAAATTATTGATAGTGAACTTCTGTCTAACCCACGTGGTATTCTAAAAGACATTTTAACTATTCAGATACAGCTGAATATTTGTATCAGGGTAATACAGGCATAAATATCCAGTGGTTAAACCTCCATGAATGTACAATATTTTAGTCCATATTTTACATAGTCATTAAATGCTTTATTGAAGCAGAGTAAAGTCTGAAAACTAAAGCCAAATCCTTTGACACTAAAAATAAAAAAAAAGCGGGTGTCCAAGCAACATAACGGTCAGTGATTTGCTACTTAACAAATGAAAAACAAAGAAACAAAATCCAAATCAATGTAAACAATATATACCTCTCTGTTGACAATGACAACAGGTGCTATCAACACAGAAGATGATATAAATGTAAGTGCTTTAGTCAACATTACAGCCAGATGATAATAAGAACATTTCACTCTGCATTTATAGGACCCAGTAGCAGTCGGCTGTTAAAGAAAAGTAACAATAATCAAACTGGGCTAAGTATTTTCTATGTGAAGGTATCATGAAATTTATGAAGTCTGTGTAAGAAAGATAAAGGCATTCACTTTTGAAAGAATAAGATAGTTTAAACCTCAACATTCTCTATGCTTAAAATTGAGCTAATTTGAATAAACAGACCATGACATGGAACTGTCACTTTACAAGTTCCTGCTTTAGTCTTTAACTCTCAAACTAGCATTCTTTAAACTGTCTAACACTGTGAACTAGTTTTAATGCCTCCAGCTTTGTCTCCTATTATTATGAGCACATTATATGGAGTGAAAAAAGAGGAATATTGTTGGACTTAATAGTAAATATAATATGGAAAATAATGCAATGAGCACTTAAACAAAGTTATAACCATGGTTAAACAAAAGAAAGATTGTATGTGTCAGCTGCTGAAAGACATTCTAAGTTATTTGTGTGCAATATACTGTTGTTTGACAGAACTGACACCTAAATGTGAATGATGGTTTGCTTTCGCTAATATTAGGGCATGAATCTAGGTTTAATCCAGTCCAGTCAAACCTGGACTATGCCTCACTTTTTCTTCATAGATTTGACAATGGGTCTTCATTTTAAAATCACTTACAACCACGAAGAGAAAAAAAAAATCTCTTCACTGGTCCGTTTGGCAAATGACAGTTTGCTTGAGATTTCCTTCTGAGATCAAAGAGGAGGAAATAATGTCACGCTGCAGGAATTTCTAATGATTAATGTTATTACCATGAACACCAAAGGAAGTGATAATAATTTGCCAAGTGTGCTGCCCGGTTTTCCAGTATTAACTCATCACTATTTGCTTCCTCAGAGTAAGGATTTCTCACAAATAAGGAAAAGGGATGAGGAGATATGTATTGCTTTTGTTTTCCGAGAATGCCACGCACCCACACTCAGCACACCCTAGCGAGATTTTAGCCTATGCATGTGCGTCTTTCCTGCCTTTGCCTGTTTCTGCCTCTTGACCAGCGTCTATCAACTATGGAGCTCGACTCCCTGCCATTAAGGAGACAGACTTCCTGGGGTGCTCTGCTCCCACCTGCTCCCTTTTGGACTAAACAATGTGTGTGCTCTTCTGTTACAGAGTCAGTTCCTTCCACAAAATTACCGTCTTGCTGTCATTGGTATGGCTGCCAGCAAACCATGCCAAGGTCTTCTGGTGTGCCTACAGCTAAATACTTGAGGAGAAAGAGGGGAACTTTGAAGCTCTTGATGCCACACTCAGCATGGAACAATTTTGGCAAAGCAACCATTTGAAATTTGCTTACTCTTCAATTTAGGGACGGCTCTGATGATTTATGAGTTCAGTGAGTTGAATTCAAAGATAGAAAAGAGCATGTTTCTCCTGGACAATTATGGAGAAAGGGAGAATTAGCTGTTCCTTATTCTTCTTGTTAGTTAAGTCCTATTTGAACTGTTCTTGCCTCATGTGATGGGAATGTCTAAAAATGCCAAAGGAGCCATCCATTTATTTCCAGAATTAGCAAAAACCACAAACTTCGCTGCTGAAGAGCAGGCTCCCACAGGAACTCATATAATTCTGCAGCGTGCCATTGACTTTAAATGGCCCCAAATACTTTCTTAAAACTCTCTGATGTGATCTATCTTTGTGGTAACCTTCCACACAAAGTGCTGGAACAGTGAGAAATAGAAATATACATGCTTCATAATGACTTGCTAGTTTAAAATGAGTGCTTTGCACATGGCATTGGGCATATCCAGGCCCTCTCTTGCTTGGGCATAAAGCCAGTCTGAAAAGTGAATGTATAAATCATTCAGCTAGATATGTCAGCTTTTAGATGTATACGCTTCAGCTTAGAGGCCTAAAATATATCACACTGTTTTCAGAGTTTTGTAGCTTATTATCGGAGCAATAGAGAAAGATTTTGATTGTAGAATCAGTGTGTCTAAGTGCATAGTATGGGGCAAATGTGGGTATCTAATGAGTTAATTCAAAATCATAAGCAGAGGCGCTATTCTTGCTTCTTAGTAATAAAGTGTTCCTATTGGAGTCATCAATGATAATACAACTTTAGTCTAAAGCAAGGATGGAATCAAGGAATTTTATTTATAGTACTGTAACCTGTTAATTTGATGGGCAAAGACTGACAAATTCAGGAATGAAAAGAATGTGCTTTTCTTTCCCTTTCCTCTCCTCTCCTCCCCTCCCCTCTCCTCTCCTCTCCTCCCCTCTCCTCTCCTCCCCTCCCCTCTCCTCTCCTCCTCTCCTCTCCTCTCCTCCCCTCTCCTCTCCTTCCCTCCCCTCTCCTCTCCTCCCCTCCCCTCTCCTCTCCTCCTCTCCTCTCCTCCCCTCCCCTCTCCCCCCCTTCCTCCCCTCCCTTCTCCTCTCCTCCCCTCCCCTCTCCTCCTCCCCTCCCCTCTGCTCTCCTCCCCTCTCCTCCCCTCCTCTCCTCTGCCCTCCCCTACCCTTCTCTCCCTTCCTTCTCTTCTTCCTCCCTTCCTTCCTTTATCCCTCTCTCCTTCCCACCCTCTTCTCTTCCTCCCTTCCTTCCTTCTGTATAAAGTAAGATAGAGGTAATAAACTCAGTAGATTCAGTATACCGATAGCATATAACACTGACAAATCAGGTACCAGAGGCAAGTTCTGCAGTAGAATCTACAAGTGAAACTTCTAGAATTGTATTATTAAACCATAAAACATGCATCCCTCCCACCCTAAAGCTATTTTTTCTTACCACTTAGATGTAAATCATCTGAAATAAAGTTACAGATTTTGAGTAACAATATTAGTATGTGAATATGTGTTGCTGCTTCTCTAAGAACCTCCTAGTATACCCAGTACACCTGTTGGTAAGCCCCTGTCAACAGACAGAGCTGGTCATCCCCAGCCACTTCACAGGAGTTCCTGCCGTTTACAGTATTTCTTCAGAAGTTACGTTCAACAATTCTGCTACTTATGGTTTTCTTTTTCTGTAAATTTACTAGGCAAGTCATCTCTGCCTGACTTGCAAATTCAATGCTTGACTCTCAGATTACTACTGCTTTCATATAGATGTGGATCTTCCTTTGCAATGGTTTTTTTTTTTTTTTTGAGGCTGGAATTCAAACGTATTATTGAACCTCTAGAATAAATTAATATTTCTTTTCAGGGTTACTATCGATGAGACTATATCTAACATGTCTGCCTGAGTAATTTGTTTTCTATAATTATGGATTACTAAAGGGTAGAATCAAAATATTTCTGAGGTTCTCATACAGTATAATGTCTAGAATTCAAAACTTTTTTGTTAAGTGAAAAGACAGACTGTCTTATTCAAAAGGTGCACATTCGCTTTAATAAATGTTGACAAAGATTCTGTCTTTGAAATTTAGCCAGGCTTCTCTGAGCCCATTCTTACCCTGGCCTTGGCCTCGGTCTATACAGACATGTTTGTAGTGGCCTCCAAACACTAAGTTCGTTTCTCACAGTTGAAAGCTGCATCCCCAGGGACGACCCCGACCCCGGCTCGGCTTCAGTGCCTGCCTGAGGACACTGCAGGCTGCCCAAGGAGTCTACTGTTTGCTCCAGCCAACCCCTGGAGAGAGGGCTCCCATCTCCTAGCCTCTGTGGGAGGGTAAGGGCCTCATCTTGACAAGCTCCAGTTAACAAAACAATGTGGGTTTCACACGGACCAATCCCCGATTTCCTGCTTTTTGTAATTTTCCACTTCTCTGACCAGACTGATCCCCCGTCACCCATGCTCTCTTCTCTCGCTCTTGCTTTAAAATGCCCAGTCTCCTCTGCACAAATAAAACTTGAGTTCAATTCATGCTGGACTTTTTCCTACTACGATGGTACGTTATGGATTAAAAAACCTGTCCTTCCAGCTTTACCTAATGGCAGGCTTTGTTTCTCTTTGGACCATGTGCATGGTGTATCTTTCTTCTCTGCTCTCAGTGTGCCAGAAGTAAAATTAAGGGATTGAACCAATGGCTAGAACATCTCCAAAATTCTTACTCACTCTGGGTATGGTCTGCTATTTTTGCATTTAAAAAAAATAACTTTTACTTTAGACACAGGGACTACATGTGCAGATTTGTTACATGAGTATATTACACCCAGGTGGTGAGCATAGTACCCAATAGGCGGTTTTTCAGCCCTTGCCTGCTCTCTCCCTACCACCTCTAGTAGTCTGCAGTGTCTCCATTTTTCCCATGTTTATGTCCATATGTGGTTAATGTTTAGTTCCCACTGGTAAGTGAGAACATGATGTATTTGGTTTTCTGTTTCTGCATTAATTCAATTAGGATTACGGATTCCAGCTACATCCATGTTGCTGTGAAGGACATAATTTTACCCTTTTTATGGCTGCATAGTGTTCCATAGTGTATATGTACCACATTTGCTTTAACCAGTCCACCACTGATGGTCACCTTAGGTTGATTTCATGTCTTTGCTATCGTGAACAGTGCTGCAATGAACATACGCGTGCATATATCTTTTTGGTACAATAATCTATTTTCCTTTGGATATACACACAGTAATGGGTTTGCTGGGTCAAATGCTAATTCTGTTTTAAGTTTTTTGAGAAATCTTCAAACGGCTTTCCACAATGGCTGAGCTAATTTACATTCCCACCAGCAGTGTATAAGCGTCCCCTTTTCTCCGTAGCCTGACCAGCATCTGTTGTTTTTTTACCTTTTAATAATAGCCATTCCTCTGATATGATATGGTATCTCACTGAGGTTTTGATTTGCATTTCTCTGATGATAATGATGTTGAGCATTTTTTCATGTTTGTTGCCCACGTGTATATCTTCTTTCAAGAAATGTCTGCTCATGTCCTTTGCCCATTTTTAATGGGGTCGTTCACCCTTCGCTTGTTGATTTGTTTGAGTTTCTTATAATTCTGGATATTAGACCTTTGTTGGATGCAGAGTTTGCAAATATTTTGTAATTCCCAGGCTAATCATATTATACAAACCCAGGTCTGTTAGCCTGAGCTGCAGTTTGAGATAAATACCAGTAGGTGGCAGTGCAGGTCACATGGTGGCTTATTCTGCACAAAGCTGCTTTCCCATGGGGGTATGCCCTTGGGAAGAGAGGACTCAGGCACCAGTCTGGACAAGCACCCTTTTGTTAACGCAAAGGAAATAAGTCAATCAAATCAACACCAGTAAAGAAAAGTATACTTAGAAATACCAAACAACAATATTAAAAGAAAAACATCCTTAAGAGTACTGTTTTCTTTTCTCCTCATACTATTTTTGAGTTTACATTGCTGCTGCATTTTATGAACTCTTTTTGCATTGCAGCCCCAGGTTCAAGGCTTGGTGGAGTCCTGTAGTAGCCACCCAAGATTTCACTGGTCTTCAGAAACTTGGAAATAATCTCTCACAATTCGTCTTAAAACCACTGAATGTATGGTTCTTATGGAGGAGAGGCTGGCTAAAGGCAAAGTAAATGTAGATTTCGTGTCTCATCACAGAGGTTCAGCAATCACTCGCCCTGTCCTCAGTAGTTCCCCAATAGTCCCCTCCCAGGTCCCCACTCACTGCCTCTGGGATGCATCCCCCACTCCCTCCCCACTCCCCTGGGGTCTGAACAATAAATGGAAAGCAACTCGGCCTCTTCCCTTTCAAGGTGGGCACCGCCACTCTAGTTTAGTGAAAAATCTTTCCCTAAAATGGTCAGATTGATAAAAGGTAGGCAACGGTTCAGGAATATTTGTGCTTCCATTAGTGAGATTTATGAACTTACTCCAACATTCTGAAACAATGGGGGTTGATGATACAGTTCCCTAAGGTTCTTTTTATAAATTTAGCTCCAAGATCTTTATTTATCTGTAACTTCTGTGCTTCTCCTGAGCCTGTGGTAACACACACCTCTTAAGCAAGGGCTGCTCAATTAAGAACACCCTAGGAGGCTTGCACCTGAAGGTTTGGCTTTATGCCAGATACCATATCTGCACTAAAGAGCTTGTCTTACTAAAGGGGCTCACTCCCATTCTTTTCCATTTTAACAAAGGTTAACTTAACTTAAACATAAAATATTTGAAATAATTCTATAGTGACTGTCCCATAGAGAGAGAGGAAATGTATTTACATTGGGAGCTCTATGGAAATTTCATAAAGTGAATAGTTCTAAAATGAAAAGACAGAAATCTCTAGCATAGGTTATATGTTCCAGTGTTATGAATTAAGTCTCAAAGAAATTAAGTTCTTCAAAAAAGTTCCTGTTATAATGACACATGCTGAACTCTTTGTGTGTGTGTGTGTGTGTGTGTGTGTGTGTGTGTTTGTGGGGCCTCTAATACCCTCATGTTTTCAGTTTATATTTTACAGTATCCCCATTTTTCAGTTGAAGAATCATAAGGAGATGCTTTAAATAGTTTGCCCAAGAACATCAAGTGAGTAATTTGACCAAGCCAGAAAAATTGCAACAAAAGCTGGGTTTCTGCATTGCATCAGCCAGAACCGTGCTTTCTCAGAACTCTAATTCAGTATTATAATATTTCTGCTCTAACACCTTGCAGTGGGGAAAAAATTAAAATCTGATATTATACACACACTTTGGAATCCTTTAAAGTAAATGAAATATTTATGATTCAACCTGGGTTCAAATGAAGGAAGTGTAGGCATATCAGCTACAGTAAACCAATTGATGACTCAAGATGGCCAATGATGATAAAGTTGAGAGTCAGCTGGATTTTCACTGGGGCTGGCAGCAAGACAGGCCTGATGTTGAAAAAAGCAGACACAACAGGTGGAAGAACGGCAGAGTGGCTCTTGCTTTTGGTCTGAACACTCCCACTGGCTGCAGCACTGAGTTCTATAGAAGCATCTGCTCACCTTTCCTCTTGGCTGGAAAGACTTACATCAAATGATTACAGGTTTAATGAGGGAGAAGTGTCAAGATTAGAAAGACTAAGCTGTAGGTTTCATCTGGTAAACAATACGGGAAAGAGGCTGGGCACACTGGCTCACGCTTATAATCCCAGCACTTTGGGAGGCCAGGGTAGGAGGGTCACCTGAGGCCAGGAGTTCAAGACCAGCCTGGGCAACACAGAAAGACCCTCATCTTGACAAAAAAAAAAAAAAAAAAAAAAAAAACAGCTGGACATGGTGGCATACACCTCTATTCCCAGCTACTTGAGAGGCTGAGGCAGGACGATCACTTGATCCCAGGAGTTTGAGGCTACAGTGAGCCATGAGTGCACTATTGCACTCCAGCCTGGGTGGCAGACTGAGACACTGTACAGAAAAAAAAAAAAGAAAAAAAGAAAAAAGAAAAGAAAAAGGAAGATATTTACTCTTGCAAAGAATATGGGAATAAAGGCTATTTTTAAAGATATGTGTGCATTTTTATTTTATCTTAAACAAAGCTCTCTTTTTACAGACCTATTCAAAAACACTGTATTATCTACATTTAAGGTTTCTGAATTGTTCTTGAAAAAGGTAAGCTTAGACTGGTAATTGTGGCTCATGACTGTAATCCTAGCACTTTGGGAGGCCCAGGTGAGAGGACTGCTTGAGGCCAGGAATTCAAGACCAGCCTGGACAACATAGTGAGATCCCACCTCTACAAAAAAATTTAAAAAATTAGCCGGGCATGGTGGCACACGCCTGTAGTCCCAGCTACAGAAGAGGTTGAGGCGAGAGGATAACTTGAGTCCAAGAGTTCGTAGCTGCAGTGAGCTATGATCATGCCATTGCCCTCCAGCCTGAGTGACAGAGCAAGACTCTATCTCTAATGCAAATGAAAGCCACAATGAGATACCATCTCACACCAGTTAGAATGGCGATCATTAAAAAGTCAGGAAACAACCGATGCTGGAGAGGATGTGGAAAAATAGGAATGCTTTTACACTGTTGGTGGGAGTGTAAATCAGTTCAACCATTGTGGAAGACAGTGTGGTGATTCCTCAAGGATCTAAAACCAGAAATACCATTTGACACAGCCATCCCATTACTGGGTATATACCCAAAGGATTATAAATCATTCTACTGGTCGGGGGCGGTGGTTCACGCCTGTAATTCCAGCACTTTGGGAGGGCGAGGTGGGCGGATCACGAGGTCAGAAGATCAAGACCAGCCTGGTTAACATGGTGAAACCCCGTCTCTACTAAAAATACAAAAAGTGAGCCAGGTGTGGTGGCTGGCACCTGTAGTCCCAGCTACTCTGGAGGCTGAGGCAGGAGAATAGCATGAACACAGGAGGCAGAGCTCGCAGTGAGCTGAGATCGCGCCACTGCACTCCATCCAGCCTGGGTGACAGAGCAAGACTCTGTCTCAAAAATAAATAAATAAATAAATAAATAAATAAATAAATAAATAATTCTACTATAAAGACACATGAACACATACGTTTACTGCAGCACTATTCACAATAGCAAAGACTTGGAACCAACCCAAATGCCCATCAATGATAGACTGGATAAAGAAAATGTGGCACGTATACACCATGGAATACTATGCAGCTATAAAAAAGGATGAGTTCATGTCCTTTGCAGGGACATGGATGAAGCTGGAAACCATCATTCTCAGCAAACTAACACAGGAACAGAAAATCAAACACCGCTTGTTCACACTCATAAGTGGGAGCTGAACAATGAGAACACGTGGACACAGGGAGGGGAACATCATACATTGGGGCCTATTGGGGGTTGGGGGGTTAGGGGAGGGAGAGCATTAGGAGAAATACCTAATGTAGATGACGGGTTGATGGGTGTATCAAACCACCATGGCACGTGTATATATCTATGTAACAAACCTGCACCTTCCACATGTATCCCAGAACTTAAAGTATAATAATAATTTTAAAAAGACTCTATCTGTAAAGAAAAAAAAGAAAGAAAAAGAAAAAGGTAACCTTGTCTGAAAATCTTATTTATTTGTATGAGATTTTCATACTATACTCAAATATTCATCCAAACATTTGATTTAAAAAAACCCTCTTTCTCAGTTTTCAGTTACGTTTAAACAAGTTAGGCAAAGTTACTAAATCATGATACAATGAAGATCGTATTACATTTTAAAATTGCTAAAATATAAAAAAGAACACTATATATCTTATTTTTGTTACAAACTCATAATAGATCAAACTCTATAATATTTAGATTTGTGACTTCTTTGCATTTAAGTTTGCAAAATTCCATAAAAATACATCCCACAATTTTGTTTCTAGTCTTATTTCACTGAAACAAATTTAAACGATTTTTATGTAGATTAGCAAAATAAATGCGATTTTTATTTCAGCTGGAAGTTGGGATTATTTTTTGTGAGCTGGAAGAAGTGATAATTTACTAATCACTATACTAAGGGGTCACTTTTGCAAAGAAAATATTTCTTTTACACCCCATTTTAAAAATATTATTGTTTTGTTGTATATGTAAGTTTTCTTTGGTTATTATATGTCTACTCATCTTAACAGTTTTTGCTTTACTTATGAATAAGAATGATAAAGATCACTGTATGCGTAACAGCTGAACTGTTGCTCATTTTCCTATTGAATATAACACGAAGGAAGAGTTTCTAAAGCATTGGAGGAAGCAGGAAGGAGTTGTTCTAACAAAGTGATCATATTCACAACGAGGAACTGTTAAAACTACTGCCAAAGTTCCTAACTGACATGAAAATCTGATGGAGTCCTGGGGGTAGTAATTTTCCCTGTGAGCTCTCTTCAAGAAGTCCCTAAGGAAAGAATATTGCAAAATCAGAAGTTGAAGAGAAACATACAGAAATATTCAGGTTGTGTCTTCCATGCAGAACATATCAAATAGCTAAGAGTCTGCTTAATAAAAGAGAATCAGAACAGGTAGATTGGAAGAAAATCTAACAAAAGTCGATTTGACTTTTTGTTTGTTTGTTTGTTTGTTTTGAGACGGAGTCTTGCTCTGTTGCCCAGGCTGGAGTGCACTGGCACAATCTCAGCTCACTGCAATCTCCGCCTCCCGGGTTCACGCCATTCTCCTGCCTCAGCCTCACGAGTAGCTGGGACTACAGGCACCTGCCACCACACCCGGCTAATATTTTATATTTTTAGTAGAGTCGGGGTTTCACCGTGTTAGCCAGGATGGTCTCAATCTCCTGACCTCCGCCTGCCTCGGCCTCCCAAAGTGAAGCCCCTTGGCACTGCGCCCGACCATTTGACTTTTTAAAGTGTTTTAATTTAACAACAATGTGTAGCTGGCTATATATTGGTAAGGGAAATTAGTGAAGTCAAATTTGTAGTTGAGGAGATCTTTTCTTCTGCATTTCCGCACATTGCTGTGTAAACATGAGTGCAGGTGACCGCTGGTAATTCTCTATTGGAAACTTGGTGTCTTCATTCTCCATCCTCCACGTGGCTCCGAAGCCCTGCTCTGCCTCAGGTCCCTGTGTGTCCAGGCCCTCTATGGTCATATTCTCTCACCTACACTTGGGCCAATGACATGAACAGAATTTTGACAGTTTCACAAAGCACTTTCACCTTGTGGGTGGGTTCAGTTTATTTCCTTACAGGAGGATATTAATATTGCAGGTTCTAAGGCGAGAGGAGCTTTGTGATAAGTTAAGAAATAAGGAATGAAGAGAGGCAGGGGAAAAGACTTCTGTGTGAAAATAGAAGAGGCCCATTTTAAGCACATAATTTTCCTTATTTCAAAGGGAATACGCAGGCAGGTTACTGTAGCAGAGTCACAAACAAGCCAATGTGACTTAAAAGTATGAGTCATGGGGAAATGGAGTGACACGAGATCAGCTCCAGGGATCACGCCTTCACTTTGCCTGCCTTGGGGACTCAGAGATCTGCTTGCGGGTTTCCTGACTCCTACGTGAGGTGTCAGTGAAAGCAGCAGTGATGTTAACTTTGAGGAAATTTGGTTATTGTGACAGGATAGATAAATGAACCGTATCGGGGTTTCTTCATTTTCGTAACTGTGGTGCTAATGAGGTATTCAGTATCTGTGGTTGACTGATTTATTCCCCACCAGAAAAGATGCTTGGGCTGCAGATTTCACATTTAGAAAAAAACATGATCCTTTGGAAAAGTTGCCACCAATTACTCAGTCTCCAGTTTCAGTCCATCCACGGAATGATCTGTCTATACCTCTGTAATGTACTGCGGCCCCAGTCAGCCACTTGGCAGCTTTGCAATCCCATGACCTTTTTAAATCCTGAAAATAAATAAAATTGTAACATTCTTGCCTTGTTAGCTCTTAAATTTTCAAATTTCTATGTGCCAAGTTGTTCTGCTTAATAAATCACCAAGGAGGTATTGTCATGATGGATTCGTATTTTATTTTTATTTTCAGTATTGTATGCAGTTTACTTAAAAAAGATTTGTGAAAAAAAGAGATAGCACTTTTAGCTATTGCTAAATGAGATCAGGAAATTGTCTTCCAAATAGGCAAGCACAAAGCTGAAAAAAAATGAACAAAATCATCCATTTCCATACTGTAGAAATTGAGCAAAGGCTTAACACAAATTTGAGAGGCACGGATGCTTAAAAACTGTCGAACTTCTGGGAAAAACGTGGGAACTATGTCACTCTGGCCTGGGCTGCCCACCTTGTCCAGGGTGGGACGAACTGTAGAGGGTTTTCTGCTGCTGGAAGGGCCTCTGTGGCTTTGGGGAGACGGCAGCGCCAGGGCCCGCGGGGCGGCAGGAGGGACTGGGAGGCCCACAGCGGTCCCGTGGGAAAGCTCTGTAGGGACGGGCAGGAGTGAACATGTTGTGTTTTGTGGGCTACAAACAGGCTCTATTTCCTCTCTGCCTCCTCCTCCTGCTTTTTCTTCCACTTTTTTTTAACATTTGTTTTTAAATGGAAAGTAGTTTTTAGCTCACAGGTCATACAAAAGCTGGCAAACGGCTGGCTTCGAACCGTCCTGGCTTCGAACCGTGGCTGCCATGTGCCTCCCGCTGCTCTACTCGCCTGAGGTTGACCCTGGTAAGCGGTTGCCGCCTGCAGACACGGCGCATGCGAGGGAGGGTGCAGGCCGAGACTCCGCCCCGAAGGGCGCGGCGTGCCCGAGAGATGCGAGCGTTGAGGAAACGGAAATCCAGCGCACACGTGAAAACGCCCCGGACTGCGGCTGCGCCGCTTACCCGCACACAGACGGTTGGCAGAGGAAGAAAGCCTTGTCACACTAAAGGAGAGACAGCGGATGTTCTGAACAGTCCTGTCGTGAAACGTTAGACAACGTGGACGAAACAGGCACATTCCTAAGCATCACACATTACTGAAACTCAGTCAAGAAGAAATAGAAAATCTGAATACATCCATGGCAAGCACAGAAACTGAACTAGGGGATTCGAAATCTTCCCACAAAGAAAAGCCTAGGCCCAACTGGCCTCTATGGTAAGTTCTATCAAATAGTCACAGAAGAAATCATGGCAGTTCATCACTTACTGTTGATGTTTCAGAAGATAGTGGACTAAGGAACAATCCCAAATCATTTTACAAGGCTAGTAGTACCCTGATAGCAAAGCCAAAGATATCACAAGAGGAAAAACATCACAGACCAGTATCTCTCATTAACATGGTTGCAAAATTCCTTAACAAAGTATTAAAAAAGTGAATCCAGCAAAATATAAAAATGATTATATACTATGACCCGATGGGGTTTATCCAAGAATGCTGGGTTCATTTGACATCCAAAAACCAATTTAATGTAATATACCAATCACATTCAATTTATAAAGGACTAAAATACTCCGTGATTATCTCAACAGATGTAGGAAAATAATTGGACGGCATGTAAGACCTATTTATGATTTAAAAAAAAAATCTTAAAAAACTGGAAATAGAACAAACGCTTTTTAAACTGACAAAAAGAATTTAGGAAAACACTACAGGTAACATCATATCTAATGGCAAAAGACTGAAAATCCCCCCTTAAGAACAGTAGAAAGATGTCTACTTTTATTATTTGTATTCACAATTATACTGGATTTTCTAGCCATTCCAAGAAAACAACCAACCAATCAATCAATCAACTAATTAAATGTATCCAAAGTGGAAATAAAGGAGTAAAACTGTCTTTATTTAAAAAGAAAATGATTCTATATGGAGAGAATCCCAAAAAATCCATTAAAAAAATCTAGAACTCATCAATGAGTTTAGGAAGGCCTTGGGATACAAGATCAATATATAAAAATCAATTGCATTTTTATATACTAGAAATACAAAAACACAAAAATTAAATGAAGAAAATTTCATTCACACATATGAAAATGTAAACTTTTTGGAAATTAACAAAAGAAGATGACATCTATTGAAAACTACAAAATGTTGCTGAGAGAAATTAAATATGTACATAAATAGACATTTCATATTGATGGATTAGAAGACTCAAGATGGAAATTCTCTCCAAATTAGTTTAGAAATTCAACACAATTCAAAAGCCCAGCAGGCTTTTTTTTGCAAAAATTCATAAGCTGATGCTAAAACTTATCTGCATATTCCGACAACCTGTTAAAAACAAAATACTGTTAAAAACAAAGAACTACTTGATTTCAAAAATTTTGTTAAAGCCACAGTAATCAAGACAACGTGGTGCTGGCACAAGCTTAGACGCATGCACATCAATGGAAAATAATTGAGTCCAGAAACAAATTCCTGCCTTTATGGAAAATTTACTTTTCACAAATGTTCTAAAACAACTCAATGGGGAAACTATAGGGCTTTCAATAAAAGCCTGCCCACACACACACACACACAACAACGTCTACCCCTAACCCACCAAACCTGTGACTATGTTACCTTAAACATGGCAAAGGAGAGTTTGCAGTGTGATTAACGGTATAGATCTAGAGATGGGGGGGATCATCCTGGATTATCTGGGGGCAGAGGGGCCAGTCTAGTGACTTGAGTCCTCAAGAGAGGAAGGGAAAGGCAGAAGGGTGGGTTAAAAAGACTCACTATGAGAAGTACTTCATCCTTCATTTCTAGCTTTGAAGATGCAAGTGGGGACCATGAGCCAAGCAGTGTGACAGGCTCTAAGAAGCTGGGAATGTCTGTCAGCTGACAGTCAATAAGAATTTGAGGACCTTCTTCTTGCACCCACAGTAAATTCATTTCTGCCAACAAACTGAATGAGATTGTCCCCTAGAGCCTCCAGAAAGGAACACAGCTTACTGTCATGTTTATTTTAGTTTGGTGAAACCCAACCCAGACTTTCCATCTATGGACCTATAATTAAAATAGTTTGGGGGCATTCTTAGTCCACAAATTTAGTCCAAATTTAATAACAAATTTGTGTTACTTTAAGCCCCTGAGTTTATGATTAATTCATTAAGATAGCAATAGAAATCTAATACACAATGGGATGAAAAAGAAATTAAAGAATTATAAAAGGATTTATGTGAACCATGTTAAGGAAGATTATTTAAAACTAGGAAAAAAGGCAAAAAAAGATGAGTAGTATGTCCTTTCAATGTCATATTGGAACACTTTATCAATTTCAAACAAGGATTATTTAATTTCCTATAATAATGCATTTTTACGTTTTGCTAATTGGATTTGATTGACAGCTCAAGTTTTAGGAAGTAACATGTTAACTTGACAGGTTTCATTTCAGTAGAAAAGATATTTCCAAAAGTTATGGTTTCATTGCCCTGTAGGGTATTAGCCAGTTTTGTACTAACCTAGCAACCCTATGACAAAGGTCTATTTTTAAAATACCTGTAAAGACTGTGTACTTCACAGACTCTTGGAAATGCTTTATATTCTACCTAGTTTGCTCACTCTTGAGCTAACAAGTCTTTGGTGTATATTAATTTTATGAATCATACTTTTAACTTTTTTAAAGCATTATAGCTGGACAACCATAATGTATTACTTTTAAGAATTCTGGATAATTTTGAGACATGCCAAATTAGACCCATCAGTAAAAAACAAGATTTAATAAATAGAAAAATAATGAATGACCATATGAATAAATAGATACAGAATAAACAAATGGTACATAAAGGTTGACAAGAAAAAGCCTTGATGATTCTGGAATGTTACATAATAATATAGGAATCAACTTAGGCTGTCATTTTCAATATCTTCATTGCTATCAATTTATGAGGGATTTTGTTAGCATTAATGTGATATACAATGGAAATTTGAGGAAAAAAATGACATTGTTTTAGGTGAAAATGGAAAATTTAACAGGAATATAAGGAAAAAAAATACTCCTGGGAAACAGTATTTCCCATACTTAAAGCAAGAAGACATTCTGGTGACCAATAGGCTCACATGCTAGTTTTGAGAGAATTTGTGTGGAAATTGATCAGTAAATTTTTTCTAAATGTCCTAGAGACTTTAGGTGATACTTTGGATGATGACAGGATTTTTAAATTATAATATTTCTGTAGCTACTTCTCTTTTTAAAGAAAAAGATAGCAATTTTTTTCTATCTCCTGGGTAGAATTTTGTAGTTTAACACATCTCTATAGCCAAGAGTTCATTTTTTTCCCTCAGATCAGATCCTTATGCCTGTATCTCTAGCTCTGATAGAACTTATGTTTCATTTTAATTATATATTATTACATTGTCCCTCAAATGATGGACAATGCATTTTCCTGTTAAATTTTAAAATTGCCTTAATTATGTAGTTGAGGGCCAAGGTACTTTACATACATCACAATTATACCAGAGAGAACCATGATGCAATAGAGTGCAATTGTGAGAGCTAGAGTATTGCCTCATTCTGCTACTAAATTTAAAATAGTCTGGGGGCACTCAGTCCAAAAATTTGGCTCCCGTTTCCCACTGTTCCTAACTCAGTTTCTTGTCTCATTTTGTATTCTCTGACCAAAGTTATTCAGGCTAAATCAGTATTAGGAAACAAAGATTAGCAAGTGAATTGTACTTTTAATTATTCAATATGCTTGTCTGTAAAATAAAGCTGAACAATGGCCGACTTCAATTCGTGGTTTTAAAATAAGTGGCTAAGGAAAAGCCAAACTGCTATGTGGATTTTTTTTTCCTCTACCCAAGTTTGTATCAATCCCAGGCACTATCGTAGCTACCAATCTGGCACACGTGACACACTTTGGGGCTGAGATCAGCATTTTACATAAATTTTCAACCCAGCCATCCAACTTGAAAGACAGAAACTTCCATCTCCAGAGTGGTTTTATCACCCATGAGGAAAGCTGGCCCCAGAGAAGTTAGGCCCCTTGGGTCTATGGTCACACAAGCTGACATTCAGACCCAGTTCTGCCTGAACCCGCCGGCTCTGTCCTTCCCATTAAAATGAGGGAATTGGGAAACCTGAGTTCTGGAGCTGCTTTGTGACTTAGAGTCAATCATGTTACCTCTCTAGATCTTTGTTTCTCCAACAATAAGAGAATATGACAAGGCTAAGTCAGGTTGAACATCTCTTCCAAACTTAAACGCAGATATGACACATAGTGCAGTGTTTACTATATAACCATGTTGTGCTTATCCTTTGAGGAAAAATAATAGAAATTCTAGGGCCAAACTTTTCAACTTTTTGGCCTGGGTGACTTGTTTTCCTCCTTAAAAAATCCATATCACAGAGCCACCTGCTTCCACAGTTACCATATTAAAATCATCCTAGGATTTTACCACTGATCTTCATACATGTGTATTTGGACTGAGTCACATTTTGTTGTAAAAATAAATGATGTCAGATAAAACATTGTGTTTAAAATAAGTGGTATTAATAATCTCTTTAAAATGCATGCCCATGAAACATTAAGTTGTCTGAAAGAAATATAATCTGCTTTCAATATATTTTCTCATTTAAGTTGAGCGTTCATGTGTTCAATTCACCCTAAATACAAAATAATTCTTACTTTCCTAAGAATTTTTCATGAAAGCATGTTAGGTAACTGGTAATGCCAAAATGAAACTAAGGCACTAAGTAATAGATTATGATAAAAAGAAAGAATTCATGCTGAGGGAAAAAAAGAAAAAGATGAGATTGGACTTAAAATAAGTTACATGGACCCATTTGGAGCTGAGTCTAACAAAATATGATTTATGTGCAAAGCATTTTTTGTTACATAATTTATGAAGCAAAAACGTGGAACATAGCATATGGTGAGTTGATTTGGAAGAGGGGATTTAAGCATAATCATTCAGCCTGGGGTTTATGCCGTGTTTGAATATCTGTCATACCTCTGCCTGGCTCCCATCCCCACATGTGACCTCCTGCATGGTGAGACTTACATCACATCCCACACACTTTCTGGACTGTTTTGATTATTCACTGTTAACCTTAAAAAGTATGGCTTCCTGTTAGGCACTTTTATTTCATACAACATAAGTTGTATGCAGTGTGCTTCAAATAAGTAAACAACCGGCAGGTCAGAATAGCTTTTATTTATTTGTTTTGTAAATCCCAGCTTTCTCTGGGTCCTCATAAAGAGGAGTAATAGAGAAATAGTTTCTGGCCACTCTGCTTTATTATTTCAGACATGCATGGCCTCCTATATAATTTGCTTATTGATTTCAATAATAAAGACCAGGAAATTACATCCTCTCTTGTCTGTGGAGCTATGAATCACAGATTGCTTAACCACTGTCAAATTAAACAACTTGCCTGTGACTGAGAAAGGATTCATATAAAGACTAAAATGATCATCAGCCTCCCACTAATCCAGTGTGTCCCCCATGTTAAATGAAGTCAGCATCACTCTGGGCAGCTGTGCTGCCTCCTTTGAGGAAATCAGCCTCCTTCTCAATCATTTGTACTGCCACACAGTTTGAATCCCGGATTCTGGAAGATTATGCCAGATACCTTTCTCTCCTGGGAGATAACTGCTCAAAAACAAAGACACAATTAAAATAAAAATTAGACATGAGCACAGTGGCTCATGCCTATAATCCCAGTGCTTTGGGAGACGGAGTCAGGAGAATCGCTTGAGGCCAAGAGTGTGAGACAAGCCTGGGCAACATAGAGGATCCCAATCTGTACAAAATAAAAAAATTAAAAGAATTAGCTAGGCGTGGAGGCTCATGTTTGTAGTCCCAGCTACCTGGGAGGCTGAAGCAGGAGGATCACTTGAGTCCAAAAGCTTGAGGCAGTGAGCTATATTCATGCCACTGCACTCTAGTTTGGGCCACAGAGTGAGATTCTGTTTCTACAATAAGAATAAAAATAAAAATAAAATAATAATAATAAAAATAAAATCAAACAAAACATTGAAAGAACTCTGGTTTCTGATTATCTAAAAGCTCCCAACTGATACCGGAAATACTGTTTTCTAATGCTAACATTTGAATACCCAAGGTCTCTCATAGATTTATTGCATCAAATCTCTGGGTTAAATTTAGAATGAGGTTGATCTTCAGGAGCAGATTCTCATTCTAAATCACACAATTGTATCTAGAGGCTGAGTGTTTAAAGGGACAAGACCAACAGTGGGCTCTGGGTGCCCAGCCGAGCAACCTCTAGAAGTGTTTTGCTTTTTCAGAAAGCAATGAAGGGGCTTAAAATCATTTGTGAAAATGATTTAAATGATTTAAGGGTTGAAAGCAAAAAACAAACAAACAAACAAAAAAACCTCATCTGGGCCCAGTATTCTCATTATAGGTAGAATAATGATAGAAATTGCAATGCACAATTTTACTGCAAATTTTGCTTGAAAGCAGACAAATCATCTTGGAAAAGTAGATTTGACTCCCTGCACTTTAGTTTCCTTATCTAAGCCTGAGGGTTTGATGATGTCTTCGATGTTTTTAGGAGTTCTAACTGTATATATTTTAATGCCAAAATAATCTTTGTGGCCAATCTTAATTCTACAATTTGAAAATAGTTTTAAGTTAAAGATTTTAATGCGCTTGGATAACCTGCAAATTTACATTTAAACCTGTTTATGTAATTATTCACTCACATTTAAATGTGGTAACTTCTGCCCATGTGATCTTAAATTAAAACATTCTTTGAAGCTAGATGAATACTTAGCATGTTAATAACATCTGATGAGACCCAGATGAAAGCTGGTATGAAGTACTTCTTGGTCAAGAAGTTCTCTCTCTTTGTTAATGTAAATTTTATAAGTTTCCATTACCCAATGAACAAGGTATATAAATTGGATGAGTTCTTCTTTTTTGAATTATCGTCAGGTTATACAAAGAGGAAAGGTGGAACATTAAAAAGAATGAAAATTCAAAGGACTTGAATCATTGGTCTGTTAGTAAATTTGCAATTTTATAAACCGCAATGATTTATAAACTATTCAAAACATTAATATTTACAAGCAAAATTATGCAAAGCATACACAACTTTTGCTGTCTTGATTAGACTGCATCTTTTGTCTCCAGGTAAAAATAACTTTTAAAGTTATTTTCAAAAAATATTTATTTTTTGATGCTTAATTTTTAGTTGCCTAGTGAAATGATTGCTATTCATATCTAAAAGGAAAACGAACCTCAGGTGGTATGTCACAGTGAGATGTCATTAAGTTATTATTAAAAATGGCTTATATGCAATTTAAAGCCAGCTTCCACGAATGACTCTTGTGGTGAACAAGAAACCAATATAGATTATTTGTAGAAATAAATATTCCTTGATTCCTAGACTCCTATAAAACCACCTGAATAATATTGTGCACTGACTGTGGAAGGATTTTGATAAAATGTACGTTTTTCATGTCAGAATGAATGAATTATGTGCATGATATAAAGCAATAGCTCCCAAATTTCCCACAAAGGACATCTTTTGTTATCACTGTTTTTTTTTTTTCATCAGTATCAGTGGTTTAAAAGATATTTTTCTATTACCACGAGATAGCCAGCAGTACCATATTGGCTTTCTACAAGGCATTTTTAGGTTGTGAGGTGCTTCTGAGGCTAAAGATATATTACATTTGGCTTTTTGAAATAGTGAAATATAAATCTCTAATAGTCTGAGAAGTTGAAATTGGGAATTACTAGTGTAAAGAAAATAACTTATAAACAAGGCCCTTGATTCAAGTCTTTTCCATGACTTTGGTTAACTTTATCTATTAAAAAAAAAACTAGGCAATTTTTAAGTTTCCCTTTTAATGCTAACATTTCATATTGTGTTTTCAGCATCCCACTTGATGAAAATTCCTGTTATAATAAATTAGCCCCTTGAGGTTCCTGGAAAAGCATGAAGACTTGATATCACCTCCTTCCTCCCACTCTCCATGTATACAAACACTCCAATTGATACTTTCTCTTATATTATTATTTAAACTATTTTCTTTCTGACTCTGCGTTCTATCTTCTGTCTTGACTTTATTCACCCAAGATGACCAAAAAGACAAAGATTTGAGCTATGAGGTAGGTGTATGATACATAGGGGAAAAACACATACATATATAGGTTATATGAATATATGTATATCTCCATATATATATGTTATATACCCATAAAATATGTACCAAATTGCTCCTTCAAGCTATATATTAGACCATAAACACAATTAAAGTATAAAACAAAATGAAAATATAATAAAGGTTTTTAATATCAATGACTGGTATAAAGGCATTCATAAATAGCATTTTAAAGAAAAATACATTTAAAATAATTAAAATATAAAATAAAAAAGTATTTTGAAACATTATCTTTAATGTTTATAGCCTAAAATATATTTTTTAAATAAATAAAGTACCTACATTAAAAGGTCTAAGTTTTTTTTAACAAAATAAACACAGGTCTAAAGAAAAAAGGAAAACATAAATGTATAAAAGAGAATGTAGCAAAATAGGAAATAACAAAGAGGATCAGTAAATATAAAAGTTATTTACCTTCCCCCCCCAAAAAAATGAATAAAATATACAAGTCTTTAAGCCAACTTTTACAGGGAGGTGCTGTGGTTTGAGTATATGTGTCCTCCCAAAATTCATCTGTTAAAACTTAATCCCCAATGTGATAATATCAAGAGCTGTGGCCTTTGGGAGGTAATTACGTCATGAGGGCTCCATGTTTATGAATGGAATAACACTTTTAATAAGTATCCTTACTTATTAAAGAAACTTAAGAGGAACTCTTTGCCCTTCTACCATGTAAAGATACAGCAAGAAGGTGCCATCTATGAAGGAGAAGACAAGCCCTCACCAGACACCAAATCTGCTGATGCTTTGATCTTGGACTTCCCAGCCTCCAGAACTGTGAGCAAGAAATTTCTATTTCTATTTCACCCAGTCCAAGGTATTTTGTAATAGTAGCCTGAGCAAACTAAGACAGGAAGAAAAAAAGTATATATAGCTGTATCAGAAATTAAAAGGGGACATAACTACGGTAGAATATATACTTATATATATATTTATATATATTTTGACAATATATCAAAAATTTAAGTTAATGCATTTGAAGAAGATAAAATTAATACCTTTCTGAAAATATAATTTTAAAGTATTCCTTAAATTACAAAATTTAAATACAATTATAGAAATTGAATCAGTAATTTAAATTGCCACACCCCAAGTTACCACAGATGTAATTTTGCAGATGCATTTTAGAAAACTTTAAGATAAAAACTTTTCATTTTCCCTTTTTTATTTCAAAGAATAGAAAAATGTTCCTCTTCCATTCGTGGCTAAGCAAATTCTTATTGAACCAACCCTTCCACAGATAGCAACTCTAAACAAAATGTTGAAAAAGCAACTACCTGCAGGCACTGGAGAGTGAAAATAATGTGGGAGACACTGGAGGGAAGTTATGAATAAGATAACAGTAGGGTGTGACTCTCCACTTGTTAACTGCTTTTAGAATGAGAGCAGTCTGCAGGTGTTGCCACACAAAGCAACTAAAATTCATATGGAAACCCATGGACTTACTGACTTGAAAGGCCAGGGGCAAAGACTCGGGCAACTGCAGCTGTTGGTAAGTGAAGGAGCATATTACAAAGAAGAAAGGACAATCACAGGGAAACAATTTTGCATAAAAAGCAGTCTGAATCTCTAGACTTCAAAAGGCCAACTAAGGTTTTACCCACACAGGGGAGATAGAATCAGAAGTTCAAGTTCAGCTACTGCTTAACATTTTTTCAATAAGAATGAAAATCCTTCAGAGTAACATAATTTAGAATTTAGAGTCTCTACAATGTATCACAGTGTTCAACAATCTTATATTACTTGGTATACAACAGAACAGAAAATAATAAACGTTCTCAAGAAGAAAGAATGTCAGAGACTAACCCTGAGACCATCCAGATAAAGATTTTGAAGTAGCCATTATAACTGTGCGCAAGGATAGCAAGGAATAGATTGTTAAAACAAATATAAGATAGAAAATCTCAGCAGAGAAGTTAAAACTATTACAAATGAAAATTAGAAAACTAAAATATATCTGAAATAAAAATTTTGCTGGATGAGTTTATCAGCAAAATAGAGAAGACAGAAGAATTAGTGAACTTGATGACTCCTCAATATAAAATATCCAACCTGAATAAGAAGGAAGACGATTCAGAAAAATAAATAATAGAACCTCAGAGAACTGTGGGACAATATCAAAATGTCAAGTGTGTGTGTGTGTGTCTCTCAGAGGAGAAAAAAGAGACAATAAAGCAGAAAAAAATTTTGAAGAAATAATGTCTGAAATTACACAATTGTGATGGAAGACATAATTTACAGATTCAAGAAACTCAGTGAACCCTAACAGGATAAAGTTATACATATGTACATACTCATGCACACACACAGAGGCCTTAATACATCATAGACAGACTACTAAAAACCAAAGATAAAGAGAACATCTAGAAAAAAGACAGAGGAAAATGATAAATTCCATATAAGTGAATAATGATTTGAATAACCTCAGGCTTCTCATCAGAAATAGTGAGAGCCAGAAAAAAAAAAAAAACAACTTTTTTAAAATACTAGAAGAAAAAAAATGTCAACCAAGAATTCTATATTCAATGAAAATATCCTTTAAGAATGTAGATAAAATGAAGACATTTTCAGAAAAATGAAATAAACTAATCTCTACTATAAGAAATGCTAGAGGGAGTTCTTCAGGCTAAGATAAAACTATAAAGAAACATGAATCTACTGGAAGAAATAAGATGTATTGCATTTACATGTGTTACAATCCCTGTAATATTTTAAAATTAGTATTATAGGGATTATAGCACATGCAAATACAGTACATATGACAACTAGAGAATCAAAACTGAGGGTGTGGTGAAGTGATCATGCACTTGCAGGATTTGTACACTGTATACAAAGTGGTTTAGTATTAACTGTGTAAACTATGAGGAGGTAAAGATTCATTGTAATTATAGGAACAACCACTAAAAAAGAAAATAGCTACAAAAATAAAAAAATTAAGTAAAAGAAAATAAAATTCCTAAAAAATTTATATATTCCAAAAGAATGCCAAAAAGGAGAAAGAGAAGTACAAAAACAAAGAGACAAATGCAACTCATAATAGGAAAATGATAGATATAAATCCAACTATATCAAGAATTACATTAGATCATCAATCACTCCAATTATAAGGCAGAAATTTTTGTAAGAAATAAAAAAGCAAGATTCAACTATATGCTATCTACAAGAGAAACATATTAAAAATAAAGAAATAGAAAGGTTTTGGTTGACAGTAAGTATACCTACCATGCAAATAGTACACATAAGAAGGTTGGAGTGTTTATGGTAAAATCATATAGATTTCAAGATAAGGAATATTAACAGATAAAAATGATGAAAGTTTTGTCAGGAAGACAAAACAATCATTAAAGTATATTTATCAAAGGATAGAAGAGAATGAAAAACTACTCATATCCTTAAAAAGATTATAAACTATACTGAAACTAGTCAATTTTAAGATAAGAAATAAGATGACAATCTCACATAGTATATATACAAAAATTTTCAATAAGCTATCAGCAAATTAAAATTGTCATTATAATAAAAAATTATAGCAAGAAGTGTTCATCTCAGAAATATAAAGATAATACATCACAAAACATAATACAACACATTTACATATTCTTTTTTTTTTTTTTTTTGGGGACAGAGTCTCCCTCTGTCGCCCAGGTTGGAGTGTAGTGGCGTGATCTCGGCTCACTGCAAGTTTCGCCTCCCAGGTTCACGCCATTCTCCTGCCTCAGCCTCCTGAGTAGCTGGGACTACAGGCACCTGCCACCACGCCCCACTAATTTTTTGTATTTTTAGTAGAGACGAGGTTTCACCATGTTAGCCAGCAAGGTCTCAATCTAAACAAAATAGTATGTTTATAATGGCAAAATTAATTTTAAAAATTTAATACTGACTCATCAAGAAAAATAACAACAAAAGAGGCCATTTTCAAAGCAGGAAGAGAAAGGATTTTTTTTCCCCGAGTAAGAGTTTCTAGTAAAAACTTTAACATACATCAGACTTAATGGTGACAGGTTAGAAAAAGTATTCCCATTAAACATATGAATAAGAACCAAGATGTCTGCAATGTTCCATTATGTTAGACATTACATTGGAGGTATGTGTAAAGATAAAGATTTTATGAGGAGATATTCCAAAGACAGATTTGTGATTCTTTGGATGTGGCACTGTTGAAGGTGAATCTAAAAGCTTTTATGGAGCAATGTCAAATTTGTGAGCCACACGGAGATGGAGATGAGATTATAATACACTTTTATATGTACTATCATAGATGTAAAACTCTCTATCTTAATATTAACTTTGAAAATGTTAAATTGAGAATCCTGTTAACTTACATTTTATGAATTGGCATATTGTATTACTGCAAGATATATTTGATTTTCAGCATAATGCCAAAACAAAAGATTTTTTAAAAAACTATAAAAATGCATATATTTTTCTAAATTTATTTTGTCTTAAAGCACACTTTAAATGTCATTTCTCATTGAGCAAAATTGTCAAATTTCTATGGAAAATTTTAAGATAAAAAGAAATAGGCAAAGAATTGGAAAGAGACAAAATTGACAATATTTATATCCAATTTAATATTCTAAGTATATAATCCAAGAAACCATACAGATAAGTTACTAAAACTTGTAAGAAGATTTGATATAGTTGCCAGATTACTATATAATTGAATAATTATATAGAAAATAAGTAGCATTCTAAGTGCCTTTAATAATTTAAGAAGGACTTCTGCTTATAGCCACAACAAAATAGCCAGAACTGGATTAACTGTCCCAGCTAAAATCACTAAAAAATAATCAAAATATATGTTTTTAAACACAGTTTCAGACTTTGGACAACATGTAGCCCAGGACAGTGATCCCTGAGAAAAGGAAGACAAATGAGGTGACACTGTGATAGACCCAGATCAACGCCTGGAAAAAGTTTCAAAGCTACAATGTGAGGAGTGGGGACAAAACAGTCTAGTGGCTTTGCTGAGTGGAGAAGGCAAGTACTGGAGTCCAGGCAAAGTATTGGTGAAGGTGGAGCCCTGGAGAAAAAGAACTCTAGAGATCTGTAAGAGGCTCTCCTTGAAACTTCTACTGAGCACAGTTCTGCACATGCATGTATAGAATTTACTCAAGATGAAGAAAGAACCAACGAAAAAAAGCATAGTATAATGCTGAGAACTCATAAAATCGAGTAGGAAATCTTGCCTATTGAAAGAGCATTGAGACAGAGTCCTCAGAAGGAATTTTCTCAGTGGTGGGAACAAATTAGCTATAAACCCAAGTTTGCTCTGATATTGCTATAACAAAGCTTAAAAGCAACTCTCAAAAGGCTCAAACTGAGTACAAAACATCTAATTGTAACCCAGGGTACTTCCCAACAGTATTCAAGGGAATAAAATATTTTGTGTATATTTTGTATTACAGGAATATATTGTATTCCTTTATATAGCATATTGTATTTCTTTATATATGAAATGATATATCATCCTAATTTAGAGCATGAAGTTACAGATGTATATTATAAACTCTAGAACAACCACTAACACTATTTTAGAAAGCTATAAATGATAAGCAAATAGAGATAAAATAGAATGATAAAATATAATCAATCCAGAATATGGGAAGAAAAAGAAAAAGGGAGCAAAAAAAAATGAAAAAAATGAAACAAATTGCAAGATGACAGATTTAAACCTAATCATATTATAACCACATTATATATAAATAGGCTATATACTCCAATTACAAAACAAAGATTGTTGAATAAAAAAGTAAGACCCAACTACATACTTTCAGCAAGAAACCCACTTCAGATATAAAGACATAAATTCAGTAAAACTCATAAGTCAATGTCATAAATACATATATATAATATGCTCGCACTAATTAAAAGAAAGCTGGAATGACTGCATTAATATCAGAAAATGTAGATTTCAGAGCAAAGAATAGTACCAGGGATAAAGAGGCTGAATTCACATATTATAGGGGTAAAATATTTGAGAGAACATAAGATTAGTCTATGTGTATATCTGATAGCCCAGCTTCAATATATATGAAAGAAAAATTAGTGGAACTGAGTGGCTAGATATACATATCTACAATTGTATTTGCAAAGTTCAACAACTTATTCTTAATCATTAATAGATCAAGTAGAGAAAGTAAGGATTTACAAGAATTGAAAACATCACCAACCATCTTGACATTTATCGAGCAACTCCACCCAACAAGAGCAGGAGGTATATTCTTTTCAATTTCCCATGGAACATTGAATAAGATAGATCATAAAACAGGTCTCAGTAAATGCAAAAACATTAAAACCACACAAAAGAACGGTCCATGTCCACAAATGAATTAAATTAGAAATCAATAGCAGAATATTTTAAATATTCATCCATATTTTCAAACCAAACAATATACTTCTAAATAACTCATGGGTCATAAAAGAAATGACGAGGCAAGTCAGAAAGTATTTTGAACTGAGTGGTAATGAAGCACTACACATCAAAATCTGAGGGACAGAGATAGGTAATGTTTAGAGAAAAAATCATAAAATTAAATGCTCATATTAGAATAAAAAGTTTGTCAAATCAATCATTTTGAAGCCTGCATCTTAAGAAATGTTCAGTCTTCAAGATGGTGGAATAGAACCTTTCAGCAGTTGTCATCAATGTGAACAACTATCCACACTTGAAGACACCTTTGCAAGCATTAAGGAATCCAGGTGAGAGACTATGACACCTGAGTGTAGTATGGAACTAAGAAATGCACTGAAGAGAGTGGAAGGACAGTTTCACATGACCCATGTCACCCTTTTCCATGCCCAGGCAGCACAGCACAGAGATGCCCTCTGGGTGGGAAAGTAGAGTGATGTCACCACCTGACTTTGTGTGGAGCCCAGCACCAGGTACACCCCAGAGAAACCCAGTGCTGGGCTGATTCCAGCAGCCCCAGGATCCAGATTAGCCTCTGTAGATATAGGCTGCAGGCTTGCCCGGCATCAAGCTGGCCCCTGTTGCCCCAGACTCTCGGCTGGTTGCAATGGCCACATGTTCCCAGCTGACCCAGTCCCCAGGCCCATGTCAGTGCCAGAGACCTAGCCACTGCGGACCTAGCCTTCAGGCCAGCATCCACAGATGCAGTCTCTTGGCCAGGCTCCATGTACCCAGGCTCTATGCTAGCCCCATAGTCTCATGTACTAGGCCAGCACTCATGGACACAGGCTTGAGACTGGCCCCTGCAGACCCAGGTTCCCAGGCCTGTCCCAGGACCAAGACAGCCCAAGCTCCATGTCAGTCCCCACATCCACAGGCTTCAGTGGACCCAAGGTCCAGTCTTGCTCCAGTAGATTCAGAGTGCAGGCTCACCTCAAAGTCAGCAGAAGGAAGGAAATAATAAATATCAGAGCAGAAATAAATGAAATAGATAGTTTAAAAATCAGTGTAAATATCAATGAAACTAAGAGATGGTTTTTTGAAAAGATAACTAAAATTGGCAAGTCCTTAGCTAAAGAAAGAGAAAAGACTCAAACAACTAAAATAAGAAATGAAAGAGGAAGTATTACAACTGACACCACAGAAATACAAAGGATTATAAGAGAATACATTAGCCATTAGCCATATAACAGCCTGAGCCATTATACATTGCCAACAAATTGGATAACACAAAAGAAATGGATAAATTCCTAGAATCATACAACCCACCAAGGATGATTCATGAAGAAATAGAAAATCTAAATAGAGCAATAATGAGTAAAGAGATTGAATCAGTGATCAAAATATCTCTCAACAACAACAACAAAAAGCTCAGGTCCTGATTACTTCACTGGTAAATTCTAGCAAACATTTAAGGAAGAATTAATATCAATTCTTCTCAAACTCTCCCAAAAACTTGAGGGGAAAGAAATGCTATCAAATTCAATTTACAAAATCAGCGTTATTCTAATATAAAAGCCAGACAGGGACACTGCAGGAAAAGAAAATTACAGACCAATATCCCTGATGAACATAGATGCAAAAATCCTTAAGAAATACTAGAAATCCAAATTCAGCAGCACATTACAAAGACCATTCATTTAGGTGAGATTTACCCTTGGATGCAAAGATGGATCACCATATACAATCAATAAATGTGATATACTGCATTAACCATATGAAAGATAAAAATCATATGGTCATCTTAATATATGCAGAAAAATCTTTTGAAAAACATCAGCATCTTTTCATCATAAAAACTCTTAACAAATTAGGTATAGAAAGATTATACTTCAACATTATAGAGATCATGTATGACAAGCCCACAGCTAACATACTCAATGGTGAAAAAGGTGAAAAACTAAAAATTTTTCCCCCAAGATAGGGAACAGAACAAGGGTACATACTCTCACTACATCTATTCAGTATAGTACAGGAAGTCCTAGCCAGAGTAATTAGGCAAGAAAAAGAAATAAAAGGCATCTAAATTGAAAAGCAAGAATTATAACTGTCTGTTTCTGCAGATGACATTTTTTATATAGAGAAAATCCCTGAAGACTCCCCCCAAAAACTGTTAGAACTAATAAACAAATTCAGTAAAGTTGCAGGATATAAAATGGACATAAAAAATCAGTAGTAATTTATATACTAATAACAAACTATCTGAAAAAGAAATTTTAAAAAAGATCTCATTTACAATAGCATCAAAAAGAATAAAATACTTAGGCATACATTTAACCAAGGAGGTGAAAGATCTGTATGCTGAAAACTATAAAACTTTGATTCAAGAGGCTGAAGAAAACACAGATAAATGGGAAGATATCCCATTTTTATGGATTCGAATTGATAGTGTTAAAATGTCCATACCAACTAAAGCAATCTACATATTCAATGCAACCCCTATCAAAATTCCAGTGGCATTTTCCTCAGAAATAGAAAAAAAATTCTAAAATTTGTGTGAAACCACAAAAAAAAGTCAAAGCAACATGGACCAAGAAGAACAAAGCTGGAGGCATCACAATACCTGATTTCAAAAGATACTACAAAGCTATAGTAACTCAAACATCATGGTACTGGATAAAAACAGACATGTAGAACAATGAAACAAAATATAGAGTCCAGAAATAAATCCATGCATTTTGGTCAATTAATCTTCAACAAAGATGCCAAAAGCATGCAATAGGAAAAGGACAGTCTCTTTGATGAATGGTGATGGGAAACCGGATATCATATGCAGAAGAATAAAATTGGACTCATCTTACACCATATACAAAATCAACTCACAATAGATTAAACCTTAAACTTAAGACCTGAATCTTTAAATTTATTAGAAGAAACAATAGGAAAAAAGCTTCTTGACATAGAACTGGCCAAAGATTTTTTTGATATGACCTCAAAACACAGGCAATAAAAGCAAACCTAAACAAATGGGATTACATCATACTGAAGAGCTTCAGCACAGCTAGGGCAACAGTCAACAGAGTGAAGAGACAGCCTATAGAACAGGAGACAATATTTGCAAACATACATCTGATAAAGGATTAATATCCAAAACATACAAGGAACTCAAATAACTCAATAGCAAGAAAACAAATCACTGGATTAAAAAAAAAATGAACAAAATATTTGAACTGACATTTCTCAAAAAAAGACAAAGGGCCAATAACAATGTGAAAAAAATGCTTATTATCACTAATCATCAGGCAAATGCAAATTAAAATCACAATGAGATAATAACAGCTTATATTTGTATTCTGTATATATAGGCCAAACATTGTTTCAAAAGCTTTATGTAAATTAAGCCATGTAATCCCTACAACATTCCAATGAGGTAAGTGATATTACTACCATTTTATAGAGAAGTTAAATAATTTGCTGAAATTCAAACAGCAAATCAGTTGACAGTCAGGATTTTATTCTAGGAAGATTGGTAGTCATTTCACAAAAGAGAAAACAGAAATGGCCAGTAAACTTAAATATATACTGTCTCAAAAATAATATGAGAAATACAAAAAGTGCTGTTACACCATGTGCTAGCAATGATACTAAGAAATGAAAATGCTTACACATGGCTGGTGTGAAAATACATTAAGATGACAAGAAACATAGCAAAATGCAATAAATTTGAACATGATATATTTTCATCCAAGCAATTTTACTCCAAGAAGACAAGAATAAAAACATATTGTAGCGTTTTTAACTTGTAACAAAATACTGCAAATAATCTAAGCACCCTGGACTGGACAAGTAAATGGACAAAAAAAAAAAAACAAAAAAAACAAAACTCATGGCATATTCATAAAATGGAGTAATGTGCTAATAGAGATAATATATGAACTTGCAGTACCTGTACCATTTCAGATATGCTCAACAATATACTCAAGTTAAAAACACATAAGGTTGCAGAATGATGCTAATTTTGTAAAACTAGGAAATCTCAAAGCTTATTCTACTGATTGATTCTGAAACAGGAAGTAAAAGTATAAGAAACATTCGTGAGAATAACAGACATCAAACCAAGGAATGTGGCTCCCTCTGAACAGGGCAGATGGGAATCTCTATTAGAGAAAAGTCACAGTACACTTCTTCTTCATGCACTAATGGGTTGGGATTTGAGGTTTTAAGATAATAGGACTTGATTCTACTTGAAGGATGAAAATTTTCTTCCAATAAGATGACTTTACCCTATTTCTTGTGAAGTGATCTTTCTTGATCTGCTTTGTATTTTAAACCAGGCTCACACCCCTTTATTAACTGAAGCTGACTTAACCCGAACTATCTGAAGCTGACTCAACCCGAACTATCCGAGATCACACGTAAATGTTTTCCTTCTGATCTCAACTTTTCTCCTTATCGTGGGGCATGGAAAGGAGGAGATCGCAGCAGGGAAGTTTTTGTTCTTGTTCACATGCTAACAATGGTAAGCTTCTTAAAAGTGAATCACAGTAGCATCACAGAGTTTGGACAGGTGATGTAACTAGGAGCTACGAAAATTGAGTGCCATAAAAGAATCATCTTTAAATACTGAAGTGCTTCTGTATGCTTGAATTATACAGCATTTCCTGTTTCAAAGCAGTTTCACACAATCTCATTTAACACTTTTAAAGTCATAGTAGTTGAACCGAGTATATCGCACCCCTGTTACGGCTTTTTCTTGATTATAGGACAAAATGAAAAGAACTTTTATGATCTGGCTCCAATTATACTTTCAAGGTTCAAGTCTTCCCATCCGGTAAGATTTTTCTTCTTTACAAAATGCCCCAACTGAGGCACTCATGTACTAGGCACAGGAGACTACCTGTTTGAAATATCCCTTGCTTCTGCTGGAAATGCTGTTCCCACACTGAACTCATGTGCCAACTCTCAGCTCAAAAGTGCATGTTTGTCTCTACCAGTGGACTAAGGACCAGCTCCTAGGATGGGAGCAGTTTCTTACTCATGTTTATAAAGTGCTATGCAGAAAATAGCAGGGCTATGGGAAAGAAAGAGACCAGGTTAGAAAAGTCATTTGAATCGGATCTGCATGAAAAAAGGCACTTTAGATAAGACCTGATAGCAAAGGGCTGTAAGAGGAGAAAAGGGCAAATCAAAGGTACCGACAGAACATATTAAGCATGGCCTAGGCTGAGCAAAGCCAAATTTAAACATAATTTTGTATGTTGAAGCACATTATTTTCCAATATGTTAATGTGTAGCCATTCTCACATACATAATAAAGCTAATGGATTATTTATTCAATTGTATGTTTTGTTATAGGAGCCTCTGTCATTAAAAAGAAAATTTATTTTCGTATCTGGGAAAAGTTGCCAAGGCAAAAAACACACACCTGGCCATGCATCTTTAGTTTGTTATTGTTTTTAGGTTTATTTGAAACTTACAAAGTGAAAAAAATCAATGACTTCTCAGAAAAAGGAAAAAAATAGATGTAGGTGGAAGAGAAAGAATACATAGGATTATAATAGGTTTGGCGAGGATCTCATGTTGCTGAAGAAAACGAGTCTTGGGATTCTTTGTAGTGGGTCTTCAGAACAG
Organism: Homo sapiens; assembly: GCF_000001405.40. NCBI lineage: Eukaryota > Metazoa > Chordata > Mammalia > Primates > Hominidae > Homo > Homo sapiens. The sequence continues at coordinate 187,633,947 of NC_000004.12, forward strand.
GCAAAGAAATGGTTACGAGTGAGGATACCAGAAGGAGAAGAAAACTAGAAATTTGAATAGAAAGTTGAACAAAATGAACTTTGGATACCAATAACCTTCAGTGAATGGGTGAAGAAGAAAAAACCTTTCTCTAGTTCTGTTTCAAAGGCAGTAATGAATAGAATAGCAAAAGTTAAGCATGAATGAAATCCATATTTATCTATTTTTTGAAAGGTAATGCATGTCTTATTTTCACTGCATTATTTCCAGAGCATAATAATTTCAGCCTAAGTTAACTTTCAATGGTCAGTCTTTGCTGTCCAGCACTGCATTGCTCAGGAGATTCATTAATCAATCAATCGATCAATCAATCAGTTCCTTCTGTTTCTTTCCCACCTGGAGCTCTGCTGTCAGAGTTGCACATGTGAGTGAGATGTAGCTCACTTAGGAATCCATGCCTGCAGCTACCCTGGGAGCTGACTGCCAGTCTCTGCTCAGAGGCCCTTGTTCCCACAGGCATTTGCTCTCTGCTGTGTAATTTATAGTTTAAGTCAAATGATTCCAAACACAGTCTCTAACATTTGGGTAAAATCTGTCTAGTACTTTCTTGTGACACAGAAACATAGAGGGAAAATATTGCTATATTTATGCAAATATAGAATCTTTACTCTGAGGCTTTTCTTAAATTCACAGTCACCCATATGCCAAGTGGATTTACTGTTCATTACTCAGTGTCTTTACTGTTTGTAACTCAGATCACGTTTTCCTTCACAAAGCCTGCTTACTGAATATTTGTGTGATGATTTGAACTCAATTAGCTACTTATTGCTAGGTTATATTTTCCCCTTTGCAGCAAGCATGTCAAAGATTATACATTTTTTTAACAGATTGCTTTTAATTGTATTAGTTGAAGAGCAGTCTTTATATGTAAAATAGTGAATTATAGTTAAGGGACCAAGGGCCATTGTGTCTTAAGTTTTAATTGTTCAATAGATCACCTAATAGTTTTTAAAATTTTTATAGGAATGTCTGATCTTATCCACAAACTTTAACAAATGGGCATAAAAATATTCCTCCCTTAATTTTTCTGACCTGCACTTTTTCTGTTTTGTTTTTGTATTTTTTATTTTGTTGGTTACTCCACGTCATTGGTTACTTCATGTCAGGATTATTTGCAGCAATCTTCTGTCCTTAATATATTGATGTTTTGGGGGCTTCTAACCTAAGCTCTATTCTTTTTCCATTCTTTAAATTCTCCAAGTAATCATACATTCAGTTGGCTTTGATTACTATGTATATTAATAATTCTGGCCAGGCGTGTTGGCTCACACCTGTAATCCCAGCACTTTGGGAGGCTGAGGTGGGTGGATCACGAGGTCAGGAGTTCGAGACCAGCCTGGCCAAAATGGTGAAACCCTGTCTCTACTAAAAAATACAAAAATTAGCTGGGCACGATGGCGGGCGCCTGTAATCCCAGCTACTCGGGAGGCTGAGGCAGGAGAATCGCTTCAACCCGGCAGGCGGAGGTTGCAGTGAACCGAGATCACACCACTGCACTCCAGCCTGGGTGACACAGCAAGACTCCATCTCAAAAAAACAATAATAATAATAATAATAATAATTCCAACACCCCATCTCTATGTCCACCCATTTCTTTTCTAAACTTCAGGCTCAACTGCTTGTTCAAGCTCTCCATTGTTTACCTCACAGGAATCTCAAGGTAACTTGTTCAACTTGAGTGTCTCTGGACCTCCCCTCTCTACTGGCTTCTCTGCAAACGTTTTTCTTGGTGAGTGCATCTGCTTTCCCAGCTGCTCAAACCAGATTTCTAGGGCTCTCCCTTTGCTGTTTCCCATCCGACACTCCCCATCCTGGAAATCACATAGCTTTGTCAATTTCATCACTAGAAACACCAGCCCCTGCCCTTCTGTCCTACCGGCATCACTGTACAGCATGCTACTCTCATCTCTTGTAGCCTCATTGCAGTTTACCTCCCTGTTTCTAACTGGGCCCTGCTCCAATCCACTTTCCACACTGTATCCAAGGGATCTTTGTAAAATTCTAATCTGATTGTGCCATTCCCTTGTTAATACCAATCAATAAATTCCCAAAGTTCTTAAGTAAATCTAGGTAAGTTGTTTATAAATTCCTTCATGTTATCATCTCCATTTACTTTTTTATCCTCGTTTCTACCCAACCAAAACACCTTTAAGTGCAACAGTCCCACAGTTCTAAATTACATTCATTTTTTATGGTATGCTATTTCTCACTTTCAGCATTTCTATTTGCTGTTGATTCTGCCCAGAATGCCGTGGACAGTCCCCTCTCCTTGCCTCTCATGCTCATTTTTAACCAGCTTCTACTCATCTTTATTTTTCATATATCGTCTCAGATATCACTTCTTCTGAGACACAATCTTTAGGGCCTCAAAGCTGATCTAGGTGTCCCTCTTATGTACTTTAATTTCTTGATCACATCAAATATAGTACTGAAATATTATTTTTCAGTGATGCTTAACACTGGTTCTATTTTTCTTTTTCTTTTTTAATACTTGGAAAACTTTCACTAACTAACTTACTATCATTGAGTTTCTTGACTGGGGTCCCATACTTTTTTTAAAGGTGGATATTAGATTTGGAATAACCTCATGGGTGATTCCAATACATCTTTGGGGCAACATCTCTGACTATACATTGAGAAACACTACTTATTGCAATTCTTGTTTATTTATTTATATTCTACATTAGCCTGTAAGCTAGCTCTATCAGGGTTGTGCCTCTATTTAAAAATCTTACTGCTGTATCCCCCGTACTTATCAGGCACTTTGCAAGTAACAGGAATTCAACAGATGATGGAGTCATTGAATGAACAGCTTTTGTCAATGAATGAAATGTTCAGGAGCACTTTCTTTCTTTCTTTCTTTCTTTTTTTGACGGAGTCTTGCTCTGTTGCTAGGCTGGAGTGCAGTGGCACAATCTTGGCTCACTGCAATTTCCACCTCCCAAGTTCAAACTATTCTCCTGCCTCAGCCTCCTGAGTAGTTGGGACTACAGGTGCATGCCACCACACCCAGCTAATTTTTGTATTTTTAGTAGAGATGGGGTTTCGCCATGTTGGCCAGGATGGTCTTGATCTCTTGACCTCATGATCCGCCTGCCTTGGCCCCCCAAAGTGCTGGGATTACAGACGTGAGCCACAGTGCTCAGCTGAGAAGGAGCACTTTCAAGGGAAGGAAAATAACCCTAGAAATGTCAGATTTGTGTCTACATAATTAATTTCTACTGTTATTCCAGGAATGTGACCAAAATTTATTAGATCTGTGCTTAAGAACAGTAAAGAACTTAAAAATTATCAAAAGCCTTAAAATGTGCATACAGCAATTCTAATTCTGGGAATTTATACTGGCAAAACATAAAAATTAGCATTAGTATTTAATTACCTTGAGTTTTTATAATGGTAAAAATTGTGAATGACCTAAATGATCAATAATAGAGGATTGATTTATGAACTTATGGTATATTTATACAATAAACTATAATTTAGACATTAAATCATATTTTTAAATGTTATGTGTATTTTTTTAAAAACTTTAAGTATATTGAAGGTTTATTACATAGGTAAACTCACGACACAGGGGTTTGGTATACAGATAATTTAATCGCCCAGGTACTAAGCCTTGTAGCCAATAGTTATTTTTCTTAATCCCCTCCGTCCTCCCTCCTCCCTCTCTTCACCCTCAAGTAGGCCCCAGTGTATGTTGTTCCCCTCTTCTTGTCTATGTATTCTCATCATCTAGTGCCCACTTGTAAGTGAGAACATGTGGCATTTGGTTTTCTGTTTCTGTGTTAGTTTGCTAGGGATAGTGGCCTCCAGCTCCATCCATGTTTCAGCAAAGGACATGATTGTGCTCCCTTTTGTGATTGCATAGTATTCCATCGTGTATATGTACCACTTTTTTTATTCAATCTGCCATTGATTCCACGTCTTTGCTATTGTGAATAGTGCTGCAATGAACAAACACATCCATGTATCTTTATGGTAGGATAATTTATATTCCTTTGGGTATATACCCAATAATGATATTGCTGGGTCAAATGGTTGTTCTCTTTTTAGCTCTTTGAGGAAGTGCCACACTGCTTTCCGCAATGGTTGAACTAATTTACATTCCCACCAATGGTATAAAAGTGTTCCTTTTTCTCCACAACCTCAACAGCATCTGTTATTTTTTGACTTTTAGCAATAGCCATTCTGACTGGTGTGAGATGGTATCACATTGTTGTTTGAATTTGTACTTCTCTAATGATCAGTGATACTGAGCTTTTTTTCATATGCTTTTTGGCTGCATGTATGTCTTCTTTTGAAAAGTGTCTGTTCACGTCCTTTGCTCACTTTTGATGGGATTGTTTTCTTTCTTGTAAATTTGTTTAGGTGTCTTATAGATTATGAATATTAGGCCTTTAACAGGTGCATACTTTGCAAATATTTTCTCCCATCCTGCAGGCTGTTTACTCTATTGATAGTTTTTCTGTGCAGAAGATCTTAAGTTTAATTAGATCCCATTTGTCAATTTTTGCTTTTGCTGTAATTGCTTTTGGTGTCTTCATCATGAAACTTTTGCCATCTCCTACGACCAGAATGGTTTTGCCTAGGTTGTCTTTCAGAGTTTTGACAGTTTTGGGTTTTACATTTAAGTCTTCAATCATCTTAAGTTGATTTTTGTACATGGTATAAGGAAGGGGTCCAATTTCAATCTTCTGCATATTGCTAGCCAGTTATCCCAGCACCATTTATTAAATAGGGAATCCTTTCCCCATTGCTTGTTTTTTGCAGCTTTGTCAAAGATCAGATAGTTGTAGGTGTGTGGCCTTATTTCTGGGTTCTCTATTCTGTTCCATTGGTTTATGTGTCTGTTTTTGTACTAGTACCATACTATTTGGGTTACTGTAGCTCTGTAGTCTAGTTTAAAGTGGGGTAACATGATTCCTTTTTTGTAATAGTTTTAGCAGGAATAGTACCAGTTCTTGTCTGTACATCTGGTAGAATTCAGCTGTGAATCCATCTGGTCCTGGGCTTTTTTTGGTTGGTAGGATATTTATTATTGTAAAATCATATTTTAGAAGTGTATCTACTGATATGCATTTAATAATATATAATAGACAAAAAAGATTACCAAAAACTACACACATAATTTCATTTGTTAAATTTATATTTTATACATTTAATATATTATATAAGAAACAGTGTTCACTGATATGTACAATCATATTCATAATTTTTATCACCCTAGCATAAGATAATTTTGTATATTCTCTTTCTGTTTTTTGGTTTTAGTAATTATTATTTTTTTACTCTGAAAGTGTGTTTCACAAATTACAAAATGTTCCTAAATATTAAAGTATGTGGAAACTAAAGAGAAGTATTTGCTCAAATTTTTACTGAAATCTTCTTCATCCATCACTTCCCACTAACCCAGTGTTTTTCTCAGGAGGCCCACACAATTGCCTATTATCAAGAAAAGATACTTTCAAAAAAACTGAAGGGAGCGGTTATATGCTGTGGCACAGCAATTTCAATATAAGTTGTGGATATTTCCCAAAGAATAGTGTCTTGTTCATGGAAATGCACTCTTGCTTAATCAGATGATGACCTGGGATATGGTGTTAACTAGATTAAAAAAAAGGCCATCTGTGCCTGAGGCTCTTCTGGTAGGAAAAACTTGGAGCTTAAATTGTTTTCATTACTAGAATTTGCATGACAGTGGTTTTTAGTAACATACAAAGAAAAACATGGTACTTAAAAATACTATCAAAATACTTTTCTTACTTTAAAAGAAAAAAGTTCTACTTTTTTTTTTTTTTTTTTTTTTTTTTTTTTGAGACGGAGTCTCCCTCTATAGCCCAGGCTGGAGTGCAGTGGCGCGATCTCGGCTCACTGCAAGCTCTGCCTCCCGGATTCATGCCATTCTCCTGCCTCAGCCTCCCGAGTAGCTGGGACTACAGGCACCCGCCACTGCCCCCAGCTAATTTTTTGTATTTTTAGTAGAGACGGTGTTTCACTGTGATCTCGATCTCCTGAACTCGTGATCCGCCCGCCTCGGCCTCCCAAAGTGTTGGGATTACAGGCGTGAGCCACTGCACCCGGCCAAAAAGTACTATTAGATAGTGTTACTAAATATTAAAAGGAACATTGTAAGAATTCTTACACATCTTATAGTGTGAGGAAAATATCCTCTTATTCTTAATTGTGTTATTTTAGACTTACTGCCTTTACATTTTAAACCTTTCCTGACACTTTTTTTTATTATGAATACATTAGTGTTATGTACTTTACCAAAATTATTGCTTTAGGGTAAAAACACTATTGAATAGTTTAGACTAAGGAATTTTGAAGGCTCATTAGTTTTGTTCATATAAATTGCCTATGAAATTAGGGATTCCTGAAAGGATAGTGGTATCTTTTGAGTCAATTGTGTTGTCAGAAATAATAATAATAATAATAATAACTTCACAAGCCCATGCTTCGGATCCTAGCTCTGCAGCCATTCTGTGACCTCACAGGCGTTGGACCCTACAGTCACTGCTATAGAAGTCACATCTGCATCACAGACCTTAGAGCAATGGTTGCTCCACACAAACCCACATTCTGGACCCCGGTTCCATAACAGCTCTACATGTGCCAGTGCCTACAACACAAGAGCCACTACTGCTTTAGAAGCACCCATGCCCTGGACCATACAGAAACTATAGGTATCCACATGCCTTTGTTTCAGACCCTGGCTTTCCAGCTGTTCCATAAGCATCTGTTCATTGCACATTGAGACCAACACTGGAGCCGGGGTGCCTGCATGTTAAGCACCAGTGCCACTGCCACCATGAACATAACCATGAACCAAACCCAACACCAAGAGGGATCCCCTTGGCCATGACTTCCCACACGGGAGAACAAGAAATCAGGAGGGCTCCTACCACCTTCACCAACTCTTAACCCAACAGCCCTCACCACCACTGTGGACATCTGCAGCCTTGGCCACTGAGGACCCTTGCAATCTTCAACGGATGGAAATACACAGAGACTATGCTTTTGTATCTTCACTGGAGCTGGAATTGCTGCATCCCACCCATCAGTACCCTCATACCACCTGTAGGTGAAGGACTTTCCTCACAGAAAGTAGCCTGTAAATTCTGGAATAGGTGACTGCCCCAGCAAATATGCAGACATCAATGCAAGACAAGAAAAGCAGAAAACATCAAGAAAACATGACACTACCAAAGGAAAACCATAATTTCCAGTAGCCAGTCTTCCATAATGGAGATCTACAAATTGTCACAGAAAGATTTCAAAATAAATGCCTTAAGAAAGCTCAAGCTACAAGCAGACTCAATGATATCAAGAAAACAATACATGAAAAAAATGGGGTAAATAAAGAGATATAAATAATTTTCAAAAACAATAAAACAAATTCTGAAGCTGATGAATACAATGAATGAAATGAAAAAAATACAACAGTGACAAAGCAGACTTGATCAAGCAGAAAAAAAATTTGCGAGCTCAAAGACAGGTAATTTGAAATTACCCAGTTAAAGGAAGAAAAAGAAAAAAAGAGTGAAAATGAGTGCAGAAAGCCTATAGGATTTATGAGATACCATCAAGCAGCCCAATTTACACATTATGATAATGTAAGGAGAAGAGAGAGAAAAAGAAATAATATTTAAAGAAATAGTGGCTGAAAATTCCTGAAATCTGAGGAAATATATATACATCAGGATACATTAAGCGCAAAATTTCCCAAACAAATTTAACTCAAAGAGGTCTCCACTGAGGCACATTATAATAAAATTTTTAAGTATCAAAGAAAGAGAGATTTTGAAAGCATCAAGAGAAAAGAGACTCTTCACATAAAGGGGAAATTTCATTAGACTACAGATGATTTCTTAGCAGAAACTTTTCAGGCCAGAAGAATAGGCTGATAAATCCTAAGTGCTAAAATAAGAAGAGAAAAACTACCAAACAAGAATACTTTACTGAGCCAATCTGTCCTTAAGAAATGAAGAAGAGATAAAGACTTTCCCAGACCAAAAAACAAACAAACAAACAAAAAACAAATGAGGGAGTCTGTTACCACAAGACCTGCCTTACAAGAAAGTTCTCCATGCTGAAATGAAAAGACTTTAGTAAGATGAAAATATAAGAAAATATAAAAATCATTAGTAAAAATAAATACATAGTCAAATTGAAAATATTCAAATACTATAATAGTGATAGGTAAATCACTCTTAACTGTGGTATAATGGTTAAAAGACAAAAGTATTTTTTAAAACTATAGTTAATTTTTCAATAAACATACATAATAAAAATATGTAAACTGTGAGATCAAGAAACATAAAATATATTTAGGGGGAGTGGAGGAAAGAAAGGGCAGAGTTTTTGTATGTGATTAAGGTTAACTTGTTATTAGTATAAAATAGACTGTTATAAATCTAATGTGTTTTGTGTTAGCCTCCTGGTAATTGCACAGGAAAAACCTATAGTAGATACAGATAAGATAAAGAGTAAGGAATCATCAGATATCACTACAGAAAATCAATAACAAAGGAAGTGTACAAGAGAGGAAGAAAGAAGCAAAAGAACTACAAAAGAGACAGACACAATTGAAAAAAGGCAATAGTAAGTCCATGCCTATCAATACTTACTTTAAATATAAATGGATTAAATTATTCAATCAGAAGACATAGAGTGGATAAAAATAAACAAATGTGCACATATGCACACACCCACACAAACCAAACTATATGCTGCCTACAAGAGACTCACCTCAGCTTTAATGACATTTATAGGTCAAAAGTGAAGGGATGGAAATGGAAATGGAAACCAAAACAATGGAGAGGTTGCTATACTTACATCAGACAATACAGACTATAAGTCCAAAACTGCCACAAGAGACAAAGAAGGTCATTATAGACAGACAAAAGAATCAACAAATCCAGAGTATATAACAATTGTAAATACATACGCACACAACATTGAGGCACCTACATATATAACATAAATATTACCAGAACTAAATGGAGAAATACACAACACTACAACAAATAGTAGGTAAATTCAACACCTTCACTTTCAACAATGAACATACTTTCCAGAAACAAAATTAATAAACACATTGGATTTGAACTACACTCAGACCAACTGTCCTAACAGACATATGCAGAACACTCCATCCAACAGTAACTAAATACACATTTTTTTCAAGTGCACATTAAACATCCTCCAGGACAGATCATAGTTGAGGCAAAAAAAAAAAAAAAAAAAAATAGGCCATAGCACAGGTAAAAAAATTGAAATCATATCAAGTATTTTTCCAACCACATGATATGAAACTAGAAATCAACAATAAGAGAAAAACTAAAAATTTACAAATATGTGAAAATTAAACAACACACTCCTAAACAACAAATGAGTCAAAGAAGACATCAAAAGGGAAATAAAAAGATTGTAAAACAAATAAAAGTAAAACATACCAAAACTTATGGGATGCAGCATAAGCAGTACAGGAAGTTTACAGTAATAAACACCTATATTAAGAAAAAAGAAACATCTCAAATAAATAACCCAACTTTACACCTTAAGAAATTAGAAAGAACAATCTATACTTAAAATCAGCAGAAGAAAAGAAATAATAAAGATCAGAGCAGAAATAAATAGATACTTAAAAAACAATGTAAAGGATCATGGCTAGGCACACTGACTCATGCCTGTAATCCCAGCACTTTGGGAGGCTGAGGTGGGTGGAGGTCAGGAGTTCGTGACTAACCTGACTAACATGGAGAAACCCAATTTCTACTAAAAATACAAAATTAGCCAGGCGTGTGGTGCATGCCTGTAATCCCAGCTACTTGGGAGGTTGAGGTAGGAGAATCACTTGAACCTGGAAGGCAGAGGTTGTGTTGAGCCGAGTTTGCACCATTGCACTCCAGCTTGGGCAACAAGAGAGAAACTCTGCTCAAAAAAAGAAAAAAAAGTGTAAAGGATTAAGAAAACTAATACATGTTTTTTGAAAAATTTAAAAAATTAACAAACTTTCATTTAAATTAACTGAGAAAGAAAGAGAGAAGACCCAAATAAATAAAAGTACACATTAAAGAGGAGGCCTTTAAATGATATCACAAAGACACAAATTACTGAAAGAGACTATTATGAACAATTATATACCAACAAATTTGATAAGCTAGATGAATTTGGGTAAATTTCTAGAAACACAAAACCTACCAAAACTGAATCATGAAGAAATAGAAAACTTGGACAGACTAATAATAACTAAGGAAATTTAACCAATAATAAAAAATCGCTCACCAAAGAAAAACCCAGGACCTGATAAAATTTACTATTTGGTAGACCTCACTGTTGAATTCAACAGTGAATTCTACTGAACATTTAAGGAGAATTAATGTAAGTCACTTTCAAATTCATCCAAAAAATTGAAAGATAAAGAAAATTTTAAACTAAGGCTAATATTAAGGTATTAAGGCTAATATTACCTTAATACCAAAGCCAGATAAAGACACGAAAATATAAAATTACAGGCCAATATCCCTGAGGAACACAGAGGCAAAAATCCTTAACAAAATATTAGCAACCTGAATTTAACAGCATTAAAAGGATCACATACCTTTATCAAGTGGTATTTATCTCTGAGATGCAAGGATGGTTCAACATACCAAAATCAATAAGTGTGATACACATTAACCATATGAAAAGTAGAAATCATATGATTATCTTATAGATGCAGAAAAAGTATTTAACACAATTCAACATTGTTTCATGATAAAAGCTCTCAACAAATTGGATATAGAAGAAATGTATCTCAACATAACACAGTTTATATGTAACAAGCTCCAAAATAACCGTATACTCAGGAGTGAAAAGGTGGAAGTTTTTCCTCAATGATCAAGAACAAGGTTGCCCACTCTCACCACTTCAACTTAACATAGTACTAGAAGGCTTAGTTAGGGCAATTAGGCAAGAAAACAGAAAAAAAAAAAGGCATCTAAATTAGAAAGGAAGATGTAAAATAGTCTCCTGTTGCAAATGATATGATCTATATATAGATAATCCTGAAGACTCCACCAAAAACACTGTTAGGACTAAGAAACAATTTCATTAAGGTTTCAGGATACAAAAGCAACATACAAGAGGTAGTAATATTTCTATACACTAACTGAAACTGCTTGAAAAATAATTTTTTAAATTCCATTTAAAATAGCATCAAAAATAATATATTTGGAAATAAATTTAAACAAGAAGGTGAAAGATCTGTACACTGAAAACTATAAAACTTTGATAAAGGAAATTGAAGAAGATGCAAATAAATAAAAAGATATTCCGTGTTCATGATTTGGAAAAATTGATGTTGTTAAAATATCTACACTATCCAAAGCAATCTATAGACTCATTGCGTTCCATACCAGAATTTCAATGACATTTTTCACAGAAATAGAAAAACGATTCTAAAATTTTTATGGAACCACAAAAGACCCCTAATAGCTAAAGCAATCTTGAGCAAGAAGAACAAACCTGGAGGTATTACACTTTCTGATTTCCAATTATGTTACAAAGATATAGTAATCAAAACAGTATGGTATTGGGATAAAAATTAGACATATAGATCAATGGAGCAGAATAGAGAGCTTAGAAATAAACCCACACATATGTGGTCAACTAATTTTCCACAAAGGTGTCCAGAAAAAACAATGAAGAAAATACAGTGTTTTCAATAAATTATGTTAGGAAAACTGGACATCCACATGCAAAAGAATGAAATTAGACACTTATCCTACACCATATAGAAAAATCAACTCAAAATGGAGTAAATAATTAAACTTAAGACCCAAACCCTTCAACTTCTAACAGAAAATACAAGGGAAAAACTCCTTGATATTGGTTCTGGCTATATATGTATTTTTTGGTTACAACCCAAAAGTTTCAGGCAACAAAAGCAAATATAATAAGTGGTACTACAAAACACTGAAACATGTTTACACAGCAAAGAAAACAATCCAGAAAATGAAAAGGTGACCTACAGAATGGGGGAAAATAGTTACAAACCAATTATCTAATAAGGGGTTCATATTCAACATATGCGATAGCCCCTCAACCCCCATCCATAGTTTCACTTTCCATGGTTTCAGTTACCCATGGTTAACTGCAGTCTGAAAATATTAAATGGGAAATTCTCAAAATAAACAGTTTATAAGTTTTAAATTAGCATGATGAAATCTCACTCTGACCTGCTCCATTCTGTCTGGGATGTGAATCATCTTTTTGTCCAACATATCCATGCTGTATATGATATTCATCTTTTAATCATCCACATGGCCTGCTCCTGACATCCAACCAGTAACATTATCATGGCTCAAAGATCAGGAACACCCACAGCAGATGATCCTCCTTCTGACATATGATCAGAAGATCAATAGTAGCCTAATGCTACATCACAATGCCTGCATTATTTACCTCACTTCATCTCATTAGGTAAGCATTTTATCATCTCACATCATCATAAAAAGGGTGAATGCAGCGCAATAAAATATGGGCCAGGCATGGTAGCTCACACTTGTAATCCCAGTACTTTGGGAGGCTGAGATTGGTGGATCACTTGAGCCCAGGAGTACTAGACCAGCCTGGCCAACATGGCAGAACCCTGTCTCTACAGAAAATACAAAAATTAGCCAGGCATGGAGGAACATGCCTGTAATGCTAGCGACCTAGGAGGCAAAGGTGGGAGGATCGCTTGAACCCAGAAGGCAGAGGTTTCATTGAGCCCAGATCATGCCACTGCCCTCCAGCCTGAGTGACAGAGTGAGACTCTGTCTAAAAAAAAAAAAAAAAAAAAAAAAAAAATTTAGAGACCATATTCCATATTCCCATAATTTTAATTACAGTATATTGTTATAACTGTTCTACTTTACTGTTAGCTATTGTTCATCTCTTACTGTCCCTAATTTATAAATCAAATTGTATGGTAAGTATGTATGTATAGAGAAAAAAGCATAGTGTATACAGAGTTTGGTACTATCTGCTGTTTCATGTATCCACTATAGGTACTGGAAGATATACCCCCAGAAAAGTAGAGACTACTCTATAAAGAACATATATAACCCAATAGCAAATAAAGCAAATAGCCCAATAAAAATATAGGCAAAGGAGCTCAATAGACATTTTTCCAAAGAAAGCCATGCAGATGGCCAACAGGAATATAAAAATGTGCTCGGTGTTACTAATCCTCAGGAAAATGCAAATTAAAACAACAATGAGATATCTCATAGCATTCAATAAGACAGTTATTATCAAAAGTCAAAAGATCACAAGTGTTGTTGAGGGTATGGAGAAAAGGGACCCCTTGTACACTGTTGGTGGGAATTTAAATTGAAAACAGTATGGAAGTTTTTCAAAAAATTAAAAATGCAATTACCATATGATTCAGCAACCCCACTTCTGGGTATATACCCAAAGGAAATAAAACGACTATCTCAAACAGATCTATGCACTCTCATAGTCATAGCAGCATTATTCATGGTCGCTAAGATACAGAAACAATCTAACTGTCCATCCACAAATGAATGAATAAAGAAAATGTAGCATATATATATATATATATATATATATATATATAATGAAATATTATTTAGTCTTACAAAAGAGGGAAATCTTTACAACACAATGGATGAACCAGGACATCCTGCTAATTTAAATAAGCCAGGCATAGAAAGACAAATAAATATTGCATGATCTCACATGTGAAATATAAAAATGAATAATTAAATAAACTTATCACCTCACTTCATTCCTATTTTTCTGTATGTGGTAAAAACATCTCAGATCTATCTATTCTTTTAGCAAATTTCAAGTATACAACACCTTATTATTAATTTATAGTCATCATGCCATACACTGGTATGCAAAACTTATTTACCTTAAAGCTTGCATCTTTTGACCACCATCTCACACCACACACAGAAAAAGTAGGTATGAGGTGAGGTGATGGATATGATAGTTTTATTGTGGTAAGAATTTCACAATACATAAGTATATCAAAGCATTATATTGTATATTTCAAATATACACAATTTTGTCAATTATACCTCAATAAAGCTGGAAAAAAGAAATCTAATAGCTCCACTTAAATGATGTTCAGCTTCAACGACTTTGTTTGCCAAAAAATTTTGTTAAAAGGTGTTACAGTAATAATCATCTTCTTTAAAATGAGCACTAAAACTCAGAAAATTAATATAGATGTACATAAAATAATGTCAATTTCTTAAATCCTAGAGCATTTGGTTTTTAAAACAAGAGCTGTGATTTCTATTTTGATTGGGGCTCTGATAAAAGTCAGCCAGATTCATTTGCTGCATAAATTACTCACAGATCATTAACAGAAGTTTTTTCTGCAGCTGCAATAACTCATCCAGGCTGTTACAGAACTATGTAACTCACTGCAGGCAGAACTTCCTAAATGTCAACTTAGGAACCAAAGAGGTTTCATGGATCTATATGAAGCTTTAGTACCATCCTGGGTTTTGAACACAGACACTCCACAGACCTGTGACTGTATTTACAGTAGCATAATGATTCAGTTGCTATCTAACATCTAATCTCCAGCCTCTAAATATGCCACAAATGCCACTGTTCACTGCTTATGTGCTAGACTTGCCCACCTTGTCTCATACCTACTTTTAACTACTCTTCTTTATGCTTCTCCCCATAATTTTATGCTAGGCAGTCACCTCCATTGGAAATATTTAGAAAGAGCCAAAAATATATTTAAATGTAAGAAACTCAAGGAGGAATGCACAATCAAGGAGGAATTATGAGGAAATGAGTAGGGATGCAAATAATTCACAGGGTACTAAATATTCTTCCATCTTCCAATTTCCCTTTATGGTACTTTTCCATATTCATCCTCAACTTGAGCTTCCAAGATAATAATGCAATAGCAATTCATATCCCTAGATTATCCACAGATAAAATAGACTGTAGCAGCTGCTGTCCTCTGCCCAGGTCCCCCTTCAGTCTTCAAGGATGTAGTCCCTCAGCTGCGTAGAGTGCTATGGCTGACAGTCCTCAATGATCACCTCTCTCTTGGAATTGCCTGTTGGTGGAGAGAGCTGCCTCTCTTGATGTCACAATCCTTTCCTAAGGGAAATCTGTTTCCAATGCCTGTTGAGGAAGCTTGGCCCCTCACTCACTCAGGTGCAGCTTTCAAAGACAGCTATGAGGGGGAATTCTCTCAGTGTGCAGGGCTTCACGCACTACACTTGGTCATCAAATTCATGTTGAAAGAGATGCAGCCTCAGCCTCAGTTTGGAATATACACAGACGGGTAGGTGCTGAAGGGCACAGACAGATCATCAGAGGCCTAGTGGGAGAGAAATTAGGAGATCATAGACAAGGATATCTGGAGTAGTGTTGTGTAGATGACACTATGGGAGAAGACACAATGTGGGAAGATCTTTCAGTTGCAGGTTAACACCTACCAGAAATCATCTATTTTGGAAGAGGCACTAGACAGCCAAGTAGATGGACTGACTCAGCCACTTGATGCCAGCCAGTTTCTGTCATTGGCCATTCCAGTGCTGCTGAAATGAACACATGAAAAGAGTAGCTTTAGTGTCAGAGATGTTAGGTTATGCTCGGGCCCAACAGCATGGGCTCCCATTCATCAAAGCTGGTCTAGCTCCAGGTGCTGCCGAACAGCAAACTTGCCAGTAACAAAGATGACATCTTCATCCCCAATATTGCATCATTTCTTCAGGAGATCATCCCATCACTAAGCGGCAAGTTCACCACAGTCTACTTCTTTCATCTTGCCAGGGTCAGTGGTTCATTTTTGACAGTAACAAATTCTGAACATGAATTTGCTTTTTCTGTCCCCATGGTTTCAGGCAACACTGTTATCTGAATGCTTGCAGAGTGTCAGATCCAACAACAGCAATTTCACTTATAATTATGTCAGGCAGAGGGACAAACCTTAAAACCAAGCAGGTCCATCAGTGGGTCCATAATGACAGGATCTGCTGGTCATATCACAAGCCACACCACTCTATTGCATCAACCTGATAGAGTGCTGAAACAGCCTGTTGAAACACAACGGAGGTGTAGGCCCAGACATGCTTCCCTGTGAGAATGAGACAGCACTCTCCAGGACATAGCATCTATCCTGAATCAATGAGCATTCGCGGGCTCTGGGTTCCCGATAAACAGAATACATAGATGAGAAACCAAAGTCTAGAAGCAAGAGTGGCCTCTGTTACCAACATTCCCAGTGACCCACTGGAGAATTTGTGCTTCTTGTTCCTGCAACTCTGGGGTCTGTGGGTTTAAAGATCTTGGTTCCCAAAGGAAGAACATTTCTGCCATGAACACATCATCATTTCCCTTGAATCTAAGCTGTGGTAGCTTCCTGGACACATTAAATTTCTCATGGCAAAGGACAAAAGGACAAGAAAAGCAGTCACCATCCTAACAGAGGTAATGGATTCTGGCCCTCCTTTATGCCCCACCTCAGGAGGAGGAGCTGCTGCTACAGGGAGGAATATGCTGGCAATCTACCTTTGGAAAGTCCTTGACCAATTGTTTCGGTAAATGGACAAGTGTAGCGGCCCCAGCCTGAGGCAGGTATAGTGCCCAGGGTTTCATGCCAGTAGATGACCCATCCAGAAGAGCAGAGGTGATGTCTGAGGGTGAGTAGAATCTAGGATGGACAGTAGAAGAGGGAGACTGTGTACTAATTGTGGGTCTTGAGACAAAATGCAGTGGTCAGGCCTGTAATTTTCCTTCAGGATGCTCACTGGAATCCCTGGAGAGGCTACCCCAACATTTAAGTAAAGAAGCAGAACAAGTACAGCAGGGAATGAGCTATAGTAGACATAGCTGAGCTGCCCAGATTCTCCCGCAGGATTGAAGGGCCTGTTCCTCCCCTTTCTCCTCCTGGCACTGGTAGATATCAGCCCAGAGATGTGCAGTGTACTCTGAGCACCTCGAGTTTGGGGCTTGACTTACAGTGCCATGGTGCTTAACACACTTGAAGAGAGGGTGAACGACTGTGTGATAGAATGACTGTTTTAATTACAGCGTAGCAGGGTGTTGACTCTTCTCTTTTGGCTTTGAGACAATGTTCTTGTTCAAGTCATGAAGTCACCTGTCTTTAGAATCACTAAGACTTGGTCCAAGATAACTTAGTTGACTCAAACACTACATTAATCATGTTATGTGACCTATGAAATAGTCTGCTGGAAAGCAAATTATGTCATTTCATTAAATCATCTTATCAGGGATGACCACAAAACCCATGAAATAAGCCACTTTTTCTTAATTTCTTTCATAGATTTCATATTATTCATAAACAAATTTTTAAGAAAGTAATTTAATTTGGGTACAAAAATAATTATATATTAAGATACACTGGATTTTATGTTATGATTGGAAAGTCATATTCATCTGGACGCATTTAGGTAGCAGCTGTAGGATCTTATGTAAGTTTCTGAACTTTTCTGTATTTTAATTTCTGGGCCTTGTTTGTTAAATATACCTTCCTTTTAAGGTTGATGTGAAAATTATATGAGTCAGTAAGGCACTTAAAATGTGCTTGACACAGAGTAAGCCGTCATGTTATTATTATTTTTGAATGCCTATCGTATGTCAGAGACAATAAGAAGGTTTCTCTTGGATAATTGCTTGTACACACATCATCTCATTTAATCCACACAATAACCCTAATGTATAGCTGTTCTTCATGTTACTTATGAGGAAAATGAGGGCCAGAAAAATGAAGCAATCGGCTCAAGGTCACACAGCTAGATAGTGGCCATGCTAAGGCAGCAAAGGTCAAAGCTAGAAGAAACAATCCTGTAGGTACCTTAGCAATTCTTCACAGTCTTTCTTTTCTTGGCTTTATTATGACTCTTTCCATCTGGCCATGTCATCTGTTTGGCCTATTCTCCAGAAGTCAAGAGATTAGATCTGAATCTCAGCAGTCTTGTCCTTGATGCAATAGAGAGCTGAAATCCTCTCTCAGAATACATATCAATATAGGCCGGGCACGGCGGCTCAAGCCTGTAATCCCAGCACGTTGGGAGGCCGAGGTGGGAGGATCACAAGGTCAGGAGATCAAGACCATCCTGGCTAACACAGTGAAACCCTGTCTCTACTAAAAATACAAAGAATTAGCTGGGCGTGGTGGTGGGCGCCTGTAGTCCCAGCTACTTGGGAGGCTGAGGCAGGAGAATGGCTTGAACCCAGGAGGTGGAGCTTGCAGTGAGCTGAGATCGCGCCACTGCACTCCAGCCTGGGCGACAGAGCGAGGCTCCATCTCAAAAAAAAAGAAAAAAGAGAAAGAATACATAACAATATAAAGCTTGATTCTTCCAGCAACTCTGGGAACCAACTCTAAGTTTGCTGATGAAATACCTGTTCCAGCTTACCTCTCAAATATTGCTCTCTGAATATTTTTTGTTGAATTCAAAGAAGTTTGCATGCTTTTATCCATTCGAGAACAAAATTTTCTGCAAATACACCTGAGACATACAATATATGCATGTGGATTTTTTTACTGAAAGCAAGTTTACTGCTCTATCCTTCCGTTTTTCTTCAAAGTATCAAGTTGTACTGAAGTTTGTTACCTCAGTGCTGAATGCCATTTTCTTTTTTTTTTTTTTTTTTGAGATGGAGCCTCACTCTGTCGCCCAGGCTGGAGTGCAGTGGCACGACCTCAGCTCACTGCAACCTCCACCTCTTGGGTTCAAGCGAGTCTCCTGCCTCACCCTCCCGAGTAGCTGGGACTACAGGCGCTCACTGTCATAGCCGGCTAATTTTTGTATTTTTAGTAGAGACAGGGTTTCATCATATTGGCCAGGCTGGTCTTGAACTCCCGACATGAACTGATCCACCTACCTCAGCCTCCCAAAGTGCTGGGATTACAGGCGTAAGCCCCTGTGCCTGGCCCATTTTTATATCATAAAATAAAGCTACATATTTATTTACCTATACTTTTCAAAGTATTGTCACATAGTTATTCTATCTAAAGCAAGACTTAACTTTCAATGTTCAATTAAATCATTCACTGCATTGTGTTTATTTAACATTATATCACCATTGGTTCACATTGTATGTCCTCCTTTGAACTGAGTCAAATATTAACAGTAAAAAGTTATCTTTTTGATAAAAGTTTTAAGCACACTAAATAGGAAATTTATAATGAATCTCAGTTATAGATCTGTTAAAATATGTTTTTAAAGGTATATTTCAAGTTTTCTATCAGAGAATATAGCAATCTGATGAGAGATATCTAGTGCCTCTTTATTAATAGAAAATGACTGAAGCTTAGTCTCACTCTTGATAAAATCATAAATAATTTTTTGAAAACCACATACAGATAATAATGAATGTCTACATTTATAAGAAGTAGAATAATGTTTTGTTATATCATCATCTATTAGAAACATAAAATTTTTTAAACTACAATAACTGTAGGTCCATGGACTGAGTTGAATTATTTCATTAGAAAATAATTTTAAAAGAAAGCCGATTCACTTATCAACATAAAGTATTGTGAAATGGAGTTAATATCTTACTTGTAATATTTCTAGACTTTTTAAAAGGGCTAATATTAAAAGAGAAAGAGAGAGAGAGAGAGAGAGAGAAGCTTGATTAGCCATCAGGGAAATGCAAATACAAACCAAAATTAGATACCACTTCACACCGAGCGTGAAGTGAATGGCTACAGTAGAAAAGACAGACAATCACAAGTACTGGTGAGGATGTGGTGAGATCGGACCCCTCATGTTCTGCTGGTGTGTATATAAAATGTGCAACTTCTTTGGAAAACAGTCTGGCAGTTCCCCACACAGTTAAACAGAGTTACCACATGATCAAGCAATTTCACTCCTAGGTGAATACCCAAGAAAAATGAAACCATGTGTCCACATAAAAGTCTGTACACAAATGTATACAGCAGCATTATTCATATAGCCCCAAAGTGGAATCAACCCAAGTGTCCGTCTGATGAAGGGACAAACAAATGCCCTCATTCATACTATTAAATGGAATACTATTCAGCAATAAAAAGGAATTCAGTACAGATACTTGTTACAACGTGAATGAATCTTGAAATCATGTTAAGTGAAAGAAGATAGTCACCAAGGATGGCTGTATGATTCCACTTATAACAAATGTACAGAATAGGCAATTTATAAAGACAGAAGCTAGATAGGTGATTACCCAAGGCTGGTGAAATGGGGAGATTTAGGAGCCCTGACTGAGTGCAGAATTTATTTTAGAGATCATAAAGAGTGTTTTAAAATTGACTGTGATGATGGCTGTACAACTCTGTAAATATGCTAAAAATAATTAAATTGTATTTTATAAGTGGGTAAATTTTGTGGTGTGAAGATTATATCTTAACAAAGTTGTTAAAAAAAGAGAAACAGTGAAGTGTGTCATACTTAAATGAAAAAAATCTTCATTTCCCTCCAAATTTATTTTAAAATCTTGCCAAAGTGTAGTATATGTAATAAATTGAACGATGAATAGTACTGGATTTTAATCACACTTTACTAATTCTTAATCAAAATATATGCTAGATGAATACTGTTCAATTTGTAATTACTTTGCATAGGCTTTTAAATAGTACTAAATTACTCTAGGTATGAAAAGTCTTTGAAATGAATATTCCACCTATAGAAATATATCCTTTGGAAATAATTAACCACATGTATAATTATTTCACTTCAAGAATGTTCACTAATAATGTTTCTGATAATAAAAATTTAAGATAATCAAAATGCCCAACATTAAGTATTAGTTTAGATAATTTCACATTATTTAAAGATTCAATATTCTCCCCTTTTAAAAAAGCTGTGAACGTACCTATTGAAATGAAAATGCTTATAATATGGAGTTTAATGACTAAAACAGTTTTAAATGAGCATGTACCGTGTGATCATTTTTCTTAAAGATATGCATGGAAAGTTATCTATTAATAGTAATGGTTGTCTCTGGGCAGTGTGAGCATATGATTATGGTGTGTCTCCTTTTATTCATCTATACTTACAAGTCTTTCCTATAATGAGCATCTATTGATTTGGTAACATGTAAGATATTTTTAATTTTAAAAAATAACCAAATCGCATTTTAATGTTAACAGCAAGCAGCACAAAGTACTATGTTGCTCCCTGAATATTTCACCAGAAGGGTTAACTTACATTACCCTGGAAGGAAGACAATAAGAAATGGTGAGCCTGATGGAATAGAGAGAGAGGCTGAGGAGTAGTTCTACCTGCCTGTTTTTCCATGGTGACAGTGGAATATTAATCACAGATGGATGAGACTTAACATTGCTCAGACTATCATTAGCTGTTTTCATCAATCACTGTCCAGTTATTGCTAATCCTCTACCATTCTCATCCTGTGGGGGGTGGAAAATGACAGACTGCGTGTATCAAGCAAGGTTCCCAGGTACAAGCAACAAGAAAAAAAAAATGAAGTTGGCTATGTTAAGATAAATGAATCAACTGGAAGTATGTAGAGGGCTCAGAAAACAAAGGTGATGTAGGGGAACCTGCTTAAACAACCAGTAAGAACAAAAGAAGTTCTAGAAGCCAAGTTGCAACAAATTCCTAGATGGAATGCCAATACCCAGGACCACTCTTAGGCCCAGGCAAGAAGGGCCATTGCCCCAGCTCTGGGTTTTAAAGAAACTCTGGCCCTGTGGCCTTGTCCCTAAGGCAAGAGTCTATGAAGTTGAGGATGCATGTTACCCAGATCCCAAGCCCTGCCTTGAGACCATGTTGGGACACGTATGACCCCAGGATTGTTTGCACAAGTAGTCCTTAACTCACTCAAAGCCTATGCAGTCCTCTTCACAGGCTCCACCCACTCGAACAGAAACTGCATACAGGTGGACCTAGGAGTAGCCAACATGCAGCTTTCTGTTGGGGGTTATGGATGAAGCTTAGATCTATAGGTCAGGCTGTCCACTTGTGTAGGCACAAATTTCTTACAGAGCAAAACACAGCCAAGAGCAAGAATCTAGGGGAAAAGGGCTCGCATACTAAGACCAAACACTGGAGGCCAGTATTCCCAAGCTTCCAGAATCCAGCATGCAAGCCCCAGGGAGCTAAGAATTCTAAACTCAAACATGGCCACCTGGGTTTTTATGAAGGCACATTTTTCCAGGGAGTAGAATAGATATACATATTATGTATATGATTAAGCAGTTTTTAAGATTAACCTACAACTTTTAAATATTTAGTTTTATGGCATGTGGACTTCCATGTATACAGTTGGGTCTTGCAAATGTCATCATTGCCAGACAAACCTAGCAAAGTCTAAGTATATGCTGGTCACTCCTTTATCTTTGCATTTCTTTTCCCTCAAGATACAAAGACCCAGAAAACAAATATATTCATCCCAGGTCATAAGTCACACCCTTGCTGCCAGGTCTTGAGAGAGGGGGATATGGCCTTTGGCAGCCTCTCCAGTGGGAGGCAGGGCCCTATTGACCCACAGGAACACACATAATGGCGATGACCTGCTCTTCTTCTATTAATAAGGAGAGAGAAGTGCATGCTGGACAGCCAAACAAGGCAAAACCCAAAGAAATATGCATTGTATTGGGAGGAAGAAGGCCATCCTTACTCAACTAGCTATATGAGGTCAATGACATTAAGCCTCTTTTTCTCCCTTATAAAATAACCATAAAAATCCCTACTTCATTGGATTGTTAACACCATTAAAAAGATAATATGTGTGAAAAAATGCTCTGCAAACTGCAAAGTGCTATACAAATTAGCATATTAGTGTTATACTCTTGGGAGAGCTCTGGCAGTTGCTAATCAAGAATTAAGAGAAATATGCTAATTAGAGGAGACACCTGACAATGATGAAGATAGGTGGCAGGTAAGACCCCACCTGCTTCAATGCAGCCCTATTCAAATCTTTACATTTTGTATGCTGCTACTCAGCCCCACATTACAATAAATATCTCCCACATAATCTGCACAATTTCCCTACAATAAATTGTCAAGCTTCATCTGGTCATCCCTATAAACTCAATATACTCTAAGCAGGTTGTTAAGTACATTCAAGGATTTCACAATGAACAGCTGAGATCCAGTTATCATTAAAATGAAGTGCTGACACTGGAATAAAGCCACAAGAAAGTGTTTACTGCTACTGCTGCTCTGGAATTATAATCATTTCTTTGCTTGGCCTTTAGAGGACTGAATCATCTGATGCATATCTATCTTGTTTAGTAATAAGATTTGAAACCTAATGTTGAAATGTCCATATCTATGTTTATTAGAACTAGAAACCAGGTCCACATTAAGCTCACAAAACCATAGCTTCTTTATTAATTGCCTACATTTATTATCTATGCTGGCTGCACACAATTTTATGAAGTGATAACTATTTTCCAGTTTAACAGAGTATGAGCTGCAAAGTGGAGAGTTTGGGAAGAAGCTTGACATTTAGTAGGAAGCAAAAGATAAGAGTGAAGTGTTCCTCTCCCCTCTCCCCACGGTCTCCCTCTCCCTCTCTTTCCACGGTCTCCCTCTGATGCCGAGCCGAAGCTGGACTGTACTGCTGCCATCTTGGCTCACTGCAACCTCCCTGCCTGATTCTCCTGCCTCAGCCTGCCGAGTGCCTGCGATTGCAGGCGCGCGCCGCCACGCCTGACTGGTTTTCGTATTTTTTTGGTGGAGACGGGGTTTCGCTGTGTTGGCCGGGCTGGTCTCCAGCTCCTAACCGCGAGTGATCTGCCAGCCTCGGCCTCCCGAGGTGCCGGGATTGCAGACGGAGTCTCGTTCACTCAGTGCTCAATGGTGCCCAGGCTGGAGTGCAGTGGCGTGATCTCGGCTCGACACAACCTCCACCTCCCAGCCACCTGCCTTGGCCTCCCAAAGTGCCGAGAGTGCAGCCTCTGCCCGGCCGCCACCCCGTCTGGGAAGTGAGGAGCGTCTCTGCCTGGCCGCCCATCGTCCGAGATGTGGGGAGCGCCTCTGCCTGGCTGCCCAGTCTGGGAAGTGAAGAGCGCCTCTTCCAGGCTGCCATCCCGTCTAGGAAGTGAGGAGTGTCTCTGCCCGGCCACCCATCGTCTGAGATGTGGGGAGCACCTCTGCCCCGCCGCCCTGTCTGAGAAGTGAGGAGCGTCTCCGCCCGGCAGCCGCCCCGTCTGGGAAGTGAGGAGCTCCTCCGCCCGGCAGCCGCCCCATCTGGGAAGTGAGGAGCGTCTCCGCCCGGCAGCCACCCCGTCCGGGAGGGAGGTGGGGGTCAGCCCCCGCCCGGCCAGCCGCCCCGTCCGGGAGGTGGGGGGCGCCTCTGCCCAGCCGCCCCTTCTGGGAAGTGAGGAGCCCCTCTGCCCGGCCACCACCCCGTCTGGGAGGTGTACCCAACAGCTCATTGAGAACAGGCCATGATGACAATGGCGGTTTTGTGGAATAGAAAAGGGGGAAAGGTGGGGAAAAGATTGAGAAATCGGATGGTTGCTGTGTCTGTGTAGAAAGAAGTAGACATGGGAGACTTTTCTTTTTGTTCTGTACTAAGAAAAATTCTTCTGCCTTGGGATCCTGTTGATCTATGACCTTACCCCCAACCCCTTGCTCTCTGAAACATGTGCTGTGTCCACTCAGGGTTGAATGGATTAAGGGTGGTGCAAGATGTGCTTTGTTAAACAGATGCTTGAAGGCAGCATGCTCGTTAAGAGTCATCACCACTCCCTAATCTCAAGTACCCAGGGACACAAACACTGCGGAAGGCCGCAGGGTCCTCTGCCTAGGAAAACCAGAGACCTTTGTTCACTTGTTTACCTGCTGACCTTCCCTCCACTATTGTCCTATGACCCTGCCAAATCCCCCTCTGCGAGAAACACCCAAGAATGATCAATTAAAAAAAAAAAAAAGAATTTGACAAAGTAAAAAAAAAAAAAAAAAAAAAAAAAAGGAGATTTACTAATGTGGAAGATTAATATGGAAGATTCCTGCTATATGTTCTTTTTTTTTTTTTGAGACAGGGTATCTCTATGTCACCCAGGTTGGAGTGCCTGGGTGCAATCATAGCTCACTGGCTCACTGCAGCCTCTACCTCCTGGGCTCAAGTGATCCCCACTGCCTCAGCCTCTCAAGTATCTGGGACCATAGGCATGTGCCACCATGCCAGGCTAATTTTTAAATTTTTTTGTAAAGATAGAATCTTGCCATGTTGCCCAGGCTGGTCCTGAACTTTTGGGCTCAAGCAATCCTCCCACCTCGGCCTCCAAAAGTGCTAGAATTACAGGCATGAGCCATCATGCCTGGCCATGTTCTCTATTAAATAAAAGCCTTCCATCTCTTTCTTCATTTCAGCCAGTTAAATTGAGATCTAAAGGCTTGAATTTACTATTTAATGCTACCTAATGACATTTCAGAGACTGGCTATAAAAAAGCAAGTGTTGAAAATTAACAAAAACGTCTCTACAAAGGAAATGAAAATGTTCCCTCTTCCTTGAACCAACAGAGAGAGAAATATCCTTTCACTTTATAAAATGAATTCCAAGACTCTGATTTGATGCAGCGTTAAATTGAAAACATTTAGGAAAATATCAATCTTGTTTTCTCCATTTCCATTTGTGCAAAATGGAGACTTGCTGACTATTCATAATTATCAACTTACTCTGTACTGTTTTCTATTAATGTGAATTCATTGGAAGTATACTTTGAAAAGGAGGTCATGTAAAACTCTTGTCCTGGGAAAATTACTTTCAAAATTAAAAAAAAAAAAAAAAGAGTGAAGTGTTTTGATTTAGGAGAAGATGTACATCCAAAGAGACTTCTGTCTTAGGAAACATGAGAATTTTGCTGTAAAGCTCAACCTAGATGCAAAGGAGACTAAAGACAAGCATCCCAGACAATTATAGACCAAGCATTGGGAAAGGAATAAGTTGGGACTGACTCATAAGACACTTAGATGAAGCTAGGACAATGGACATTACGTTAGCTAACCCTGAATTTGTGCTGGAAAGATTTGACAAAACCTAAACCTTATCTATTTCTTATAAGTGCAGAGAACAAATAGTTCAAAACACAGTATCTATAGATAACTCTGTAAAACAAAACAAATTTGTTGTTTGGTTAATTCTCCTCAAGACATAGGTTGCAACTGATATTAAATTTCTTCTCATAGACTATCGATTTACAGCAATGGATTGGTCAAGGAAGGATAAAGAAACTTGGAAAGAACTATCATGATACCTGCCCTGAGAAGCCAAAATTTGGTTTAACTTTGTGTTGTTTACTGTTTGGTTCTATAAAAGCTAAGTTTATAAAATATTGTATGACAGGTGAATTTAAATGTTACTAACCATCTTGGATGTCCTGCTCTTCTGCTGTACAGCAATAAAGTCTCTCTAAATGCAATGTTTGGGACAGAGTTGCTCTGGGAAATATAGTGGTTTGAAAGGTGGCTATTGTACCCAAGATGAATATGTTATTATCTCATTGGACATAGCATCAAATGTTATTTATGAAAATGCTTATCACTGCCACAGGCTTCTGGTCTATACCCATGAAGACATCGCTCAAGCATAGCACCTCAACAGAGTGAAAAGTGCAACCCAATGCTATAGTAAAGGCATCACCTAAAACTTCCTTGCCTCAGACACCTGAATGGCAGTGTCTTCACTCAGGTCCCCACTCAAATGTCACCCCATCAGCAATGTCTTCACCAATAGCACTGTATAAAATGGCAAGTCCACTCTCCAAACAAGTACTTCTTCTCCTTTCTCCACATTATTTATCTCCACCCCACTATGGCCATCTAATGAAGTCTGCATGTATTTGATTCTACATTAGTTTTCCCTCTCTCCCTATATTTTTGCATGTCCAGCTCCATGGACCCAAAAGTACAGTCTGAGCAAGATGTTTGAAACCACCTTTGCAAAAATTATGACATTGAAAGTAATCGGACATAGCTGAATCCATCTTGCTTCTAACCTCACATGCTGCCCTTGTTCACTTCTAGGCATAGGCCAAGCTAACTATGGGAGGAATTTGGTTTATAGTTTAACTTTAAACAAAGACAACCGTCCTTTCCTGAAACTAACTCCCTTCCCAATGGCTCCTATAGATACTACTATTGTAAAACCTAACATTGGTGTTTGAGCTATTTTTTTGACCCTACATTCTGATGGATCAGCTGGCACCACCTGGCCTGATAACCCATACCAAGAAACTGGTTTATCTGGTCTTGTGACCCTCACCCAGGAACTGACTCAGCATAAGAAGACAGCTTCCAACTCCAATGATTTCATCCCTGACCCAACCAATCAGCATCCCCATTCCCTACGCCTCTGCCCACCAAACTACCCTTGAAAAAACCTAGCCTCTGAATTCTTGGGAGGGCAGATTTGAGAATTATCTCCCATCCTTCTGCTTCGTTGGCCCTGTGATTATCAAACTCTTT
This sequence comes from Homo sapiens, assembly GCF_000001405.40. Taxonomy (NCBI): domain Eukaryota; kingdom Metazoa; phylum Chordata; class Mammalia; order Primates; family Hominidae; genus Homo; species Homo sapiens. The sequence goes on from NC_000004.12 coordinate 187,661,415, forward strand.
CTTTGCTGCAAAACCTGCTGTTCTCAGTGAATTGGCTTTTCTGGGCAGTGGGCAAGAAGAAGTAGTCAGGCTGTTACACCTTCACAGCACTCAGTGATGGTTCTTAGATGAAAGTAACAACTTATAAGCACGTGGATCTGGATGAGTCCAGCATGTCCCGAGATGTGTAGCATGTTTGCGCAGTAGAACAAAGGCTTCAGGGATGTCTGGTTCACATGTGGCAGTCAAAAAAGTCACAATATTAAATTATAAACCTTCTTCCTTCCCCTTCCTTTTTTTCCTTTAGATTCTCAATAAGATTCTATTTTGAAATAAAATAGAACAAAGGCTGATGTGCTACTAACAAAACCTTTTGAAGGAAATTTCAAAACAAGAGCAAGTTAAGGCATGCCAATTTATTATCATACTCTTGGATTAAATTCCCACTTTTTGCCTGTATTTTCACATCTGTAATTTGGAGGAGTAACTTCATGGGTTGTTAAAACAGCAATTAATAACTGTGTGTTTTAAGTGTTAGTTTTAAATATTACTTTCTATGTAGCAAAAAGATTTCTGATAGTGCTATAATTCTCCAAAGAGTAGGGTCCTGAGTAAAACAGAATGTCACTGTTACTACTTGACGATTGTCTTCTGAAATAACATATTCAAACCCATGTACTTTACTTACTATGAAGCATTTTATGGCTTTGACGAAACCATTTCAACCCCATTCTTTCCCATGTTTTAAGGGTTTTTTTAGGTAGCTCAAACTCAGCACATCCACGAAATATCTCATCATCTTTCCCCCCACACTCTGTGTCTATACCTGAATTCTCTTTGATGAATAGCAAAATTTCCTTCAAGTTACTCTTACCAATAACTTTGGAAATATAGATTTGTGAAAGGAAAAGAAAATCTCAGGACCCCAAACTCTCTGTCAAAGGGAAAGCAAGTCACACAAAAAAACTGCCTTCCTCTTGTTCCCAAGCAGACAACTGTAATTTCACATGTGAAATGTAGATTTGCCAAGCCAGGAAAAGACATACTTGACCTTTTCCACCACTCCTCTCTTTTCACATGTCAAACAAAGATTTTTGTGAGTGCTAATCAAAGCCTCGCAAGAATGTAATGACCACACTGCCTAAGTTCTACCTCCCCCCCACTTTTTTTTCTTTCCTCCTTCCCCTCCTGCCTGCTCTTTCCCCCTGTAGTATTGAAGTTCTCAAAACCTTCTTTGGAAAAAGCACAGTCCACATTCCAGGCACATCCTCAACTGTGGCAATATACACCTCTAAATCTGTGGCAGACACTTTTGGTTTACAGCATGATGCATCCTGATGGATGCATTCTGAAGTCAGATTGAGCTGCATCTAAACTCTGCTTTACCAACACCTGTGCAATCTCAGCCAAGAGCTCGAAACTCTCAGAGCCTCCAGTTCCTTCGTCATTGAAGTGAGTACAGAGTACCCACTCATAGGTTCCTTGTGAAGAGTAAATGAGATAATGTTCACAAAATACTTAGCATGCTACTGGCTTATAATATCCATTCAATTAAAATTGATGATGATGATTCAGGCTTTAATCATTTCTTGCACTGATGGCTTTCTTGTCAGTTTTTCTTTCAGGAACATGCAATTCTTCCTACTCTGGTTTTGTTTCTCCGCATGTCTACAGAGCTGCCAGAGGGTTACATTTAAAGTACATGACTGTTCATGCCAATCTCCTACTGTCCTTCAATGGCTCCCCAAGGCTTTCTTTCTAAAGTAAAAACTCCTTTCATTAGCACGCAAGTCCCTTCACGGATTGAGTACCCTCTGTTCCTCTAACCTCATCTCTAACGCTCTCAAGACTTGCCATTTCTGCAACAGACAGATCCAACTGCTTTGAGCACTTCCAATGAGTCATGCAGATCATGTGTCTGTACATCCCACCCAGATATACGAGGCACTAGCCACTGTTCCAATTTATCAAGCAAATGCTTACTCACACTTTAGGGAAACTTCTTTAATAATTTAGAATCACCTGTATCTTTTCTCCCCCAGCATATACATACTCCCCCAGTGTATGTATATTTGTTGCAAAGCTTATTACATTTTGGTGTGGATGTGATTTACTTGTTTATTTCTTTCCAAGTAATCAAACCAATTCATCTTTCCATCTCACAATGTTAGACACCGTGCTTGGCACATACAGATATATAATGGATATATATTAACTAAGCAGATACATATGTTAAAATGAGATCTGAGTCATGAAGATAATGAGCTTCTCTTTCCCAGCTCACTGCAGTACTCTTCTTACTGTGCCTGACTCTGATGGGCTCCATTTTAGAATTTTAAGGTTGTGAGGTTGTGTTACCAGAAAGGGGTCATGATCCAGACCCCACAAGAGGGTCCTTGGATCTCTCCCACGAAAGAATCAGGGTGAGTCCCCAGTGCAAAGTAAAAGCAAGTTTATTAAGAAAGTAGTGAAAGTACAGCTACTCCATAGACTGAGTAGGGCGTTTCCAAAAGTAAGAGGAGGAACATGTCCACCCTAGGTACAATGCTTGTATACACGGGGAGATGTGCTCTGCCACAAGGGTTTGTGATAAAGGATTAATTTTCTTAATTACTGTATTTTGCAAGAATCAATATTATTATCTTTAAAGCAAAATTAGGAGTGCCTTTGTTCTCCAGATATCGGGATATCTGGACACCCCCAGGTCAGGTTTGTTTAATCAACATTATTAATCTGTTCCCTTAACTGTAAACATCTAGAGGCGAGAAATGTGTGACTTTCTGGGAATGCGGCCCGGCAAGTCCCAGCATCATTTTCCTGCCCCTCACTCAAGATGGAGTCATTCTGGTTTCAACACCTCTGACAGTTGACAGGGCATTATAGGTAAAGTAGTAGATCTCTCATCAGAAACAAGAATCCCCACTACAACCAGGCCCCAACTCACCTTATTTCAGAAATGAGTGAAAAAGAAAACATCTTCAAAGAGGTTATCTGTGCTCCTGTCCCTTACGAGCAAGATAAAATCCACTGTACTTCACTTAGTACTATAATGTTAAGTGTCTGCTTCAAGGTGAAAGATTTAACTGCTATTTTTTACACGTGGCACTGATAAAACTCAAAATGGGACACAAGGCAGAATAGCATGACAATGACATCAGATTTAGGGAGGCCCAAGTACGTCTGTCTTTACAGGATTATTTCTTAGAAGTTAACTGGGCTCAGAGAGAGTATATTCAAGGTCTTTTTTTTCCTTTTCTTTTTAATTAGTGTGGGTCAGAGGAATTTTGGGAGTGGATCAATAGATTGCCAACCTCCCACTACATCAATGTACCTTCCAAGGGAAAATAGACAATTTAGTTAAGCTCTGCATTTCCTGAACAACTTCTGGATCAAGAGTTCATTATCTGCTATATTTGCCAATATGTAAAGCCTTCAGGATAGTTGCCATAATTAAACAAACAAAACCTTGTATTTGCAGACATATGATTTGAGATTCAAAAGGATTTCTTCTTTTATTTTTGGTGTTAGCTTTGACCCTTATTCTGCTTGTCACTTTTTCTTTAGGGAGTGTGCAATTCTAAATGCTTCTCGCTTAGACAGTAGCTTTGACATCCAGTACAAGTGGACCCCTCACCTTTTACAAAACAGTTAAGCTACTTATCAGATTTCCTGGTTTCTCAAACCACTCTTTTCTATCAGGTGGAAAGGACTATTCTCTTGGGAGATCGAGGGCCATGAGATATAATTAACTTTCCCCATCCCTTCCCTCTTAGGAAATGGCTTTTAAACAACTTCTATGCATCCCACCATGGTTTATGACTACACTATATTAAACATGATGAAGCATTTTCAGAGAGGAGGGCCATCATTATGAAGTGAGTTTAAAAACAAATTCCCATGAGATCTGATAATTATCTCATGGAGCAGAGATTATCTGCCTACTGTAAGAGGCTTTATTTTGTTCACTGCTGTGCTCATAATAATAGCTTGCAGTGTGATATAAAAAGGAGAGAGTGAAGCATACAATCTCAGGAGACCAGAGACACCACTTCAGTTCTATAAAGGAAATCAGACATAAGAAGACAAAAACAGTGCAAATAACAATCATATTCTGAAAAAGAATTTGATCAACTCTCAGTCATCTTTCTTGGTTCACATTGACGCAGTTTAGCAGAAACATTTATTGTTCGTATTATTCCATGTCTCTGGCTTTCATTCCCACATGCAGTCTACAAATCAGGTGGAGATATTTAAACCAAAGTACTTCATTCCCTTCCCCAAATGAGGAAGTAGTGATGAGAAAAACCGCAGAGAAAGAGAGAGCAAGAGCGCGAGAGAAGGAGAGTAAAGATAAGAAGGCTAGCTTACTCTGACACTTGTCACCAGCAGGAGATGTGGTCTAGCCATTCCTCACAGAGCAGGAAACCAGGGGCTGTTGCATTCAGCTGTGAGCAGAAGACAGAGAGGGAGCCTGAAGGTGGGACTTCATTATATTATTTAAAGCAAATTTACAAAATCTCCTATTCATGCGTAAGTTAAAGTACAGAATCACATTTCCAGGCCAAGTATAAATGCAATATTGTACTTAGTACCAATTCAAATAAAGACGAATGGATAATTGAGACCTGTGAGCAACACACTCCTTGGTACCAATTCAAATAAAGACAAATGGATAATTGAAACCCGTGAGCAACACACTCACAGGTGTCAGGATTGGAGTACCACAGAAACTGATCATCGCTGCAGCCCTACGAGAGCATTTGGTTCCATCCTCTCACTCTGCAGATGAATATAAGCCAGAGAGATGAATCACCACACTGAGACCCAGACTGGGTGGTCTTTCTCCAACGAGTTATGCAAAGATTATGTTTATGTTACATACAAGTAAGTTGTGTGTGTGTGTGTGTGTGTGTGTGTGTGTGTCTTTTTGGCCATTTTAAGAGTATAGTATTTCCAGGGGGCTGTTGTAAGTATTATGTGTCTCAAAACATCAAAAGAGTGTAGAATCCTAGTGGATGGAAATAATATAATAATATTTATTGCACGCCTGCTAGGTATGCAATGAGGTATGTTACCTATATTGTCACATTAATTCTCAAACAGCCCTATGAGAAACACCTCATCTTCCAGGTGAGGGGTGCTGACACTCTGAGCAGTTAAGTGCCTCTTGCTATGTTGACAAAGAAATGGAGAATGAGTTTAAACCTGGTCACTGGTGTCCCAAATCCCAGTCTTTCTGCCTCATTAGACTGCCTTCGGCACGTCCACTAGCATGGTCTCAGGAAATTCTGTTTGTGAAGTTCCTGCTTGTGTTTTAGCAAGCGAACGAGTCGTTGGAAATAAATAACTGTCCCGTGACTCCCACTCATGACTTTTCTTGACAACCTGATGGCAGCATTGCACAAGATGGAAAATGCTGTGCGATGTCTAAGGAGGGTGGAGCAGGCTCAGCTGCAACATGAAACATCCATCTTCCTTTAGCGTCTCCTCTGCACATCATTCACACTTACAGTGCAGCCCAACTTTTCTCAAGAAAAGCCATCATGTCCCGTGAGGCTTTCTGGGCTCTGATCCTAAAAGGACAGTACATTTGGAAGCTGCCTTTGAAGCCTGTTCACACATGTCTGCTGCTGAAGTTAAGTTTCCAGTATGTGAGGACTCTCAGCATAGGGGTTGGATAAAGTAGTTGATGAGGATTCACGTGTAAATAATGAAAGAAGCAAGTCGATCTTTGTTGCTGTTATTCTGAGGGAGAAAATAGATGGGCTGGCCTGCCACTCAGAGGCTGCAAGGAATAATTTATCAGGTGATGTTATGTTTGAAACACAAAAATAAGAGTTAGGAAATTTGAAAGTTGGTCAGCATTAATTTTCTGCTAGCAAACAACTAGAGATGTTGTCAAAAATGCCAGCTAAGGCATTTAATGAGGGGGTGTACCATGAAAACAAGTAGCAGACACAAGCTCATTCATTATCTTTGTTCCTTACCTGTGAATACTGAACAATTTGTCTTTCTAAATCAGTTATGTTTATATTATGATCATTCAACACAGAAAGAATTATCCAATCTAAAATCACCTAATTTATCTAGATCAGGGTTTGGCAAATATTTTCTGTAAAAACCCAGATAGTATTTCTGGCCAAATTAGACAAATCCTGGCCTATTTTTTTTTTTTTTTTTCGTAATTGTTGGCAGTAGCATGTTTAATATGAGAAAGTCTTCTTTGTTTATGTTCAAGGACAAGGAGAAAGAGAATTTGGGAGAGATGATTTGAGTAGGCCAGACTGGAAGCGGCAGTAGGAGATTACAGTACGGCTGCTTCCTTGCTGTGGGGGATTTATCTTTGTACTCTTTGCTTGGGAGAGATAGTTAATGAGTCTTAACATCGGCTCACGACACAGGTGATTTGCCAGAAAAGAGTCCTCAAGGGCGAATTAAGGAACAGCCCAGAACAACAGGATCCCAAGTTATTCTATCATGGTAACTTCTGTCTGTTCAAGACCACACAGCCTCATCTCTCAATAGCACTTTTTTCCCCAAAAGAAATGCTATTTTCAACATCTGACTTAATTTCACACTGAGTTCCTTTGTTTTTAATTTTTAATTTAATTATTATAGGATGTGATTATTTTGTATTCAACGGGGCTTACTTTGCTTTGGATATTATTATACTTTATCTTAGCCTTTCATCAAATAACAGTATCCTACGGTGTAATCAGGCATCAAGAGATAGAGAAAGATCATGCATGGTTTTAGGGTCCAGGCACTTCCACATGCAAAGCATCTAACTATAGTTTCTCTCTGAACCCCAGGTGGCTCATGTATGAAATGAGGCTGGGTGCGGTGGCTCATGCCTGTAATCCCAGCACTTTGGGAGGCTGAGGTGGGTGGATCACCTGAATTCAGGAGTTGGAGATCAGCCAGCCAACATGGTGAAACCCTATCTTTACTAAAAATACAAAAAATTGGCTGGGCATGGTGGCAGGTGCTTGTAAATCCAGCCACTAGGGAAGCTGAGGCAGGAGAATCACCTGAACCCGGGAAGTGGAGGTTGCAGTGAGCCAAGATAGTGCCATTGCACTCCAGCCTAGGTGACAAGAGTAAGACTGTATCAAAAAAAAAAAAGAGAGAGAGAAAGAAAGAAGGAAAGAAAGAGAGAGAGGGAAGGAAGGAAGGAAGAGGAAGGAAGGAAGGAAAGGAAAGGAAAGGAAAGGAATAATTTCTCACTCCTAAGGTCATTGTGAGAACTGGAGATGACACAGGCCCAGTGCTTGTCATAATGTCTAGCCCATCCTAGATACTCAGTGCTGGCTGTTCGTAGCCTAATATAGCAAAGTGCTGCTTTCAAAGCCATGTCACTTTGTTTCTCTCGTTTTTTTAAGCAGCTGAATATAATGTCTATTACGTGTGGGAGTCTCCTTTTTCTCTGAAGTAAATTATGTCTAAACAATTTATATTATGAATCATTGGGATGGGTGTTTCACTGTCTAGAACTCATATTTTCCTATGACTTCCCTTTTGACTCATTATACTTAGTGAACTAAGTTTCTAGTAACAGTCCAGGAGGCAGGGGCCTGTTTCATGACTGACAGTGGTTTTGTGCTGCGAAGAGATCAAAAGGCTTGATTTTACATTGTCATACCTTATTTTTCCTGGACTTTGCTTATGCTCTGTTGATGGTGATAGCACAAGGATTCCTATAAGTTTGTATATAATAATGTAGTTGTTTGTAGAATTTGGAGCTTAGAATAAGTATTTTTTTTCTTTAAAACAGAAAATTGTAATAGTTTCCCTTAAAGGGCTGTCCTCTCACACAGTTAAAATTAGCTGTCTTACTAGGTAAAACTATATTATTTTGTAATGATTAAACTAGTATGGCCATTCACCTCATGTCTCTCAACAGTTTCTTGTCAAATTTGGGAGAAAAAAAAAAGCGACCTTATAAGATTACTGCATTCCAAATGCTAGAGTGCATTATGCCTGGGACCAAATGGGACAGGATATATGCTCGCCTCTACTTGGCTGTGTAAAATTTGCTTGGAAAAGAGACATTCTGTCTTTTGAAAGAGAGCATGACTTTCCCTTGCATTGTGATCTATGAGCTGTAGCTAAGAGCACCCTCGGCAGTGCAGACCCTAAGGCAAACCTACCACATGTGTCTCTCCTTCTCCCAAGGATGTTTTCTACAGGCAAAACCCGAATAGTAGAGTGAGCATAAAGGCTGTCTTGAGAGAGAGAGAGGATCCAGAAATTTTTAAAGAATTGCTTAATTGACTTGTTTCATGCTCTTTCTATTCCCCCTCCCCCTCCCACACAGAATAGATAGTGCATCATCTCCTTTTATCTCTTATCTTGTTTCTGTGGGGTTTTTTTTTTTAACGTCATTCATGCTGTAAATCACTTTTTTGTTTGTTTGTACTTTGCTTCTTTATTTTTAATTTTTCCATAAGTTATTGGAGCACAGGTGGTATTTGGTTATATGAGCAAGTTCTTTAGTGGTGATTGGTGAGACACTGGTGCACTCATCACCCAAGCAGTATGCACTGCACCATATTTGTAGGCTTTTATCCCTCGCCCCCTCCCACTCTGCCCCCCAAGTCCCCAAAGTCCATTGCATCATTCTTATGACTTTGTATTCTCAGAGCTTAGCTCCCACATATCAGTGAGAACCATACAATGGTTTGGTTTTCCATTTCTGAATTACTTCACTTAGAATAATAGTCTCTAATCTCATCCAGGTCACTGCAAATGCTGTTAATTCATTTCTTTTTATGGCTGCATAGTATTCCATCGTATACATATACCACAGTTTCTTTATCCACTTGTTGATTGATGGGCATTTGGGTTGGTTCCATGATTTTGCAATTATGAATTATGCTGCTGTAAGCATGAGTGTGCAAGTATCTTTTTCAAATAGTGACTTCTTTTCCTCTGAGTAGATATCCAGTAGTGGGATTGTTGGATCCAATGGTAGTTCTACTTTTAGTTCTTTAAGGAATCTCCACACTGTTTTCCACAGTGGCTGTACTAGTTTACATTCCCATCAGCAGTGTAGAAGTGTTCCCTGATCACTGCATCCACACCAACATCTACCGTTTTTTTTGTTTTTTGATTATGGCCATTCTTGCAGGAGTAAGGTGGTATGGCATGGTGGTTTTGATTTGCATTTCCCTGATCATTAGTGTTGTTGAGCATTTTTTCATGTTTGCTGGTCATTTGTATGTCTTCTTTTGAGAATTGTCTATTCATTTCCTTAGCCCACTTTTTGATGAGATTGTTTGTTTTTTTTTCTTACTGATTTGCTTGAGTTTGTTGTAGATTCTGGGTATTAGTCCTTTGTCAGATGTATAGATTGTGAAGATTTTCTCCCACTCTGTGGGTTGTCTGTTTACTCTGCTGACAGTTCCTTTTGCCTTGTGAAAGCGCTTTAGTTTAATTAAGTCTCAGCTATTTATCTTTGTTTATATTGCATTTGCTTTTGGGTTCTTGGTCATGAAATCCTTGCCTAAGCCAACGTCTAGAAGGATTTTTCCGATGTTTGCTTCTAGAATTGTTATAGTTTCAGGTCTTAGGTTTAAGTCCTTAATCCATTTTGAGTTGATTTTTGCATAAGGGGGGAGATGAGGATCCAGTTTCATTCTCCTACATGTGGCTAGCCAATTATCCCAGCATCATTTGTTGAAAAGGGTGTCCTTTCCCCACTTTATGTTTTTGTTTGCTTTGTCAAAGATCAGTTGACTGTAAGTATTTGGGATTATTTCTGGGTTCTCTATTCTGTTCCATTGGTCTATGTGCCGGTTCCCTCCCTGATTAGCTTAATAACTAACCTCCTGAATTCTTTTTCAGGTAAATCAGGGATTTCTTCTTGGTTTGGATCCAGTGCTGGTGAATCAGTGTGATTTTGGGGGGGTGTTGAAGAGCCTCATTTTGTCATATTACCAGGGTTGGTTTTCTGGTTCCTTCTCATTTGAGTAGGCTCTCTGAGAGAAGGTCTAGGGCTGAAGGCTGTCGTTCACATTCTTTCGTCCCCCAGGTTGTTCCCTTGATGTAGTACTCTCTTCCTTTTCCTATGGATGTGGCTTCCTGAGAGCCAAACTGCAGTGATCGTTGTCTCTCTTCTGGGTCTAGCCACCCAGTGGGTCTACCCGGCTCCGGGCTGGTACTGGGGTTTGTCTGCAACGTCCTGTGATGTGACCTATGGGTCTCTCAGCCATGGATACCAGCGCCTGTTCTGGTGGAGGTGGCAATGATGGGGGTGCAATGGACTCCGTGAGGGTTCTTAGCTTTGGTGGTTTAATGCTCTATTTTTGTGCTGTTTGGCCTCCTGCCGGGAGGGGGCGCTTTCCAGAGAGCATCAGCTGTGGTAGTGTGGCGAGGAACCGGCGGTGGGCGGGGCCCTAGAACTCCAAGATGATATGCCCTTTGTCTTCTGCTACCAGGGTGGGTAGGGAAGGACCCTCAGGTGAGGGTGGGGTAGGCACCTCTGAGCTCAGGCTCTCCTTGGGCGGTCCTTGCTGCGGCTGCTGTGGGGGCTGGGGGTGAGATTCCCAGGTCACTGGAGTTATGTACCTAGGAGGATTATGTCTGCCTCTGCTGAGTCATGCAGGTTGTCAGGGAAGTGGGGGAAAGCCGGCAGTCACAGGGCTCACCCAGCTCCCACCCAAACCAAAGGGCCGGTCTCACTCCCACCGTGCACCCCCCAACAGCCCCCAGTCCGTTTCCAGGCGGAGAGGGATACAGGCCTGAAAACCTGCCCCAGGCTACCCGCCTCCCAGCTGCGAGAGAAAAAGGCTTGGTTCTTCCCCCGCCTGTGGAGTCAGCACCCCGGATTCGTGCCCTGCCCTAGTTCTGGCCAGGAGGATTCTCACCCAGTTCAAACTGTTACAACGCTCAGCTAGAGATTTCCTTCTCCCTGTGGAGTTTTACCCCCTCCTCTCCCGATGGATCCCTGTGGTGCCAGCAGGAATGGGCTGCTCGGGGACCCAGCGAGCTCCGCGGGCCTTTCCGCTGCTTCCTCTACCCCTGTACCTCACTGGGCTCCCCAGACGGACTCAGCTCCAGGTAAAGTTGGAAATTCTCCCGCAAGCAGACCTTCAGCTTCCCCAGTGGGGGTGTGTGTTTGGGAGAGGAGGGTCTCCCTCTCCCACTTCTGCAGTTGGGGCACTCACACTTTTGCGGGGGTCTCCCGGGTCCTGCAGGAGCAGCCCACTTCCTTCAGAGGGTCTGCGGGTCCTCTCGGGACTGCTGGTTTCTTCCTGCAGTCCATCTGGAGCTAAAAGTCACAATGCGAGCCCCGCACGCTGCCCTGTCGGGAGCTGCAATGTAGTCCTGCCTCCCGTCCGCCATGATGATCTGTTCTCCTGCTGTAAATTCATTCCAGATCCAGATTCTTTCTCAGCGGCCCTTGGTGTGTGTCAGAAGCCATAATCGGTGTGTGCTACCCACCCCTACTATGCAGGGCAGCTTCATTTCCATGGGTTGCATTGATAATTATTGGCTTATTATTATATTTTTCTATGTCACTTTACATTTCTTAGTGTTTCTTACATGCTTAGCATATTTCTACACATTTTTTTCTAATTCCCAAATGAGAAGAAAGCAAATACCAACAGTATTTTCTTTCTTTGATCGTATATCCCTCTGTTCCTGTGTCAGGAAAATGTGAAGATTCAAAAGATAATTGAAAGATGATTTTAAAAAGTATTTAACATTTATTTTAAAAGCACTAAAGTTTGTTAGCAAAAGGCTTCTGTTAAATGTTGGGAGAAAAGAAAGACTTTTGGAATTTCATGGAAATATTATTCATGTGTATTTACCAATTGGTTATATGAGACATGAAGTTTTTTCCTAAGAGATAAATTCTGATCTTATACAAACCTGAGAATCTATAGGGTAAGAGGTGGAGAGGAGAGACGAACATCACATACACATCTAGCAATAATATAATAATATAAATTAGTAAAACATTCTTGAGTACAGTTAGCAATCTGTATTGAAAGCCTTAAAATACAAATGTAAAGGTGGGCGATAGACACCTTCTCTTTAGTAATCAGAAAAATTAAGGCAAAGTTGCCATCAGTTGAGATACCCAGTAATTTTTTACTTGCATGTTCCTCCTGGCTTTGTATATAATTATTGCAAATATAGCTTATAGCCTAATTCCTTTCCTTTATGTTTTAAAACTCCTAGTGTTTCTTTCATGCTGCAGTGCCTTCCTTCAGTTCAACTAATGTTCACAGAAAATCTGTAGAATGAGCAGGTAAATCCTGGAACCTCAGAATGTCAGGAAGTAGAGCAGAGAAGGAGGGGTACGGGCAGGTGCGCAGCTCGGCCTCTCTCAGTGCTCGGGTGTGTGGTACAGGTGAGTGAACACCTGGGCTTGCTTGTGCCCATAGACACATTAAATACCAGACAATTAAAGTAGGACAAAATCAACACTTTCCTGGAACACCGGGGGCAAGATCAATCCCAGGCAAACAGCTGCCTTCGTGGCTGCCCTTTTGATATTCTACTTTCTCAAATTATTCTTACATTCTTTCATTTATTCATCAAATATGTTTTGCTCCCTACAACATGCCATGTACTTTGCTAAGATTAGGGTATATAGATAAATAAGCCATGACTGCTTCTAGCACAAGAATATGTATAAAGAAAGTTGTAGATCTATATAGAAGAATAGAAGCAAAGGGGCAGAGTGGCACAGTGACCAAGTGCGGACTTGCAGGTGAGTTAGAGTTTCAGAACTCCTTTGTGTCATTTATGTGACTTGGGTAACTTATTTAACTTCCATGAGCTTCAGTTTCATTATCGTAAAAGGGGATAAAATGCCTATGTTAGGAAGTTATAGTGGAAATGAAGTCAAAGGAAAGAGTGTGGTAAAACAGCGAGCATGTATTTGGGACACGATAGCAGCCAAAATATTGCTTAAGCATTACACATATGTAACGTATCTCCTGCTTACCTAGTTGGTTTTCTTTTTTTTTTTTTTTGAGACGGAGTCTTGCTCTGTCACCAGGCTGGAGTGCGGTGGTGCGATCTTGGCTCACTGCAAGCTCCGCCTCCCGGGTTCAAGCGACTTTTCTGCCTCAGCCTCCGAGTAGCTGTGACTACAGGCGCGCGCCACCACGCCTGGCTAATTTTTGTATTTTTAGTAGAGATGGGATTTCACCATGTTGGCCAGGATCATCTCAATCTCTTGACCTTGTCATCCACCCACCTCGGCCTCCCAAAGTGCTGGGACTACAGACATGAGCCACCGTGCCCCGCCGCTGCTCACCCTGTTTGACGAAAAGTTTCAAGTGGCTCAGGTCCTGGGTGGTCGGCGGGGACAGATGGGGAGAGGTCTACCCTCATTCCTGGGCCACTACACAAGCTGTAAATGTTCTGTAAGCTCTGCCGCCTCACCTTTGGACGAGTCATTCTTTCTCCGCAGTGTGCAGACACACCTGCAGGTTTTGGGGAGCAGAAAAATCTCATTCCACAAGTCTTAACACAAATCCTTTTCCCTGTCACTTAGGCCAGCTTCTCAGAGTCTCTGTCTTAGCTTTGCAGCGGCTGCCATGCTCAGGAATGTGATCTCTAGAGTATCAGGTGTGAACAGATGTGGGAAATATACCAAGAACACATAAATCAAAGTTGCATGATACAACCACAGAGGTGATAGAACAGAGGAGTCCCCAAATCCACCCCCATGAGGTCAAGAAAAATTTCTCAGAGAAAGCATCCTTTGAAATGGGCTATTGTAAGAAAATAAGGAATTGCATGGGTGGGACAGATATGGGAGGGTATTCCAGGCAGATGAAATAAATTATGAAGTACTGAATCCCAAATTATATATTTGTGTATACCCCGTTTGTTCCCTGCTAGTGAGTGCAAATAAGGGCATTTTAATGCCCCATCACCATGGCTCTTACTAGCCAAACTGAAGGGCATTAGCCAGCCCTGTCTTCAAACATGCTCCATCCACTGTTCTCTATCCCAGAACCTGTAGGAAAATATCAGAGATGTTGAGAGAGAAGCCCACTCATGTTCTGGTGCTCCACTTTCCCCATGGAAAGCTGCTCACTGGTAAGTGGCGTGACCCATGAAGGTCAGTGTCAATGCCAGGGGGAGACAGTATATCCTGCTGGATGGAGATGCCGGGGGGAGACAGTATCTCCTGCTGGATGGAGGGCGTGCAGTTCCTCCATCACAGCTTGACACTCCCAAAAAATAGCGACAACTTTGTTCAAGTGCAAAAAGAACAATCGGATTTGTATTGGAGAAACTTTACTCTGGCTGCTGGATGGGGACCGGATTTAGGGAGAACCATCAGGAGCCTGTCCTCATTATTCAGGTACAAAATGATCATGGCATGAGTTGGCAGTGGCAGTTGTGATGAAAGGAAGTGGATAAACTTAAGAGATATTTAGAAGGAGAATCAATAGCACTTCGTGATCACCTGGAGACCCCGAGCAACAACAGGGCAAAGTCATGAGTAATTTAGCAGATTCTGGATTGGAAATGGGATGCAGAGTGCTGCTGGGCCCTCCGTGAGGCTGGGAGAGCTGAGTGTGTGTGTGTGTGTGTGTGTGTGTGTGTGTGTGTGTGTGTGTGTGTAGAGCTGGGTAAGTATTTGGGACAGGGAAGCTGGGACAATAACAAGGTTGAAACTCAACTTAGAGTTGGAGGTGCCTGTGGGATATTCAAGCAGAGGGTTTCCACCAAATGTCACAAGCTTGTCCTATTTCTTTTCTTTTTTTTTTTTATACTTGAAGTTTTAGGGTACATGTGCTGAACGTGCAGGTTTGTTACATATGTGTACATGTGCCACGTTGGTGTGCTGCAACCATTAACTTGTCATTTAGCATTAGGTATATCTCCTAATCCTATCCCTCCCCCCTGCCCCCACCCCACGACAGTCCCTGGTGTGTGATGTTCCCCTTCCTGTGTCCATGTGTTCTCATTGTTCAATTCCCACCTGTGAGTGAGAACATGCGGTGTTTGGATTTTTGTCCTTGTGATAGTTTGCTGAGAATGACGGTTTCCAGCTTCATCTATGTCCCTACAAAGGACATGAACTCATCATTTTTTATGGCTGCATAGTATTCCATGGTGTATATGTGCCACCTTTTCTTAATCCAGTCTATCATTGTGGACATTTGGGTTGGTTCCAAGTCTTTGCTATTGTGAATAGTGCCGCAGTAAACATACGTGTGCATGTGTCTTTATAGCAGCATGATTTATAATCCTTTGGGTATATACCCTATTTCTTCTTTGTGCATTTCCATGGGACTAGAATGAGCCCCTGCCCTCCGTGAGCCAACGCCAACTCTTTGTCCACATCCTCCACACCATCCTTCCCAGTGGCCCCAGGCCACACTGAGCCCCTAGCACCGGAATGCCTGGAGTCCCACTGTCTGTGCAGTTCACGAGCTGCTCAGAAGATGCTGCCTCCCCTAGTAAATCACAGCCTCCCCTAACCGAGAAGAGGGCTGCAAACAGTGGGAAGTTAAATATATATATATATTTTGTTTAGGTTGTTGGAAAAAGCCAGGAAATGCAAAGGTTCTAAATGATGAGAAACCAGATGAGATGAGGGTGATCTTTCTTTCTGAAGGACAGGAGAAATTGACTCTGTGTTCACAACATGAACAGCTAACCATTAGGGAATGCTGGTTGTAAGTTCGGCATTGCTCTACACACTTTACATACCTTATTACTATATTCATCACAATAACCCTATGAAGTAGAAACTATTGTTATCGTTATTTCTACAGATGATAAAACTGAAGCTCAGAGAGTTTAAGTCACTTTCCCCAAAGTCACACAGCTAGGAAGTGCTAATCAAGTCAGGAAGTCTACATTTTTGAGACAGAGTCTGGCTCTGTCACCTGGGCTGAGTGCAATGGCACGATCTTGGCTCACTGCAGCCTTTGCCTCTCGGGTTCAAGTGATTCTCCTGCCTCAGCCTCCCAAGGAGCTGGGATTAGAGGCATGCACCACCATGCCCAGCTAATTTTTGTATTTTTAGTAAAGACGGTGTTTTGCCATGTTGGCCAGGCTGGTCTTGAACTCCTGACTTCAAGCAATCCGCCCGCCTTGGCCTCCCAAAGTTCTGGGATTACAGACATGAGTCACTGCACCCAGCCAGGAAGCCCCTTCTAAATCAGAATTCTAACTTGGTAGTTTAGGCTCTGAACCATTCAAAGAATCTTAATTTTTAAAGGAATAAACACATATAAAGGAAGACTCATTCTTAAAGAAGGGAGTTGCCTTTAGAGGTGTAAGTATTTTGAGTCTTTGTACATATACGCTTTCTGTGTACTCTGTTCCCAAAAGAAGTAAAAGTTCTACCACCTAAAATTTTTTTATTGGAATTTACATCTTTATTGCTAGGTAAACATAAGTTACAACTGAACGACTTAGTCTCCTTTGATCATATTTTAGTGTCAGATACCATTTTTTTTTTGTTTTTCCTAAGTAAATAATTGTCTTGTTTGTTTGCCTAGTTTTCCATGTAACTATTAGTAACTCATCTTCAAGCTTCTTTTTTTTATTTTATTTTATTTTTGAGGCAGGATCTCACTCTGTCACCTAAGCTGGAGTGCAGTGGTACAGTCATGGCTCACGGCAGCCTACGGCCTTGACCTTCCCCAGGCTCAAGCCATCCTCCTGCCTCAGCCTCTCCAGTAGCTGGGACTACAGGGCATGCACCACCACACCCGGCTAAATTTTGTATTTTTGGAGAGATGGTGTTTCACCATGTTGGCCAGGTTGGTCTCGAGCTCCTGAGCTCAAGCAATCCACCCTCCTTGGCTTCCCAAAGTGCTGAGATTACAGGTGCAAGTCGCCACACCTCACCAATATCCTCAAATTTTCTGATAAAAAATATGATACTCTTCTCAGCCTGTCTACCACCTAACATTTAGCATAAATTTATTTTTTAAAAGTAGCCCCAATTTATTAAATACATGCTCTGTACTAGGCATAGTGCTAAGTAGCTTCCACTATTTGTAATTTTCACAGGAGTTCTATTCGCTAATTATGAGTCCCATATTCCACCTAGACACATTGAGTTTTGAAGGAGTTAAGCCATTTCCACTTAGCAAGTGGAAGGGTAGAATGGGACTCGAATCTGTGACTGACCAATCTCAGAATCCAAACTACTTTCTCTACCCCTTCTTAAAACAAACCTTGGCAACTCAGGGCTTACGAAATTGGCAAGTCCTTGAGAACACAACTAGTGACCATGGTAAACTACGGAAGCTCTTCAAGCTGCGTTCAGGCTGCACACTGGAATCCCATCTGAGTTTCAGAGGAGGGGGAAGCTTCCTTTCTCCAAGAGTTGTCAGGAGTAACTCACTGTTCTGGGCAATGGTGGCCACAGTGCTAAATACAGACGGTAAACTACACTCCTTCTGGAAAGAATAAAATCCAGCACATACACGTGAAAGATGATAGCTGCTGTGTGGGAGAATGGAGTGAACACATGAGTTTTAATATTCTGAATGTGTAAAAAAGGCAATTTCTTATTATAAGGGCGTTCTGTATATTCTGTCAGCATAGAAGAGACAAAAGGGACTAAAACTTTTAAAATTGAATGTCATCTACATTTTTAGCTTGGATGGATGGTAGAAAATTGCTTCATGAATCATGTGGAATAGATGGAAAGGGAAAGTGGAAAAAATGGAACAAGTCCCAGCTGTGAAACAAAAGGATTTTGAGTCCATTTCCTGAGTTCAGTAAAAAGCTGTGTGATATTTGGAGGAGTCTCCTAACTTCTTAGCACTTCAACTTACTTGACCATAAATTATAGATTATAATACCTACTTTATAAGACAAACAAACAAATACATGCGTGCAAGGCTAATGTGGAAATGCATTCACTCCACAATTACTGTTCTTAACTCCTACTTTTCATAGTGCTATACCTCTAAAATGGTTTTATATGCATTATTTCATCTAACCACACAATACTATAAGACGTTTAAAGATGTGGTGCTAGAATATAAAATTCCCAATTTTAACATTTGAAAACAGGAACTATAATTTTAAAGCATGTATTATAAGAATAATATTTCTTTAAGACTATTCTTACTATTTTATATTTAAACACATTCTTTTACTGTTAACTTCAAATTCACTGCATTGTATTGTGAAAGAAGAATTTTAATGATCTTTCTGACTGTCAGAAGTTCTCTTGCTCATTCTTCATAGGAAATAGGTGCTGTTACGTTCTTGTTTATTTTTTCTACACATAGTTATCTTATTGTGAAAGGCTGTTTTGCAAGAAATAGGAAATCTGCTTACCACAAATTCTGATAATTAGATGGTGAAATGAGACCCACCTAAGATGATTAAAGAGTTAGAAAATATGGCCTAAGTAGAAGCATTAACACAGTTACGCTGTATAATTTTTAATCCTTTTTTTAAAGAATGGGTTGATTTAACAACAAACTGTTTCAGGTAGCTGCCAATAATATTTCTATCTATCTTAATTTTTTTTTTTTTTTAAGTCAGAGTCTCAGTCTGTCACCCAGGCTGGAGTACAGTGGCGCTATTTTGGCTTGCAGCAACTTCTGCCTCCTGGGTTCAAGCGACTCTCTTGCCTCAGCCTCCTGAGTAGCTGGGATTACAGGCGCGTGCCACCATGCCTGGCTGATTTTTATATTTTTAGTAAAGACAGGGTTTCACCATGTTGGTCAGGCTGGTCTTGACCTCCTGACCTCGTGATCCACCCGCCTCAGCCTCCTAAAGTGCTGGGATTACAGGCGTGAGCCACTGTGCTCAGCCCTTCATTTCTTATAGATCAAGAAAAACTGAGTTTTTATTGCTGCATGAGATCAATAGTTTAGGAATAAAGGGTAATTTTTGATAGGATTTATGTAGTGGCAACATGACTAAGCTGAAAGAGCTAGGAATTGGAAGACCTGTATGAATGACCTAGCTCTTCTGCTTAATTGGTGGCTTGATCTTGGCCACGTTTTCAGATGAGCCTCCCTTGCTTGTTTGTAATGGGAAGAAGCTGTGCGTGCCTCCCACCTCACCTGTTGTGAAGGTCCAAATAAGAAAATGCATAAAAAGCACTTTGTAAACTGTAAGGGCCAAACAGATAAAGCTGTTTTTGAATGAGGGAATTGGAGACAGAAATCTTTTTTTGCTAAAAGTCTTCAAAAGTAAGTCAGAATCTCATTTTTCTGGGGGTAGTTCTAGCCAGTCTTTTCCACAAGTAGCAAGAAAGACTAGGGGAGCACTGTCAACATTTGTCATGAGGGGGTCGGGGGTTTTGTTCTGCTTGCATATATAGCTGAAAACTTCAAGACTCTTTATGAACTGACTTGACAAGATACTCCATCACCAGCCGTGATTATCTGGTATAAAAGCCTTATGGGGATGTTGCTCTTTGTCCTGAACTCTCTCTCTCTTTTTTCCGACTCCTGTGTCTGGCGAGTACATACTCCCTTCTTTGTACTATGCTGGAACACCTTGCTGTGCTGCAGTCATCATTGTTGAATCCGACGTGGCTTCCCTCATTCGTGCAATAGGAAATTCACTAATTAATGACTGTATGCCAGCTGTGCCTCCCAGCCGCTCTTCACCCTGCCCTGTTGTACTTGCACATCCCCATTCCTTCCCTCCCACTGCCTATCTCCACAGCGGAAGCTGGACACCCTGGAACACCTACATTCTAAAACTGATTTTAAGTCTAACAGGATGAGAATGTCCTACTAGGCTACCTGAGAACTTGATCTATAAACTGTACCGGTCACATACCCCCACTCTTTCAGAAATTGCTTGTATTTTATTGTAAAAATTATTGTTACAGGGTTAAGTGCTGCTAGGAAAGTCATGCCGCAAGGAGAGCAAACAGCCCTCGTGTCCTGGGCATGTCCTGATTTCTTCCGCTTCAATCGGTGCCACTATTCTTTTTATCAAGACCTGAAATTATTCTATAATTTCCTTCCAGCACCAAAGATGCTATATTTTGAAATATTTTTATCTATTAAATTGCTTTTCATTCAGTAATATTTTTGTCTTTATTAATCAGATCTATCAATCAAAATTCATGATCAGGGTGAGACAACTATTTGTTACCACACATGGCTGATAAACTCGCAGCCAGAAGCAAACGATTTTGCGGTTTTTCTTAGCCTGGGCTGCTTTAAGGAGTGTAAATTTATGAATCTCAATTTCACTGTTTGGAAGTATCTATAAGAGCTCTGTTATGGACGGCAGATTTTGGTTCCCCCATCCTGCCCCTCTTCCACATGTCAAAGACCTGACCCTCCAGTGAGATGGTGTTTGGAGCTAGGGCCCTTGGGGGGTAATTAAGTTTAGATGAGATCATGAGGGTGGACCTCTCGTGATGGGATTAGTGGCCTTCTAAAAATAGGAAGAGAGAGAGATCTCTCTCCAAACACACGCATCAAGGAAAAGCCACGTAAGAACATAGCAGCAAGAAGGCAGCATTCTGCAAATTAGGAAGAGGGCCCATACCACAACCCAACAGTGCTGGCAGCCTGATCTCAGCCCTCCAGACTGCAGAACTGTGAGAAATAAGTATCTGTTCTTTAGGCCACCCAGTCTATGGTATTTTGTTATAGCAGCCCTGGCTCATTAAGAGGAGCGCTCTCAATCCTCTTGCTATCTCCTTGCACCCTTAGGATTGAGAACTTTTTTTTTTTCTTTGACGGAGTCTCGCGCTGTCGCCCAGGCCGGAGTGCAGTGGCGCGATCTTGCCTCACTGCAACCTCTGCCTCCCAGGTTCATGCCATTCTCCTGCCTCAGCCTCCCAATTAGCTGGGACTACAGGCACCCGCCACCATGCTCGGCTAATTGTTTGTATTTTTAGTAGAGGCGGGGTTTCACCATGTTAGCCAGGATGGTCTCGATCTCCTGACCTCGTGATCCTCCCACCTCAGCCGCCCAAAGTGCTGGGATTACAGGCGTGAGCCACCGCACCCGGCCAGGATTGAGAACTTCCAACATGGGAACCACTACAACAGAACAAGACCCTTGAAACAGGTTTGTGATTGTAATTCCTTAATGCTGACCATGATGTGTAAATTACAATATGTGGCTTTCATTAATTCAACATTAGTTTGAGCCATTCTATTCGATTATATTATCAGTCACCATATATTAGTTATTCTGTGGGCTCAGGAAAATATGCTAAGTATTTTATTTGTGTGGGAAATATGTTTTTTAAGACCAAGTATTTGTAAATGTTCTCTTTTCTGTAGGATTTTTTTTCTTTTGGATACAAATATAGTTAAAGCTCATTGAGAACCTGCCTGATGGATGCTTCTATGCCTTGTTTCTAACAGTTCCCCAACACTTTAAGAAACTGAATATTAAAGAAGATATTTGTCCAGGGCCACTCAACTGGCTGGTGGTAGAGCTGAGATCTGCCTTCTAGGTTTTATGCCTCCAAAGCTCCTGAACTTCAAAGTAGATTTCACAGTCACTTTAGCAAATGGTCTGACCCACATTCTTCCCAAAATTAGATTTACTGCTCAAGTCAATTGGAGTCTTTAAAAAGTTACTTATTTTCATGGCCTAGACTCAGACAAATGCATTCCTAGTGAAACTGAAGGCCTGGGTCACTGAGGTATTGGCCTTTCAGTCAGCCCACCATCGTGGCCACCACCTAAGGTGGATGAGTTGTCATGCAAGGAGAATGAGGAGGGTGGGAAGGGTTCTTATGCTTACCCATGAAGAACTGGGGAGATTCTGTCTGGAGAGGAGAGAAAAGAACCCATGCCTTTCAGCAGGAAGAGATATCTTGTCATCTGATATTTAAGTAACATTTCATGGCCGGGCACCATGGCTCAAGCCTTTAATCCCAGCACTTTGGGGGGCCGAGGTGGGCAGATCACGAGGTCAAGAGATCGAGACCAGCCTGGCCAATGTGGTGAAACCCCGTCTCTACTAAAAATATAAAAATTAGCTGGGCGTGGTGGCGCGCACTTGTAATCCCAGCTACTCGGGAGGCTGAGGCAGGAGAATCGCTTGAACCCAGGAGGCAGAGGTTGCAGTGAGCCAAGATCAGGCCACTGCACTCCAGCCTGGCAACAGAGCAAGACCCCATCTAAAAAAAAAAAAAAAAAGTAACATTTCATTAAGGTTCAGCAGTGATTTTACTAACCATACCCTTTAACCACACACACACACACACACACACACACACACACACCACACACACATGTAAAAGAGACTTCTGGCTCTGCCACTTTCTAGCTGTCTGACGTCTGTTTCAGTTTTCCCATCTGTAAATTGGGGCTTAATAATTGTACCTAATTTTTAGAGTTCTTATAGAGATTAGATATCTTCATACAGATAAGTCCCTTAGAAAGATTCCTGACACAATAATGTTGGATATTATGACAGTAATTATTATTTTCAGACTGTATGCTCTGATGCCTATAAATAAATATGCCAATAGAAATACATCCTCCTGACTTTTATTTGACTTGGCCCATGCTGCAATATATAATGTCCATTTACTGCTCCATTCCCTTTGTAATCACCACTTCCCAAAATAATGATTCCTTCTCATTTGAGGCGTCTTGCAGAAAACACTGGAATGAGATTTGAAATCACAATCAACACATCCCCAAAGACATAGGTTAAAAACTTATTGATCCAATCCAGTGAACAAAATAGAGACTACTCAAATCAAAGATGGTGCAAAGATAAATGTGAAGGTCATATTAACACAAGGAAATGTTGCCAAGGTAGGAAATAAATATCAACCAAAAAATGACAACAGCCTGGAAAAATGCAAACTAGAAAATCTGGAGGGAAGGAAGTGCTGAAATATAAACCAGGAATATGCTTCAAAAAAGTCTGGTATAAAATACAAAATAAGCTTGAAATAAAGCAAAAAATGTATGATCTTAAGAACTACAGTTAAGGAGACGTGAATGCCTTATCTTATAAGCTTCTTAAAGGCATTGAATTTGCTTGGTCTTTAACAGATATATAAATGTCATATAATATCATACTTGTTTTTAACTATCTGGTTGAGGTATGACAGTAGGAATAAGTGTTAGAATCATTAATCTGTTTTTAATTCTGTTTTCAAATCTTGTGCATGAGTGTGCAGGTTAGTGAGCAGCTGGGTACTGGTGTACTGACCCTACCACTTTTTCCTACACATTTTCATCCAGTTAAGCAATAGTGGGGGAATCTAGCAGAATTCAAATCATCAGCTTTATGACTTGTAAATTGAATTAGAGCATTCGATTTTGGTCTGCAGACTGCCCACTCCCCTTTTAAATTAGATTCACTCTCCTAGTCCCAGGCACAACTGTCCATGTACTGTCTTTGCAGATGGCTTCCATTTCTTGGGCTAAGACTATTGCTCTAATCCTGGAGTATAAGAAACATAGTAAAACATGTCAATATAGGAAAACATAGTAAGCAGATCATGGATCTTGGAAGTCAGACAGACCAGAATTCATATCTGGCTTTGCTACTTATCAGTTTTATCATCCTGAGGAAGTTATTTAAATTCTTCAGACATCCTATTACTCTTCTCTAGTATGCTTGCTCCAGATGGAAATGTCAGAATCCAAAATCCACAATGTAAGCATATAAATTTTTTATTTAACTAGATCAATTTCTGATGTTAAACTTTTGTTTGGAGAATGCATCTTCACTTTGAACTGGAGGCAAACTATTCACTGGAATAGTCTCTTTCCTCCAAATTACTTTTCAGAGAACTTTTGTTCTTCCTCTCCTCCTTCCTTCCTTTCTTTCCTTCCTTCTTTTTCTTTCTTTATCCCTTCCTTTTTTCCCTTCTTACTCTCTTTCTTTCTTTCCTTCCTCCCTCCCTCTCTCTTTCCTTCCTCCCTCCCTCTCTCCTTCCTTCCTTTCTTCCTTTGGAAAAAAAAAAAAAGAAAGAAAATTCTTGTTTTACAATACTGGTAGAACACAGGCTTCGTCAGGTTGAGGGCTTCTACCCACCATGCAGTGGTGTTACAGACCGTTTCTACATCTTAAAGTTGTCAAGGGTGTCGGGGTGGAGAGGAGGGACGCTTGCCTGAGTCCTCAGTATCCATGTTATGGGTGAGTCAGGTGTTGACTCATCTCACACGGCCCCATCCTGGTCCACGGCTTTGGCAGATTCTCTGCTACAATGGGGACAAGATCTTTTTGAAATTGCCCCTACTTCCCTCTGCCAGCTGCTCTTTGAATCCACACTCACCTGGAGGCTCACAGCCTCCAGGAAGCAATGCCAGAAATCTGGGGCTGGGTTTCCCCTGATGCAGGACCTCAAAATATATATTCTTCTTTTCTGTTCCCCTTCAACCATTGAAGACATTTTTTTTTTCTAATTTGTGGTGGGGAAACAGCTCCTTTCTCCTATTTGCAGCTCCAAGATGATACTCCTTTGGTGAGCTAATTCTCTTGTACATTTCTTCTGCTTCGTCTGAAAAGTCTTTGATTTCTTCAAAGAACTTAGACTTTTCTTCCTGCTCCCTCCTAAGACATTGTGGTATCTTCTTGACTGAAAGAAACAGACAGGTTAAAATGTGTGCATGGGGGTAGGGGTTGGAGGAGGAGAACAAAACAAAGCAAAACTTACACACACAAGTTAATATCTGAGTACAGCACCCAGTTATAGCACCTGCGTGCTATTGATTGGAGATAAATGTGCCCTGTCTATAGGACATTAGTAACATAAGGTATATTCTATTAGAAATAATGCATGTAAGTGATGGATCATTTTTGTTGAATAATGTGAAAATCATTACAGTGAAAAGAGAAGACTTCAGACCTACAACTGTGTTTGTGTATGTGTATCCCTCGTGTCTGTATATATATTTAGAATACTTAAAACACATTCAATTTACTAATGGTTTACTGCTTCCCATGCCCTGTTTGCTGTACAGCTAGTATTGTGCTAAATATAATGGTAGATATGAAGTAAGCTTCACACATGTAAAATTCTTTCGGAGTTATATGGAACGACTAGGAAATTATTTGTCAGAGCAGCTTTGACTTCACTCTTTAAAAAAGTCTCTCTGAAAAGTTGACACTTTTGTCAAAAAGATTCCCACATAATATGACAACATAAGAGTAAACTTGCACTGATACAGAGTCAAAAATAAGAAGTCCTTCTACATGACTTCAAGCTCCCAGTCAGATTTCCTTGTAGATGACTGACTACTCCAGAAGAACTTTAAAGAATTCTGGCATGCCCAGTAATGAAGGGGACCCGTCCAGCACTGAAGGAACAAGAGGATTTCTAAAAAGGGACACTTTTCTAATGCGATTCACTGATCTATTTAGAAACCATGGCACAAATGAAAACATCAAGTGTTTGTGTTAGAAAACTGATGAACCCTGATGAACACAAATAAGTGATGTTTTCATGTTTTTTTTTTTTGCTAAGAAAAAAGATTATAGAAAAATAGCAGGCAACCCTTATTTGCCAATTAGACACAAAATGAAATCAAAACCCAACATTTATAGAAAGAACAATTAAGAAACTTTTGGCCAACTACAAGTTCAAAGAAAATAACAATAGTAGGCGACAAAGTAGAAATAAGTCGTTTTGCTCTGAAAGGTTATAGTTGAAAGAAGGTGACTATCTAGCCTAGAGATTTCGTAGAAATTGTGGCATAGTAAACTCACCTAAAAAGTGTTACAGTATTTCAAATTAGCTGCTCACAAAAGCGAAAGCCAAGTCTCATTTTTATAAACTCCAGTCCTTCTGTCCAAGTTCTTTTGTGTTAACTGGATTCTACAGTCTTTTTTTAAAAGAAAACAACAACAACAACAAAACAAAAAAAACACTTAATGGATTAAGGTTGCATCTTGGGATTTAGTCATTTTAATATGTGGAACTTCTCTCATAATTCTTGATGAATGTTCTTTCAAATTTTACCTGCGTCATATTTCACAAATATTGATTGCAGACAGCAAATGTTGCTCACTTCTTCACCAATTGTTTTCTCAGACTCAATCCTCGTTTTAGTTGCCACTGACAGACTTTGTACTCACCCAAGAACATTTTAGAGGAGACCTAGAGCTTTTAGTTGGACATTTTCTTGGAAGCATCTATCTCTTATGTAATTCAAGCCTTGCTTGAAACTAAATGTGGAGAAAACAAATTACAAAAATTCAGAAAGCATTATAATTACAATGCTGGGGGCATTTTATTCCCATTAGGAGGACCATGGATCTCTCCTTCCTAACTATAACACCTGCAGATCATTTCTCTGTGTGGACTTACCAGAGTCCAGTTTCTAACCCGTAGGGTGGAGAATAAGGTACTTCATTACAAACCTCAAATGCAGTGTCAACATGCTGAGACCATTTCCCTGAGCACTTGTTCCCTACAGCATGAGAGAAAATGACCCTTTAATGTGTATTCAGTCAAAAAAAATATATTTGTATTAGGAATATTTCTCTGAGACTTCTGTGCTGGGAATTAAAGCTATATCTATATACGTAAAATAAACAAACTGCCCCGTGGCTGGTCTGCTCATTTCAGCTGTCTTCATGATCAATGTGGATTGTTGCACAATCGATTCAACCACAGCAATCAGTATTATTCATGCACTCTAGGAAACTTGGTGCAAGTAAAATGGCTGGGATGTTGGAAAGTGTACTCACTTGTTAGATATTTGATTTAAGGAATTTTGAAAAAATCGCATTTTATTTTTTTAAACTCTCAATTTAATCTTTTCTGAGTCAAAATGTTGGATCCCTAGAATAAAACCTGAAGTTTGAGATAATCTTTTCAACATCTCATTAATGATAATTTCTGTAAAATCTTAATAATTTATCGTGAGTCTTCTAGTGCTAAATATACACTTAAAACTCAGAGAAAAATTGCCATCATAATTTCCAGGACAGTAAAGCTTGAATGTCTAGAAAAACAGTGTGTGGTTCACAGAAACTTAGATTAAAGTCCAGTTGGTTAAAAAAAATACTCTTTGCAAAATTTTCTCTAGCATGTATCATACGCAAAAATGCCCAATTTGGCAGCTTTTCTAGGTAGCTTTCCAATCATCAGTCCGGCAGCAACCTACAAGGATTTAATAATTCTTATATCTAGGCTTTTCAAAGACTCTTTGTAAGAAATTTTGATTTTTTCTATATTGTAAATATCAAAGAGATTAACTTCCCAAGAAGTCACTTTGTTTAGTAAAAGCCAACTACAAACAAGAGGCCGCAAATCAAAGTATGTTGTACAGACATCATTATTGGCCACATAGTGAAATTCTACAATATCAAATGCCCCAAAGTAAATTGGATTCCAGGTGAATTTCTGTGATAATATTGAATGCATCTGCCATTGAAAAGAGACATCTGTAGGTCTTCAGGTGAAATTGTTTACTAACTTAGGTCAATATAATTTGACTACCAATTGACAAAATTGTTCTATTGGATATATAAAGGCTATCCTCCAGGAAAGTTAAATATCTGCTAAAATTGCGAAGATTCTGATATCCAAAAATACCATGAATACCATGTGAGAAGCAGAGTCTACTATGAAGACCACAGAATATCTGTGTTGTCAGTTCATTTCGACTAGAAATCAGTTGTATTCCTCGTGGAATATAAGGAATATATTCCTTCAAGGCAGCAGATGTTAAACTTCTTGGTCTCAGGATACCTTTTCACTTTAAAAAATATTGAGGGCTTCAGGAGTTTATATATATGTTGACTATCTCTGTCAATATATAGCATATTAAAATTTAAACTGAGAAATTTTTTAAACACAAGAATACACAGGCACACGTTCCATTGGCTGTCAGAGTGATCGCATAGTCACTCTTCGTGAAACCTCTGGAGAACACTGCGTGCCCACGGGAGAATGAGAGCAACAATGGCAAACAACGTCTCCTTATTAAAATGCTTTGACCTCACCAAGGCCTTGAAACAGTATTGGGGACCCCTAAACACGTCTCAGGGACCTGTTTCACACATCATGAGAAATGCTGTTCCAAAGACTTTTTCTCACTTGTAGAAGCTGGATAATAATAATCACAAAGATTTGTTTGTTACATATATGTTGTGTAAATATAAATGATCATTACTGAGCAAACTTCCTAACCTCTCCAAGCATGAGTTCCATCAGCTGTTAAATGGATATAACAATACCAGTCTTGAGGGATAGCATTAGGAGATATACTTAATGTTAAATGACGAGTTAATGGGTGCAGCACACCAACATGGCACATGTATATATATGTAACAAACCTGCACATTGTGCACATGTACCCTAAAACTTAAAGTATAATAAAAAAATAATAATAATAGTACCTCCAAAAAAAAAAAAAAAAACCAGTCTTGCACGGTGGTTGTGAAAATTAGCATTGATGTGTGTCTAACCCAAAGTAGGCACTTACACATTACAAAATTTATCTAATTTGTTTAACTTCTTTCTAACTATTAATTAATTATGAAGCAAAGCTATGAAAAATGTATAATCTAGGAAAGGTTTTTCTTCTTATGCAATAATGACCAAATGAAGGGAACACGTCAAGAACTATCCTCTGGCTATTGTTATTCTGATGCAAAATGTGCTGCTGAATGTTTCTTACTAGATACTTACAGAAGCATGAAGAACATTTGTCAAACTTAGTCCTGAAAAGGTATGGAATTTGTGGGGCATAATTAAACATGAATATAACATTTCACACAAAGTGATAACACTGGAATGAAAAAAGAACTGGGGCTTCATGGAGCATGGAGCATTTGTGGTGTATTTGAAGGGAGAGGAGGTATTTGACGATAAGACACTGGTAGGAGTTGAGTGAAGCACATTTTTTTATTATTATTATTATTATTATTATACTTTAAGTTTTAGGGTACATGTGCACAATGTGCAGGTTAGTTACATATGTATACATGTGCCATGCTGGTGTGCTGCACCCATTAACTCGTCATTTAGCATTAGGTATATCTCCTAAAGCTATCCCTCCCCCCTCCCCCCACCCCACAACAGTCCCCAGAGTGTGATGTTCCCCTTCCTGTGTCCATGTGTTCTCATTGTTCAATTCCCACCTATGAGTGAGAATATGTGGTGTTTGGTTTTTTGTCCTTGCGATAGTTTACTGAGAATGGTGATTTCCAATTTCATCCATGTCCCTACAAAGGACATGAACTCATCATTTTTTATGGCTGCATAGTATTCCATGGTGTATATGTGCCACATTTTCTTAATCCAGTCTATCATTGTTGGACATTTGGGTTGGTTCCAAGTATTTGCTATTGTGAATAGTGCCGCAATAAACATACATGTGCATGTGTCTTTATGGCAGCATGATTTATAGTCCTTTGGAAGCACATTTTAAGAGAAAGAAATCTTCAAAGCTTGACTGTTGGTCACAAGTCAAGGTTGGAGGCACCTCCAAGCCCTCCAAATACTAGATAAGGATGAGCTGACAGCAATAGGATTGCATAGAAGTTGTGTTAGGCTCCCAAGTACTCTCCCTGATTCCATGCAGTCATGGGAAATTGCTTCTCCTCATCCTGGCAGAAGCAAGGTTTGCTTTCTGCAGACACTCATTCAGAGAAGCTGTGTGTAGGTGTAAGGCACTGCCCCAGGGGAGTGTCAGGTGCTGCTGAACACAGAGGGATGAAACTGGTGTCTCCATCCTGAAGAGTGACAGCCCTGTCCCTTGCACTTGAACCCTGAACACTGGCACCCTAGATAATATCATTCAGGGAAAAGAATAACTCAAAAGGAATGAAATTTGGATATTGATTTTGGGAATCTACCAAGAAAATGACTGGCTCCTTAATCAGTGTATAGTGAGGCCCATCAGTCAACAAGCTCACCCAGGTACAGGGAGTTTCTGAGAAGTTGTCTGCATCTTGTTCTTAAATTTTACTAGTGACCTAAGAAATAAGGATTACTATACATTTGAGAATAGCTTGTCATATGTAAGATAGGGAGCAAACCTCCCCATACTCTGATAGCCAGCTGGGTAGCTAGCTAGAAGACTGATGATAGGTAGGTAGGTAGGTAGGTAGGTAGATAGACAGATACATACATACATACAGATAGATACATACATAAGTAGATACATAGATTAGATGATAGGTAGATACATACATACAGATAGATATATACATACATAAAAAGATACATAGATTAGATGATAGAAGATAGATAGATAGATAGATAGATAGATAGATAGATAGATAGATAGACAGATAGACCGACCAATAGATAAAAGAGCTCTGAAGTCAGACTGCTTGGGTTGAAACATTGTCCCTGCCCCCTTTGCTAATCGAATGACCTTGAATAAGTCACTTAAATCCTGAAGCCTCAATTTTCCTTATCTGTGACATGAGGATAATAATAGTTCCTACCTAATAAAGGTGAAGATTACATGAAATAAAGTATGACGTGCAGACTAAGCATCTAATACATATTTTCAACATAATTGGCAAAAAGTGCAGGGTATGCTTGAAAAACTCCGTTTTTCGGCTTAGTTGAATTACTCTGAACATAAAGTAGAAAGCGAAGATAGAGCCAGATGGTATTTTATTTTGACTATTACATACTAATATAACTTAGGCTATGTGAGAGAATTATTTACAGGGAAAAGTTTACTAACCTTTTCTTCACCTAAGAAAGTTCCCACGAGGCACTGCCTCACACCTTCTGCCCCCAACAAGAAACAGTGCGTGACTCTTGAGTACACAGGGTGTGAAAAGCTCATAATACCCTAATATGTCTCTCTAAGTACAATTGGTTGTTCATGTTAAATTGGAAACACTTAATAACTGCAAAGTTAATATGTGATTAAATAACAACAGCAAAAAACCTCTTCTCCCTCTTGCCCAAATAGGGGCTCATAGCTCTTTCAGTGTACCCGGGGCCCCTTTCTCAGCTTCAGAAGGCTGGATATTGTGGCAATTAATTGTTTAAACACACTACGAAGGATTATGATGAGAGGAAAACATAAAACATAATAAACACTTGGTAACCAGTTTATTTCAATAGCAGCTCCTCTGCCAAGCCAGCAGATTTTTCTAGGACAGAGCTCCCTTCCATAGGCAGCTAATCTAGGACAGAGCTCCCTTCCATAGGCAGCTAATCTAGGACAGAGCTCCCTTCCATAGGCAGCTAATCTAGGAAGAGCTCCCTTCCATAGGCAGCTAATCTAGGACAGAGCTCCCTTCCATAGGCAGCTAATCTAGGAAGAGCTCCCTTCCATACACAGCTAAGAAAGATCAGGGGAATGGCCTTCAATGGACCCCGCTCATCATTCCCTACACAGTCGCAAAAGGCTCACCACCTCCTTCCCATGGCCCGGCTAAAAGAAAAGGTGTTATGTTTCTTTAACTCTTTGGAGCATAAAGGAGCTGTTTTTTTTTTTTAGTAAGAATAACATTATAATCAGGTGTTGTTTAAAAATAGCAACAAGGCACAAAGAAAACAGGCATTGACACCAAGAAAAATTAGCTGACACCACGTAATAGGAGAGATTTATTCATGAATGACGGAAAGTTATAGAACTTCTTTTCTTTCCTTAGCAGCATGTCATCATTGCAACAAAGTCATGGCAAGAGCACGTGCAACATTAGGTTCAATTGATCTCAGATCCTTCCTCACCAGTGTCGCAGCAAATTCATTCTTCACCAATAGCTTAAGTCTTTCTAGGTTCCTAGACTCCTATGTCTCAGGTGGGGTTTTTTAATTTATTTTTGTTTTTGTTTTACCCCCCAACATTAATGTTCCTGAGAGGTGTGTTTGTTTTGTTTTGTTTTGTTTTGTTTTGTTTGAGATAGAGTCTCGCTCTGTTGCCCAGGCTGGAGTGCGGTGGCGCGATCTCGGCTCACTGCAAGCTCTGCCTCCCGGGTTCACGCCATTCTCCTGCCTCAGCCTCCCGAGTAGCTGGGACTACAGGCTCCCGCCACCACGCCCGGCTAATTTTTTGTATTTTTAGTAGAGACAGGGTTTCACCATGTTAGCCAGGATGGTCTCGATCTCCTGACCTTGTGATCCACCCGCCTCGGCCTTCCAAAGTGCTGGGATTACAGGCGTGAGCCACCGCGCCCGGCCGAGAGGTGGTTTTTTAATTGGTGAGAGGGCTGGGGGGATCAGGCAGGGGAGGTTGCAGTGGCATTGGAGAAGACAATGCCTAGGGGTTGATTAGTTACCACTACTAAGGGCCTACAGATTCATTTGGGAAAAATTCTATGGAAAATCAACTGGAGGAAGGTTTCTTCCTTGGGGAGGGTAATGCAGGGTGCCCATGTGGACATGCATGTGAGCATGTGCGTGCTGTGTGTAGGCTCCAATTACCCTTCAAATGCTAATCTTCTATGATTTTACACATTGATACCATGACCAAAACATGTTAATTACACATGTGCACAGATCACTGGAAAATGTATATCGCTGAAGACTTAGTTTCTTCCATGTCTAGAGCTCAGTTTATTAATATGTTGTTCCATATAACAAGTTCATTAATGTTGCTGATTTTTAACATTTAGAATATTAATAGTTCTGAGCATGATATTTTGATCTTTCCTCAGAGTGATTTTTGAAAATATGAAAAATGAGAAGAGAAGTAGTTACCTATTAACTTGCTGAAGTCTGACAGGAACAGTTGACCAGAGTCCCCTGCAAGGGCTCTTGGGAGCACTGGGTACCGAGCAGAGCCTTCATCCTTGTTAATTAACCGTCCAACATTGAGACAGGACTTCTGCTTAGAATAAATGGCTTGTTAGAAAACAGAGCTACACACATACACAGAATCTTTTCATTCACGGATAACTGAGTGTTTTAGAAAATCCAGACTTTTCTAAGACTTTCCAAGTTTTAATTTCAAATATATTTTCCATGTTTACATTATAACTGACCATGTGTCTAAATATAGCTAGTCTATACTATATGTATTCTAATTGCTTGATATGGAGCCTGCAGCTGAGTACTTGAATCCAGCATTCACAGAGTGATACAGTGTATGAAAACCTTTTACAATATTTTCAAACAAATGTAATGAATAATAATGATTTAAAGGTCATAACTCTTAGCTATTCTTATATTTTATGACATTCCTCTGCAAGGCAATATGCATTAAACAATGGCTAAACATTAAAAATATGTTTTAGAAGATTTTAAAAATAAGAGGCATTTCAGATCTGCAGAAAATCCTCATGTGTCATATTATTTTAAAGAAATGCTGGAATGCAAATATGAATTGACCTATACTTGATTATCTGTTTTGATTTCATTATTCAATGTCTTCACATGGAAGATCTTGACAGTCCAACAATTCGTTTTCTGTTCTCTTTTCAGATTTTTTTTTAATTTGGAAAAAGAAAATGGCATTTTATTTCCTGCTTTTATGGACTCCAAAGTCATAAAATTGTAAAGAGGAGAAAAACTGTCAATTTTTTAAAGGTTAAATGCAAGAAAATTAGAGTGCCTAGAAGAGCAGACTCTGGATTCAGTGCTGAAAGGTAGATAGCGCTGGAAGGCAAACTCAAGGCTGAGTATTGAACAAAAAGATTGAGCAAGGGTAAATATGCAGAAGCAGCCCCGGTGAACCATTCCAGTGATTTCCTTTGCCCATGTAGTTGCATTGAGTTGCACTGAATGTGTGCAGCCTTTTTACTGCATAGTAGAAGAATGGCAATTGTGTTTTTAAGCTGACCATTAACTTTAGAGGGAAAGCTGCCGAAAGGCAAAATTTTCCTTCCCTTCTGCCCTCAATTTTTCCTCTCAAGGTGTAGGATGGAAGCTTTGTAGTTAAGAAAAATCTCAGTAGGCCTGTCAGAAAAACTAGATTCTAATTGCTGAGTGTAGCAGAGCTAGCACAGTTTTTAATGTTTGCACAGTAGAATTAGTTAAAGCAAGCTCTGCAGATACAGGTTTCCATGTGGGGAACACATGATGTTCTGACCGACAAGTTGGGTGTTTTTAGTTCCAGACATTGCTTGAAACAATAGACACCATGGGTGAAAGAAAGAAAGGGGGACTTATCACTGCAGAACCTGGCACGCATGAAGAGGATTTCCCCCGGCCCAGTGAAAACATGGGCCTATGAATATTTTCAAGAAAAGATTTTCACTTAACTCTCTCTGTAAAACACAGTTGTTGGGGTGTGGTATGGTTTGGCTGTGTCCCCACCCAAATCTCATCTTGAATTGTAGCTCCCATAATTCCCATGTGTCCTGGGAGGGACCCAGTGGGAGGTAATCGAATCATGGGGGTGGGCCTTTCCTGTGCTGTTCTCATGATGGTGGATAAGTCTCATGAGACCTGATGGTTTTATAAAGGGCAGTTCCCTTGCACAAGCTCTCTTGCCTGCTGCCAGTAAGACATGCCTTCGCGTCTCCTTTGCCTTCTGCCATGTGTGAGGCCTCCCCAGCCATGTGGAGCTGTGAGTCCATTAAACCTGTTTCCTTTATAAATTACCCAGACTCAGGTATGTCTTTATTAGCAGTGTGAGAATGGACTAATACAGAAAATTCATACTGGGTAGTGGGGTGCTGCTGTAAAGATACCCAAAAATGTGGAAGCAACTTTGGAACTGGGTAACAGGCAGAGGTTGGAACAGTTTGGAGGGATCAGAAGACAGGAAGATGTGGGAAAGTTTGGAACTTCCTAGAGACTTGTTGAATGGCTTTGACCAAAATGCTGATAGTGATATGGACAATAAAGTCCTGAGGTGGTCTCATATGGAGATGAGGAACTTGTTGGGAACTGGAGCAAAGGCAACTCTTGTTATGTTTTAGCAAAGAGACTGGCAGCATTTTCTCCCTGCCCTATAGATCTGTGGAACTTTGAACTTAGAGATGATTCACAGAATCTGGCAGAAGAATTTAAGCAGCAAAGCATTCAACAGGTGATTTGGTGCTGGTAAAAGCATTCAATTTTATGTATTCACGAAGATATGGTTTAGAATTGGAACTTATGTTTAAAAGGGAAGCAGAGCATAAAAGTTTGAAAAATTTGCAGCTTAACAATGTGATAGAAAAGAAAAACCCAGGCTGGGCACAGTGGCTCATGCCTGTAATCTCAACACTTTGGGAGGCTGAGGCAGGCAGATCACGAGGTCAGGAGTTCGAGACCAGCCTGGCCAACATGGTGAAACCCAGTCTCTACGAAAAGTACAAAAAAACTAGCTGGGTGAGGTGGTGCACGCCTGTAGTCCCAGCTACTCGGGAGGCTGAGGCAGGAGAATTGTTTGAACCCAGGAGGCAGAGGTTGCAGTGAGCTGAGATTGAGCCACTGCACTCCAGCCTGGGCAATAGAGGGAGACTCCATCTCAAAAAACAACAAAAAAGAAAAACCCATTTTCTGAGGAGAAACTCAAGCCTGCTGCATAAATTTGCATAAGTAATGAGAAGCCAAATATTTATCACCAGGACAACGGAGAAAATGTCTCCAAGACATGTTAGAGGTCTTCATGGCAGCCCCTCCCATCACAGGCCTGGAGGCCTAGGAGGAGAAAAAATGGTTTAACAGGCTGAGCTCAGGGCCTGGCTGCTTTGTGCAGTCTCAGGACTTGGTGGCTGGCATCCCAGCCATGGCCAAAAGGGGCCAACGTACAACTCAGACCATTGCTTCAGAGGGTGCAAGCCCTAAGCCTTGGCATCCTACCTGCAGTGTTGGGCCTTCAGGGGCACAGAAGTCAAGAACTGAGCTTTGGGAACCTCAGCCTAGATTTCAAAGGATGTACGGAAATTCCTCAATGTCCAGGCAGAGGTGCACTGCAGGAGCAGAGCCCTCATGGAGAACCACTGCTAGGGCAGCACAGAAGGAAAATGTAGTGTGGGAGGTCCCACACAGAGTCCCCACTGGGGCACTGCCTGGTGGAGCTGTGAGAAAAGGGCCACCATCCTCCAGACCCCAGAATGGTAGATCCACCAACAGCTTGCACGGTGCACATGGAAAAGCCACAGACACGCAATGCCAGCCTGGGAAAGCAGCCAGGAGTGGGGCTGTACCCTGTAAAGCCACAGGGGCAGAGATGTTCAAGGCTGTGGGAGCCCACCAGGTCATCAGCATGACCTGGATGTGAGACATAGAGTCAAAGGAGATCATTTTAGAGCTTTAAGATTTGACTGCCCTGCTGGATTTCAGACTTGCATGGTACCTGTATTCCCTTTGTTTTGGCCAATTTCTCCCATTTGGAATGGCTGTATTTACCCAATGGCTATACCCCCATTGTATCTAGGAAGTAACCAACGTATTTACCCAATGGCTGTACCCCCATTGTATCTAGGAAGTAACCAACTTGCTTTTGATTTTACAGGCTGATAGGTGGCAAGGACTAGCCTTGTTTCAGATGAGACCTTGGACTGTGGACTTTTGAGTTAATGCTGAAATGAGTTAAGACTTCAGGGGACTGTTGGGAAGGCATGATTGGTTTTGAAATGTAAGGACATGAGAATTGGGAGGGCTCAGGGACAGAATTATATAGTTTGGCTGTGTTCCCACCCATATCTCATCTTGAATTGTAGCTCTCACAATGCCCACATATGTAGTGGGAAACACCCGGTGAGAGGTAATGGAATCACGGGGGCGGGTCTTTCCCACGCCGTTCTCATGATAGTGCATGAGTCTCACAAGATCTGATGGTTTTTTAAAGGGCAGCTGCCCTGCACATGCTCTCTTGCTTGCTGCCGTGTAAGACATGACTTTGCTTCTCCTTTGCCTTCCACCATGATTGTGAGGCTTCTCCAGCCATGTGGAACTGTGTGTGCATTAAACCTCTTTCCTTTATAAATTACTCAGTTTGGGGTATATCTTTATTAGCAGCATGAGAATAGACAAATACAGGCTGTTTCAGAGCTTAGTGTGTCCTGCTGATGCTTGCACAGTCCTTTGGAACCATCTGTGCCCTGCAGTGAGTCCTGTTCCTTTTTTCATATTAGCTCTGAAACCACCCTTTACAAGTATTTTCAAACTATCTGAAAAACAGCACTTGATTTTCCTCAGTGTTACAGATGCAGGAAGCCATCAAAGTATTATTTGTTTCAAAGCTCTATGAATTTTTAGGCAAATGTCACTCTATGAATTTTTAGGCAAATTCAGGCAAAAAACAAGTAAATTCTCATTTAATATGCCATATGTTTCTGGTGCCTAAACTCCTCTTGGAGAATAAAAGGAACCTTTAGAACACTGTGTGGCCTCCCACACTCTTCAAGGCACTTACCTTACTCTCGAGGAATAACAGAGACATCTAGGTAATCTTAATTAATTACTACTGACAGGATGGGAGAGAAGTGTGTCTAAGGCACTTATCAGTATCATCAACAGAATTACATTTAGAAAATCTGCTCTGTATAGGAAATTGTGCTCCATAGTGCCCTGGGGAAAATAACAATAACATATGACACACTGCCTGCCTTCAAGGAAATTATTATCTGGGTGAAAATAAGATAGACACCTGTGAAGGTAAATAGCAAAACGGGTGGTATCAGTTACCTGCAAAATGAGAGGTACGAGGAAGTAATCCAGAAAATCAGAGTAGTATATCACCCCAGCATTGGAAAAGACATTAAAAGTCTTCTAGTTCAGTAATTTACTGATGCTTGAGTTCACTTGCAACATAAGAGTTCACATTTATTGAGTATTATTATTGCAGACATTGTTCAAAGTATTATGAAAATACATATTGAAAATATATGTTCATTGTTTCACATAACATTTTCATGAGCTGGGATTGTTTACAAAGGAGAGAATTAAAAATCAGAAAACGTGAATAATTTGTCCAAAGTCCCATAGTCACTAAATGATAGGGCAGTGGTTCAAACTCAGGTCTTCCCTACCTAGAGCCAGTGCCCTTCATCAGTGTAAGATAGTCATGCTGGCCTCTCCAGTCATGGAGGCCCAGACAATTCCCAGTGGCTCATTCCATCACAGGGAGATGGGGAGAATAGTAAGGGTTTCATAGACTTGAATGTTCCAGAAAGAAGGAAGTCAAAAAGTTAAAATTAAAGAAATACTAATTAATATTTTAAAAGGCAAATTCCAAACCACACATGTAATCTGTAGAATGCAGATTTGTACACCTTTGAGGGAACTCAACTTTCAACTATCAGAATCAGTCCTGGGTAGCTAGGATGATGGTTTGAGAATAGTGTTATTTTTCAAGATCTTTGCTTCTGTGAAATTTTAAAAGGTAATTGAAATATTGAGAAGCCTATGAAGAGGTGAATTTAATATAATCCACAGAATGACAAATGTACATTTAGAGGATTTAAATTTAGGAATGATGGGCAACTGATGCAATGGTTACTATTGGCCGTTTGATAAAAGTTCTTTGGTTTTGGAATTTATTTAGTATCCAACAACATCTTTTGCTAAATCTATAGCTCTCCCTTGAGTTTTATCTTTTCTCTTGTTCATTGGTTTATTTAATTTCAAAGACAATTACACACGCCAAAGTAATGATCCTACAGATGTATAAGTGTATCCTGAGATGAATAAATTATGGACATTTTGGTAATTAGCAAATGGAAGGGGAGCAGCTGGATGCTTAACACAGATGGGTTTATTGGTTAAAATAAACTTCAGTTTGCCTTTTTTTCAAATTAAGCAATATTAGCCCCTTTTGTTGCTTTGTGAACAATCAACCAAACAGCATAATTCTAGATGGATTGCTCTTTGATTGCCATTGCTAAATCTAATTCTAATGATTTAATTGTTTTTAATTTCTCTGTGGCCTATATGTGTGGGCTGTGTCCCTGTCTGTGAGGCTTAAAATCTGAGGAAAAACATGCTTCATATTCTCATGAGCAAAGTATTCATATGTGATCTGGATTGTAGCTTTGTGCCAAGCTTCTTCTACAAATGAGAATGAAAGGAAAATTTGTCGAATACAATTTTACCCTCTTAGGTTTTTCTTTATAAGAAATAACAGTTCAGTGTGATTATGTAAAATCATTGGGAATGGGGTGATCCAGTGTTTTAAGAATACGTGTGTAAATATAAAAGATAGAATTATTGATTAAAATATCCTTACAAAATAATCATGTCACTTCACTGCACCAAATGGCGATGGATCACCCCCTTCTATAAAAGAAAAAACAAAACTTCCTTGACAGCGCATTAAATGTCTTGCATAATCCGACCACAGTCACACTGACTTGGACTAGATATTGGGGACCCCAAGTGATACAATGCATGCAAAGATTGTTGAAGGAGCCCTTTGGATCTGGGTTAAACTGTGACCCAGCACATGCTAGTTGAGCAGCCTCAAACACGTGAATTAAACTGTCTAAATGTGGTTTTCCTCACTGAGGGGGGATAATAATGCTACCTTTCCTACAAGGTCGTAAGACTAGATGAAATGATAAAAAGGGCTTAGCACAGTGCTTGGCTTTATGCTCCATGCGTGATCTACTTACCTTTCGTTTCTGTATTGTTGCTGCTGTTGTAACTTTTATTATCTGACCTCTCATGCGTATTTGCACCTGAAGATCTGTCTAGAGTGCTCTTTTGTCATCTGAATGATCAAATTCCATAAATCTTTCAGGACTCAGCTCATCGGCCATCTCTTCCACTACATTTTGCCAGTCTTCCCTAGCTAAAAGCTAATTCTTCTTCTATAAAAGCATTGCAATTCTTATTGTCAGTGACAGTCATTTGTACTTAATCCTTACAGGCTTCTTTAGGTATTTATCTCTTCATGTACTTCTCAGTGAGATAGCAGACTCCTTAAAAGCAGGAACTGAGGCAATTTCTACATATCTTTTGCAGTTTCTGGCAGAATTGCAAGCAATGAATATTTGTTGTTTTATTATTTTTTATCCTTCATGGTTGGGAATTATATGTTGTTTTAATCAACACTCAACAAATCCAGAATGCCTCATCATTAGATGAAATGGCCAGAGTTAAATGGCAACCTAATCTGATAGCTCACATTTATTAAACATTACTGCTAATGTTTTTTATGTCCCAGACACTGGTTCTAAGCACTTCATAAGTTTTATTTTCTTTAATCCTCTTGCAGACACTATGAGGTCTGTATTATTTTAATTATTTTAGATCAGAAGATAATAAAGCACAGAAGGTTCAAAAAAATTTTTCCAAGGTTATATAGTCAGCTTGAGATTGAGCCAGGGTTTAAATCCAGGCAGACTAAGTCCAGACAGAGACCATGCTCTTAACCTCTATTCAATTCTATCTATCCATTAATATATTCAGTCATCTTCTTAGGTTCTTTTCAACTGGGCAAAACCCATAAAGCTGAGAAATAACTATGGCAGATGTCATTTTTCATCCTTTTAGGGGGCATATTATGTAAATATGCCTATTTACATAATAAAAAATCAAGTCTATAGATAATGAGACAAAATATTTTAAATTAAGACTGCCTTGGCAAAAATCTGGGTACAAGATGAAAATAAAAATAGGTAACACATTTTGAGGTATCAGGTATTAGGCTGATAAAGTGAATTTTCATATTTTGGTTATTACTGCTGAGAAAGAGAAAAACAGCCTCTGGCAGCTGGGAGCTAGCTTGGCATTATGAGCTGGGCCTTGATGTTCTCCTGTGCACATAAACTATTTCACAGAGCATCAGCGTTAGCATCAGCTAGGACCACTCTCTGACCAGGATGGATCCAGGCAAAAACATCACCACTCCAGAGGCATGTCTGAACCCAGACAGAAACAAGAACATTTTCCAAACCACAAAATTCACCAAACATCCTCTTATCCTGGCTAAAGTGAGAGGCTGCTGCTGCTTTACCAGTGATAGCTTTAGCCTTCTCTGTTCCTCCTGTCTTCTGGATGAGAATTATTAAGATACTGAGTCACAAAAATGCCACTGCTCCTGAAAAGCATCCCATCCAGAACAAAGCTTTCCTTCTTTGAGCCTTTTCCTAAATCACTTAGGATAAACCCCAATTCTGCCAGTTCTTTCTAATATTCTCTTACTGATGTGGCCCCCAGATCCCCATGATGTGAGTTGCCCCGCACTGGAACATTTCAATAAACCAGTTCTCCAACTACAAGTTTCCTGGTGCTGTGAATCTGGAGAGCATTAACACTATTATTATCCTTATCTCAGCAATGAAGGAACACTGAGTAAGGTCAAAACTACTGTTTGATTCTATATTTAAACCCAGTTTGTCTCTATTGCTGTCATTATTTTTGTTTTTGTTTGTTTTTATTACGTAGGCTCCGGAAACTGCTCTCTTAACCACTACGTTATACAGCTCCCTTATGGTTACTGCAAACACAGATAAATAATAAGATGAGAGGAAGTGACCGTCTACTGCATTACTATCACGTGCTACCTAAATTGATATGTTTTTCTAATTTAAATCTCACAACCCTTTCAAGCAACAATCCTTCTTTTACAGAAGCTCATTTCAGCTATTAAAGAAGTCCATATTTAAAAATATGAAGTAATTTCCCTTTATAACAGAAGTCTCATGACTAGCAAGTTTTGAATTTTAATTCCACTGTCTCAGGTAATATACTCACATGCTTACACCACATTGGAATAGTTATTATCTGGAAAGGAGCTGAAGCAAGCACTGTCTTAGAGCATCGTCTGGTCTGGTATTGCTCCTTATTTCTTGGTAAGGTCCAGCAAGAAACACATGATCAGAATGCACCTTCTTTATATTTCCAACTGCTGTTTGTTCTTTATCACAAATATTAGAATTGGGGATGCCTTATCTCCTTCTTTATTATCTATTGAGATTGACTCGATTTTGAGAGTAGGTCAATTATCACGATAGAACTTTTAATCTTATACATATAATGGCTCTGACTTTAAAGTTTCTAAAAGAAAATTGAGAAAATATAATTAAATGTATGTTTCAGGGAATGGGGCCTGTCTAACTTATGATATCAATAAATGCTATAATAAATTATCCTTATTCTAAACAATTGCTGCCAGTCCTCTGAACTATGGCATGACGATAACTGGAGTATCTTGGGATCCTGGGGTGCTTCTATCCCAAGAGTATGTGAAGTCCTGTTTCATTTATTTTATATTTTTCTATACCAAAATCATTTTCCGAAAGACTACAAGAAGAAGAAAGGAAAACAGGAAGACCTACCATCTCAGACTCCTCATTTTTATGTGATACCAACTTTCAAAATAAGTTCTATTTAGGTGATAGATTGTTTGGTGAAAAACTACTTAAAACTGTATTTGAGCAGGAATTCTTTGTGATACCAAGGAGGACTAGATAGATATCAAGTAAACTCCTGATTTAGAGATGAGAACTAGATAGATATTATTAAGTCAACTCCTGATTTCAGAGATGAGAACTCCATAGATATTATTAAGTCAACTCCTGGTTTCAGAGATGAGAACTCCATAGATATCATTAAGTCAACTCCTGATTTCAGAGATGAGAACTCAATAGATAGCGTTAAGTCAACTCCTGATTTCAGAGATGAGAACTCGATAGATAGCGTTAAGTCAACTCCTGATTTCAGAGATGAGAACTCGATAGATAGCGTTAAGTGAACTCCTGATTTCTTACAG
The DNA here is from genome assembly GCF_000001405.40 of Homo sapiens. Lineage (NCBI taxonomy): Eukaryota > Metazoa > Chordata > Mammalia > Primates > Hominidae > Homo > Homo sapiens. The sequence continues at coordinate 187,703,828 of NC_000004.12, forward strand.
TCTCTGCTAATCTGCTCACTAGCATGGCTAAAGGAAATGTTGAAATTTTAACTAGAAAGAAAGTATTTGACTATTTGAATTTTCATACTCTTGTTTAAAATGAAATAGTAGTAAAACATTTGGGAAATGTAATTAAAATTCTGGTTCTAAACATCTTCATGAAGATGACATCATTAGTTATGCCAGAATTCCTGGACTGATTTTTCAGATTAAGTGTTGTCATTAATGGGCATCAATCTGTATTGAGGAGGTTTTTTTTCCTGAAAATATAAACATTACATACATTATGAGTGACAACAAATCTTCATGTCATATAGAGAACCATTTACACTTCATATCTGTGAACATTCATGTATATATTGAACAATGTAATTCTTAATGAAATATTGATTTCTAAGTGCCATTTACTTATAAAACTTGAGTCATGATTTCAGTTTAAGTTGGACAACAAACTCCAAAAGAAACCCTGCAGCCAGTGTGTCTCATGTTTTAGGAAGTGCCCAGGCAGCTATGTGGTATTTTTTCCAACACAGAGCACTCAAGATCCAGGTCCTGCAGATGAAATTTGTAGCCTTAATAAACATATAGGGTTGTTGAACAGTAAAGGGGTTTATTTGTACTTTTATGAGTACATTTTTCTCTTTTGTTTACTAATGAACTAAAATTTTTCTGCATGAAAAAGCTCAATATAGATGTAGAAATCTTTTAGAGACATGACAAAATGTACTACGTCAGAGCCACCAGTACTCACGTTAAGTAGACAGATCACACAGACAGCGATCAGATTTCACGTTCAAGAGTTCATCTTGAGTTACCGTTCTATAGACTCAGAATGAAGATCACCTCGCTTATTAAAGGCAATAAAAGATAAAGAAAATAGGAAATAAGAAAGACTTGATTAAATGGCCATTTCACTGAATTCAGCATGAGTCCTGCACAAATTAGACATTTAGATTAACAGCTTCTTTGATTATTAGAAAGCCTGGAAAATGGGGTCTGACAGGATTATAGCATAAGCTCATTTATAATGATTCATTTTTTGGAATGTAGCTTTTTCATAAGCCAAATAGAAATTACACATACAAATTCATATTTGGAATTTTGTTCTTATTTTTGAATTTTGCCTATCTTTTCAGGTGTCTGTGAACTCAAGAGAAGCCTTTCATTCTAGACATAGTAGTTATTTTCTAAATCATCTTTAAACTTATTTGCTGGAATATTGTGGGGGTAAAGTGCAAACTTCCCCTTCACCATCTGAAGGTTTGCTAAAAATCAACAGGCAGAAGGCGAATTAACAGGAGAAATGGCATGCCAATTTGTTTGATCACAGTTTTACATGAAGAATGAAGACCCAAAGACACATGAGAAATTGTCCATTTTTATGCAACACCAGACCAGGCGATGCTCTAAGACAGGTACAACAAAGTATGGACATGCGTGTAGAAATACGAGTCAACTAAAGGGTGTGATCTACTGCTAATAGGCTGAGTGGGGACACCCAGACTCTTCCTGGCCCCTGTGAGCAGCTTCCTTTCCTTCTGGTGTGGGGCAGGAACTTCTCTGGAATGGGGATCTTCTGACCCACAGTCAAACAAGGTAGGTCACAGTTTCTTTATGGCCAGTTCTTACACAGAATGGTGGGGGAAAGTTAGAATAATATTCTTAGGTTTTATGGCTGTCTTTGGGAGAAGGGGTTTTGGTTTCTCTGACGCACCTTAGGGAAAGAAAATTTCTAGTTTCTCTGTCTAGCCTCAAGAGAGAATGAGGCTCAGAGACATAAGGGCAGAAGAAAGTCAGGGAGGGTTTTTTGCCACTGAGCTTGCTTCTGAGGCCATCTCTGAGGCCTTCACTTTGGGGTGTCATTTTATGAGCCCCAGCAATATCTTTCTAAAAAATATGGAAAAGGCTTAAAAGACTCAGGCCATTTTAGAGCTATATAAACTTGTATAACTAAGAATGGAGAATTGTTACTGAAAGATACTAGGTCTCTTTTTATACTAAATTTATAATACAGTGTAGCTCCCTCAGAAAGAAAAAGTGAGGTTCATTCATTCATTTATTCACTTACTCATTCACAAATGTTTGTTAATCACACTAGTCTCCTCTCAAGTAAGTGAAAGATAACATATAATATACATAACAGGCCGGGCGCGGTGGCTCACGCCTGTAATCCCACCACTTTGGGAGGCCAAGGCGGGCGGATTACCTGAGGTCAGGAGTCTGAGACCAGCCTGCCCAACAAGGCGAAACCCCGTCTGGACAAAAAATACAAAAAATTAGCCGGGCGTGGTTGTGGCGGGTGCCTGTAGTCCCAGCTACTCGGAAAGCTGAGGCAGGAGAATTGCTTGAACCCGAAAGATTGCAGTGAGCCGAGATCGCGCCACTGCACTCCAGCCTGGGAGACAAGAGTGAAACTCCGTCTCAAAATAACAACAACAACAGCAATAATAATAATATACACAACAAACATATTTTGAAGGTGATAAGTGCAACAAGAGAAAAGAGTCGAACAAGGGGAATGGAGACTGCAGGGAGTAGGGGAGGGATAGTATGAGTAGAAGTTCATTGGTGTAGACAGGATAAGCCTCCTTGAGAAGGCAACACTAAAACACTTTTTTTTTTTTTAAAAAAAAAAGAGAAATTTCTGTGGGGACATGAAAGGTATTAAACTTGTACATAGAGGCAGCAGCCAGTGCAAAAACTCTGTAGGAGGAATGTGATCACTCCAGGAATAAGAGGGGTCCATGCTCTGTGACAGGACAAGAAGAGGGCAGGAAGAAATTAACTGGAGTGATAGAGCAAGGCTGACCGTGCAGGATCTTGCAAACCACTGTGATGCGAAGTCTTGAGCTTTTAATTGAAGAGAAATAGGAACCCACTGGAAGTTTAAGCTGAGAAGTGACGTGATCGCTGCTGAATTTTTGGAGGATTATTCTGGTTTTGTGTTGAAACTTCAGTAGATCAAGGCTGGAAGTACTGGAGAACTGTTGAGAGGCCACTGAAATAATCCAGGTGAGATACAAGGGTGGCTGCACCAAGGTTGTAACTGTGGAGGGACTGATATGTACCAGGTCTTGGATACATTTAAAAGGTAAAAGCATATAGGTTTTCCTAAAAAACTGGATATAGAAGAGGTAAGAAAGATGGAGGAGTCCATCATTTGGCTTCAGGAACAAGAAGAATGGATTTGCCATTAACTGCGATGGGTAAAACTGTGAAGGAAAGCAAAATATTTCACCCAAAATATATTTCTTTGGCATGCTTCAAGATGGCTATTCAGAGAAGCTGCAAACCACAGGAACAGATTTGGAAAGTTGTCTTTTTTATGGAACGTTTGCACATGTAGAGAAAAATCTACAGCAAAGTAAATAGCAGATACAAAAAGTCTTTTTCTAAGCCCACCCTTGTCCAAATGTAGGAAAAATACACAGGAGAGACCAAAAGTCTAATATTTTTAAGAGTCTGATGACAGGCCCCCATCTATTCTTTTTTTTTTTTTCTTTTTTTTTAAAGATTGCATTTTGCTATGTTGCCCAGGCTTGTCTCAAACTCTTGGGCCTCCAGTGATCCTCCCACCCCAGCCTCCTGAGTATCTGAGACTATAGCCTTGCATCTGTTCTTTTTGAGAGCTAGTGCTTCATTTGCATAACAAGATCAGCTCTGATTGACAACATTTCCTCCCCTCATTCTCCCATAGCCTGTGAGGCTACCTCCCTGGAGCTCACAGAAACTTTGTCCTAGGCCGTTGTTCTTTGGGCTCATTCATTTCCCCTGAAAATTATTTACTTCTGCATTCCCCATCTCTGTCCTCCCCAGTGAAGAGGGCATTTAAGCCAGACAAGGACAAAATAAAAAAATAATAATGGCCAGTCACAGTGGCTCACACCTGTAATCCCAGCACTTTGGGAGGCCAAGGTGGGCAGATCACGAGGTCAGGAGTTTGAGACCATACTGGCCAACATGGTGAAACCCCGTCTCTACTAAAAATACAAAAAATTAGCCAGGCATAGTGGCAGGTATCTGTAGTCTCAGCTACTCAGGAGGTTGAGGCAGGAGAATTGTTTGAAACCAGAAGCTGGAGGTTGCAGTGAGCTGAGATTGCACCACTGCACTCCAGCCTGGGCCACAGAGTGAGACTCTGTCTCAAAAAAATAAAATAAAAAATAAAAAAAATCACAAGCCAATATCATTGATGAACTTAGATGCAAAAACCCTCAACTAGTTAGCTGAAGTCAACAACACATTAAAAAGATCATTCACCATGATTAAGTGGGATTCAGCCTAGGAATGCAAGGATGGTTCAACATATGCAAATCAATAAACAGGATACATCATATTAACAGAACCAGAAGCAAAAACTGTATGATTATTTCAATAGATGCTGAAAAAATATTCAGTAAAATTCAACAATTCTTTATTATAAAAACCCTCAATAATCTGGATAGAAGGAACACATCCCGAAATGATAAAGACTATATCTGACAAACCCACAGCTAACATCATACTGAATGGGAAAAATTTGAAGGCCTTTCCCCAGAGATCTGGAACAAGACAAGAAGGTCCACTTTCATCATTTTTATTCAATGTAATACTGCAAGTCTGAGCCAGGGCAATTAAGCAAGAAAAAGAAATGAAGGGCATCCAAATTGGAAAGGAAGAAGTCAAATTAGACTTGTTTGCAGATGGCACAATGTTATACTTAGAAAAACCTAAAGACTCCAGCAAAATCAGTTAGAACTGATAAATGTATTCAGTAAAGTTGCAGAATAAAAAATCAGCATACAAATATCAGTAACTTTTTTATTTTTCTGAGGCAGGGTTTTACAAATGTCACCCAGGCTGGAGTGCAATGATGTGATCTCAGCTCACTGCAACCTTCACCTACTGGGATCAGGCAATTCTCCTGCCTCAGCCTCCTGAGTACCTGGGACTACAGGCACACGCCACTGCATCCAGCTAATTTTTGTATTTTTTTGTAGAGACAGGGTTTTGCCATGTTGTCCAGGCTGGTTTCAAACTCCTGAGCTCAGGTGATTTACTGCCTCGCAAAGTGCTGGGACTACAGGAGTGAGCCACTGCATCTGGTCAAATATCAGTAACAGTTTTATATGCCAATAGCAAGCAATCTGAAAAAGAAATCAAGAACACAATCTCATTTACAACAGCTTCAAAGAATATAAAACACCTAAGAATTAATTTAAGTAAAAAAGTGAAAGATCCACACAAGGAAAACTATGAAATACTGATGAAAAAAATTGAAGAGGACACGAAAATATGGAAGGATATACAGTGCTCTTGGATTGAAAGAAGTAGTATTGCTAAAATGAACATACTCAAAGTAATTTACAGATTCAGTGCAATCTCTATCAAAATATCAATAACAGTCTTTACAGAAACAGGAAAAAAAATCCTAAAATGTATATGGAACTACA